>NC_000010.11:102415822-102718852 GCF_000001405.40 Homo sapiens
GGTGCCCTGCCCAGTCCTATCCTCCAGCCTCCCATCATAGCGCAGATGGAAAGATTGAGGCCTGGGGAGACATTGGCTGACTCAAGAGCCAATTCCAAGGATTGGGGGAAGTTTGAAGGAGGGCTCCCTACTGAGCCTCAGCTGCTGTGGGGAAGGCCCTGCCCTGTTCTCCCTGCCTCAGTCCCAGGCCTTACCTGAGCTGGGGGGGTCCAAGGAGCCATAGAAGAATTCCCATTTGGCTCTAGCGATTCTCTGGGCATGAGAGGAGACTTCCCGGGGGGAGGACCAGGTATCCCCCTGAGCCAACGAGGGAGACACAGGCACCCAGAGATAAAGCCAGACATACAAGGACACAAGAATATGGGACAGAAACAGAAATTAAAACATGCATCGACAGAGATGGAGGTTCAGAGACACAGAGACAAACACAGAGGGCAAGAGAGAGGCAGATTTAGAACAGATTAAAGGATTCAGAGTGAACAGCAGACAAGCCCATGTCTGACAGGAGGCTGAGCCTTGCCCCTTCACTGGGGGCCCAGGGAGCCCAGGGGAAGTTGCATACCTGGTTCAGGAATCCAGTGTCAGCAGGTCCTCCGAAGAGTGTGGCCAGGCGCTCAGGGGGGCCCCCCAGCCCATTGGGGAGAGAGGAGTAAAGGCCATCTGCTCCAACCTGGGGTGGGGCTGGCGGCCCATGTACAAGGTTCCGGCTGCCAGGTAGGGCCGAGCCTCCTCTGGCGGGGAGTGGGTCTGATGTGGATGCTTCCAGCCGTAACTTCCGGTTGGAGCCAGGCCCAAGGGCTGGGGTGGGCCTGGGAGGAGAAACCCCACCCAGATCCCAGCTCCGACTCAAGCCCCCTGGAGCAGGTAGCCCATTCAGTGGCCTCACACTGGCCTTCTCCACAAAGCGGAAGATGACCACAGAGCTCTGGGCCCCGGGTGGGGGCTGCCCAGTGGGTGAAGAGGGTGCCCAGGGTGAGGGAGCAACACGGGGTGAGGGGGGGCCACGCAGAGGTGTACAGGGTGCTGTCACACGTCCCAGTTCCCGGCCTCGAGGACCTGGACCTGCCACTCGCCGTAGCAAGGAGCCTGTGCTGCCATACATGCTGGCTGGGGGGCTCTGGGGCACCGGGCCTTCGGGGAGCCAGCGGCGTGGGCATCGTGGTGGGGAGATGGCACAGTCGCCTTCCGAGCAGAAGCGCATGGCACCCTGGGCCATGCTGGGGCCGGGGGTCAGGCTGGGGGGGCAGGGATGGCGAGGCCAGGCGGGGAGTAAGGGGGCTGCATGCTCTTCAGACAGGCCTGTAAGAGAGGAAGGGGAGCATGGGGTGAACTGCCAAGGAGTTAGATGGATAGGACAGCAGAGATAGGGAAGGGAAAGTTGGCTAGGGCCTCTGAGTATCAGGGACCTAGCACACCCTGGTAATATGGGATCATTGATCCCACGCCTGGGGACTACTTCCATAGAGGCCTGACGAGAAAAGACTTATACACCCAGTGGGCCCCTGGCTCCTTTCCTTCTGCCTGAGGCCCTGAGCATCACCCTGGGAGGAGAGAGGAAGCAACTTCAAAGTTGAGTGAGCCCGGAGTTCTTATGGCACTTTGGAGCTACTTCTAGAATAGGGGAAGTTGGTACCCCACCCTCTGGAAAAGGGGTGTCAGCCAGCTGTCACCATCATACAGCCCTGTGACCCCTATAGTCTCTCTTATGGAGGCCCCTCACTCAGGGAAGGGAAACTCAGGCCTCCTGGAAGGAGAGGGAAGAGGAACAGGTGTTATATAGGGATGCTGAAGGGCTGAGAGGCACAGCATGGAAGTGGGGAGAAAAGCCTGAGCAGAGGCTCCTACCCCCAATATATACATACTGAGT
The DNA here is from genome assembly GCF_000001405.40 of Homo sapiens. NCBI lineage: Eukaryota > Metazoa > Chordata > Mammalia > Primates > Hominidae > Homo > Homo sapiens. Next base: position 102,417,690 of record NC_000010.11, read on the forward strand.
GGGAAAGGGACATTCTTCTTTTTTTTTTTTTTTTTTGAGATGGAGTTTCGCCCCTGCTGCCCAGGCTGGAGTGGAATGGCGCTATCTCAGCTCACTGCAACCTCCGCCTCCCAAGTTCAAGTGATTCTCCTGCCTCAGACTCCTGAATAGCTTGGATTACAGGCGCTCAGCACTATGCCTGGCTAATTTTTGTATTTTTAGTAGAGATGGAGTTTCACCATGTTGTCCAGGCTAGTTTCAAACTCCTGACCTCAGGGGATCCACCCACTTTGGCCTCCCAAAGTGTTGGGATTACAGGCGTGAGCCACCGCACCCGGCCAGGGACATTCTTTTCTTCATACAGGTACAGACAGGCACCTACACACACACAAACACACACACACACACACACACACACACACGCACACACATACATAAGGACAAATATGTCAGTACACAGTTAAACACATTCATAGGCAACACCCTCTGGCACACACACAGACACACACACACACACACTGCTCAAAGACACACCCTCATGCACTCTCACAGTCATAACAAGTATGTGTGTAATGAAAAGGCACATGCTTGTTTTACACACACACCATCATCAAACAGGAACACACAAAGAGGTACCCAAATATATACACAAGCTGTCATTCTCCAGTGCACACAGAGGTCCAGGTGTATCAGACACTCACAGAGACCTACTGCTCACAGTCACATACACATACAGATGTACACATACAGATGTACACACTCAAGCAGGGACACACACCGTCCCCTCCCCCCCACCTACTGGGGTCTCTTGAGGGGAATCTGCACCCATATTCCTCTCCTCTCCCTCTCTCCCCAGGGGTAAGACAGATCCCGCCCAGGAGAGACCATAACCAGGTAAAGGGGCCTCTGGTGGCAATGCAGGGGAGGGGCAGAGGTCAGGAGTAGCAACCCTGCCAGGCAGGTTCCGGAAGCTCAACGGGGTCCCAGCGCATACCCGGTGCAGCCCCAACTCAATGCCACCTCAGTACTCACCGCTGCTCGCCCAGAGCTGAGACCGAGGAGAGACAGAGGAGAGGCTGGGCCCAGCTGAGCTGTGAAGGCAGCGCGGCTCCCGTTTGCTCCAGGCCCGCCCGCCTCTCAGTCCCTCCCCCTACCCCCTACGCGCCGCTCAGGCAACGCTAATCCCCCCCACCCCCCGCCCTCTCCCAGGGCCCAGAGCCCCGGAGGCTGCCAGCCCCCCTTGTCGCTAGGTCCCCGCTGGGCTCTCCCGCCAACCTAAGACCCGCCCCAGACAAGGAGGAGGGCGCATGGAACCCCTGGTTCTATTCCCCAGACCCTCACGTGCCCCACCCCACTTGTGTCCACGTCTCTCTCGCCCACCGCCCCTTGAGCCACACGTAAGGCCCGGCTGCACACGCGTGTCCCGCTCCAGACCCCACGCGTGTCCCTAGGAGGCTGCCACATGACCTGTTACATGCCACACGCGCTCCCGCCCCCACGAGCACGCGGCCGCGCCAAGCACACGGTATGGGTGTAGACTGGACCCGCCCCCTAAATCCAGGAGACCATCAACTATGGAAAGGAGATCTAGGGAACACCGTCTTGAACCCGCCAGGGGTTTTGAGTCTCGGACCCAGGAGATCCAACCCTGACCACCCTCCCAGGATGCAGCAGGGGGATGTTAAATCAGACTTCAGGAAGAACTTCCTTGCTGCCTGAGTTAGGTGTCGTCACGCCTGCCCAGGGGTAAGAGGTTAGACGGGATGAACTAGGGACCGGAAGACGTGGGGGACCGGCAACCCTTGTGCCCTTGGCCAGGGTAGAAGGGGGCCCTGCTATTTTAAGAAAGAGCCGCTGGAGTTACTATGGCAACTACTCTCTTTGGGAGGGCCAGGGCGGGCAGATGGTGACCTCGGAAGGAAGAAGGGGTCTGTTCGGGCAGTCAGGGGGCGCGAGGACGTGCGAGGCGGGGGCGCGCGGGGCTCACCGCGGGGAGGGGCGGCGCGGACTCCGCGTGGTGCTGAAGGGGACAGCGCCAGATTTGTCGCACTGCGCAGGCGCAGAGGCGCGAACAAAGAGGGGAGGGGGACGAGGCGCGCGGCCGGAGGTGGTGCGCGCTCACGTGGCTCTATCTTTGCAGGGGTCTGTCCTCCCAGCTACCCCCTCCCTAAGCAGGCTGAGGAAGAAGAGATAGCAAGCCCTCACCTAACTTGACCCCTTTCTTGTCTCTCCCCGCTGCTAGCTTCTCCCTTCTCGCTGCCTTGCGGGGTGGGGAAACGTGGAAGGAATTCTGGGAAAACCAGATGTCTGGGTTCTCTATTCCCGTCTGGCTTGATTCTGGACAAGGGGCTTCCTCTCCAGGGCCTCGGTTTCCCCATCTTTAAAATGGACTGATAGCATAGACCTGCCCACCTTTCAGAGGTGCCCGAAGCCTTGACGAGATAACAGATGAGAAGTGGTTTTCGTTGTGATGAGCCAGCTGAAGCGGTTGCACCGGAGCGCCAGACCGTCAGCGGTGCAGTGGCTCTCGCGTCCTTCACATCCCCCCACACCCATCCCGTGGATGATGGGGGAAGGCACTACTCCTGGGGTTCCCCGAAGCGGATCCTGGGACTGGGACCTGGGGACGCGGTGAGAGGCAGCCCTGAAGCTGAGTCCAGAGGTCTGGGGCGTCATTGTCCCAGGGCGGACCCAGCCCCAGACCCTACAACTAAACCCAAGGCCAGCCGAGAAGCACTACCACTGGCGGGCTGAGCTGAGCTCTCATTCTTCTTAGGACTCTGGACCTTTGGAGGAAATGAAAGGGACCCAGTTGGAAATATAGTCTTTCTTCGCGCCCCCTACATCTCTCTCCCCCGGCGGAAACGCGGCCCAAACTGTTACGAAGTGGAAGAGGCTGGATAGCTCTTCATAATTAATCAGGAATGGGAGGTTTGAGCAGGTTTACTTGATGAGGGAAACATTATAGCCTCGCCAATTCATTCATTATTTCAACAATTACTTATTGAACACCTGCTACGTGGCAGACAGTAAGAGCCTGGATAGTTTCTCCCCGTTTTTCAAAGTCGCTAAACGCGACCAGAGGGCAGAGGAGAGGCCGGTAACCTAAGAGTCCTGGCTCCGCCCCCTCCGCGTTTGGCCTTGCCTGCTCCTCCCACCACCACTTCGCTCAGAGGCGGCTACTGGCTCAAGAGGACGACAGAAGCCAGTCTCTGATGCCCACCGCATTCTCCAGCTTCAGGCCTCAAGCCCTGTAGCCGAGAAGGCGAGGCCTAATGTTACACCACCGGTCTGTTCCGCCTCCGTTTCGGGGTCCACCCGAAAAGCTTTCAGATCGGATCCTCGGTGAGACGGCACTCGATTAAATAGGTCTGTCTCTACAGGCCAAGGAGGCGGGTTTGGTGCGGCCACTCCAAGGCCAAAGCGAGAAAATCTTACTGCGCACGCGCAATAGACAGCCGATGGAGCCACCGATGGAGCCGTCCGGAGGGGAGCAAGAGCCCGGAGCCGTCAGGTACCGAGCACCGGAGGGGCCGAGAGGGAAGAGGAACCTGAGGGAGGGGAGCCGAGCCGGGGCTGGGTCTGGGGGCCGCTCTTGGGAGCTGGGGCGCAGGAACATAACGGAGGCGGACTCGCAGGTAATAGTGGCCCCGGGACGCCAGTGCCAACGCCCCTTTACTCGCAGGTTCCTGGACCTGCCCTGGGAAGACGTGCTGCTCCCACACGTCCTGAACCGGGTCCCGCTGCGCCAGCTGCTCCGGCTGCAGCGCGTTAGCCGGGCCTTCCGGTCGCTGGTGCAGCTTCACCTGGCCGGGCTGCGTCGCTTCGATGCCGCGCAGGTGAGCCGGGGGCTGAAGCCCCGCCCCTGCCTGGGTACCGCCCCGCCTCTAGCCCAGCCCCCAGCCCCGCAGTATGCCCTTCTGGACCCCCTTGGGCCGCCGGGGCTGCCCGGAAGGGATCCACGCACCAAAGGGCAAATACTCGGTAGCGACTCAGAGGGAAAGTGGGGTCTCTCCTGGGAGAGCAGGAGGCTGCCAGAAAAGAACTCAGGTCAGGGGTGCATAGGCGGCTGAGGAGTGCGGGACGGGCTGAGAGTTGGGGTGCCTCCCCGCCCGCAGGTGGGTCCGCAGATCCCGCGGGCCGCATTGGCCCGGCTGCTGCGGGATGCCGAGGGGCTGCAGGAGCTGGCACTGGCGCCGTGTCACGAATGGCTGTCAGACGAGGACCTGGTGCCGGTGCTGGCGCGGAATCCGCAGCTGCGGAGTGTGGCGTTGGGCGGCTGCGGGCAACTGAGTCGCCGGGCGCTTGGGGCTTTGGCCGAGGGCTGCCCACGCCTGCAGCGCCTGTCGCTCGCGCACTGTGACTGGGTGGACGGGCTGGCGCTGCGCGGCCTCGCTGATCGCTGCCCGGCCCTGGAGGAGCTGGATCTCACCGCCTGCCGCCAGCTCAAGGACGAGGCCATCGTGTACCTGGCGCAGAGGCGCGGCGCTGGTCTCCGCAGCCTCTCTCTGGCCGTCAACGCCAACGTGGGGGACGCCGCGGTTCAAGAGTTGGCTCGGAACTGCCCAGAACTCCACCACCTTGACCTCACCGGCTGCCTCCGCGTCGGAAGCGACGGTGTCAGGTGCCTGGGCCTGATAGGGCGGGAGGAGGGCAGTCACTTAGCCTCTGCTGGTATGGGGCGGGCTGTAGTTGTTAAAAGGCCGGACTGAGGGTTCTGAATCTTCCTGCAAACCACAGCACCCCCATTCTGAACAGAAAGGGCCTCTAGGATTGCCTAGGCCAGAGAGCCCATAGTTTAAAAACTTTTTTCAACCAATGTTTACACATTGGGAGATTTCACATAGAAAGTCGACTTCTGGCTTTTCTTCAACAAGGGGGAGATCTTGCAATCCTAGGCGGAGCTGAGGGCCAGGTTCCCCCCTTAAATGAGACAGGAAGTCTCCAGCTCACTGGAAGCCAATCCAGGCGCCTCCCTTGTGTAGGGACGGAAAAAGTATGCCCCTGCCCCGAGCTGGAGGGAGACCGGGATTTTGCCGGAGCCAGTCCGAGGCTGAGTGAGCCCGGGCCTCCACCTTACCCCACCAAAGGTGTGGTGGCCTCATGTCCCTAGCCTCACCCTGCTCCTCCCTCAGGACATTGGCCGAGTACTGCCCCGTGCTGCGTTCGCTGCGGGTGCGGCACTGCCACCATGTGGCGGAGTCCAGCCTGAGCCGCTTGCGGAAGCGCGGCGTGGACATCGACGTGGAGCCGCCGCTGCACCAGGCCCTGGTGCTGCTGCAGGATATGGCGGGCTTCGCACCTTTTGTCAACCTGCAGGTCTGACCCGCCTGCCAATCGGAGCACAGCTGGACTGTGTGGCTGGGGCCTGACACTGAGCTGTAGGGAAACTGAACTGTGAGGACCTCTGGTGAGAGGCCAGTGCCCTGCCCCACCCTGGAGCTTCAAATAAAGAGCTTTTTACCCCCTCTTGCCTGGTGCTGCCCTGTTGAAGATAGGGGATTCGAGGTTGGGGAGGAAAGGTCAGACAGGCATAGTATCCCAGTCCTGAGGCAGAAATGACCAGAATGCACTCACACCTTCCTTGGGCCACCTTTACTGTGCCCATGGAGGCAGCTCCGAGAGTAGGTTAACACTATGGAGCAAAGGAGTAGAGAAGGGGGACAGGAGTTAGGGGGCCCCTGTGTAGGGGTATAGGGCTCCTGCATCCCTCTGGGATCTGAGCCTAGAAGGCTCGGGCAGAGTCCGGCGAGTGCCTCAATGGAAGCGGTACTTTCTGGCTGGCTTGAGGTTGATGTATGTGGCCTTCATCTCCTCGGCCTCAGGGTTCCGCACATCTTTGAATCGCTCCCCTTTGGTGCTCACTACCTGGTTGTCGATGTATCGGATCAGCTTCTTGGGGGCCTGTCAGGCAATCAGCAGTGAGTGGCAGAAGCCAGGAGCCAGTCCCACCCATTCCGCATCCCCAGCAACCCTTAACTCTCTCACCTCCTTGGGAGCCATGGGCCGGTGAATCTTCTGATCCTCTGCGCTATCCACCATCATGTACCTGTCAAAAACTGGCTGGGTGAAGCTCCTGTCACCCTGGGAAGACCCTCTAGGGCCCAGCCCAGCCCAGCCCAGACTCACTTCTGCAGGATGAAGGACTTCAGCTCATCCTTTTGGGGGCCTCTGAGGCGTCTGGGCAGGTCCTGCAGAGAGGGGAGGCCTGGTCTAGGCCCAAGGGCACCAGCAGGGGAAACAGATGGGGATAGGTAGGGGTTGGGGCTTAACACCAAGGTGGAATGTAGCTGAGGCTACATGGTAGAGGGTGCTGGGAAAAGATACCTGGTTGGGGCCCTCCCAGGCTGCAGGCCCCTCTTCCTTTCCCTCTACCAGCATCTGCACAGCTTCTTCCAAGTCCCCCCGAGCTTTGGCCAGCACCCACTGGGCCTGCTCCACCGAACAGGTAGGGAACACCTCCAGGAGTACATCCACCCCTGGCAGAAGCTCCTCCTCAGCGCCAGTTGCCTAAGGGTACAAACGTTAACAAGAGGCAATACTCCCCCCTTTCCAGCCCCCTGGGTCCCTCATCGGTACCCTCCTCTACCAGTACCTCATCTTGGGTGTCTGCAGCAGCAGCAGCCGAAGACCTAGTCTCTTCTTTGAGCATTTCGGGCCGCTGCAGGGGCTCTGGGGAGATGGGCACCTGACCTTGGACACCAGAGCTCTGCGGTTGCAGGTTCTCTTAAAGAGGCAAAGAGAGCATCAGGTTTGCCAAGGCTCTGGGGAGCAGGCAGTTGGGGGAGCGGGATTATGAATCACTCAGGTGCCCAGAGCCCCAGACTCACCTTTGTTCCTGGCATCGCTCAGCTGCCCTGAGAGCTTCTGCATCATGTCCCCTATTGTGCCCCTGAAAAGATGAGGGCAGTGAGAGGATGACTCTGCCCACCCCATAATCAGCCAGCCCCTTCCTCCTCCTGGCCCTAGCCAGAACCTACCTGGGGATGTGGGCGAAGCCAGGCACATAGGCCTCCATCATCTCAGTGAAAGCCTCCATATCGAAGTTCTCCTCTGATGGGCCCGAGGGGCCCAGGTCCTCCAGGACCCCAAGCACATAGGAGAAGATGACCTCATCCAAGCCACTGCAGGAAGGGAACAGGACAAGCCCTGGGTAGGACACTGGATGCCTCCAGCACCCCCACCTATCCTGAGACTCCAGCCCTCAGCTTCATGGGGTCTATGAGCTAGACCTTTATCTTTAAGGCCAGAGAGTATAACCCCCTCCCTCAGAGCTATGGTTTCCCATCTGCCCAACAAAGGTGACAGGGACAGGATGAGAGGTAAGGCCTCTCAGCAAATCCTAGTCAGCCCTCCTGCTGTCTTTCCATCAGCCAGTACCCATAGTACTGCCCGGCAGCTCCAGCTCCAGCACTGACATGAGCCTTCCGGGGGACCCGTCTCTACCTGAGGTCGGCCTCCGGGAGGTGTGTCTGGACAAAGGCAAGGAGGGCTGCACTGACGATCCTCTCCAGCTCCATGCTCTCTCTTCTGAAGGGACACAGACAGGATGGCCAGGCCTTCTTCTGCCTGCCCCCACCCACTGGGCCTGGGGGCAGTGGCTCCTCCCTCCTGGCCTGCTATGGAACCATCTGTTGATGCTGCCCTCTCTGTTCCCCCAAGTAGAACCATGCCCCCTCCTCCGCCCATCTCACCTCCTTCAGCCTGAGACAGGACAGGGCACTGTGTCTGGAGACAGCCTCTAGAGGAGGCGCCCCCCCACCTCTCCCCACCCCCCTACCTCTCCCCACCCCCCTACCCCATTCCCCAGCAGCAGTCCCAGACCTTCTGACAAGGTCTTGGGGTCACATGCCTCCTGGCTCAGGAATCCCATCACTGAGGGAGCCCCTTGGCCCCCAAGTCCAATCACAAGGGGCCCCATTGTCCAGCCCCTCAAGGCTCAGCCTCAGGACCAAGCACAGCCCTTCCCCCACCCAGAACAGGCCACCCACCCTCTGCACAAAGGGGCTTTTCTGGCTCTGGGGCCCAGATAGAAGGGGAAGCCTTTCATGGATTCTCTCTTCTCGCCCAGTCCCTGCCCTTCCTGCAGCTTAGGACTATCTGCACAGCACTTTCCATCCTCCTCCCCAAGGCCTGAGGAGCCCACAGATCTGGCCCTCTCCCAGCTCTCCAGCCTCCCCAGTCCCTCCTCCCTAGCTTGCTCCCACCCCACCTTCTGTCCCTCAGACTTGCTGAGCTTCCTCCTGTCTGTGTCCTGCGGGACATCCATGGCTCGTCCAGTCACTCCTCAGGGCTCCGCTCAAATGTTACCTCCTCAGAGAGCCCTTCCCTGACTAACCTATGGCAAGTAAGTCTTCTCCATGCCCCTTAACCCTACATAGCACTTACTACCATTAACATTATTTTGTGCTTATTTGCCTATTGTCTGTCTGCCCCCATAAAATGGAAGCTCCAAAGCAAGGTGGGGATGAGGGGGACACTCTGTCTTATTCATGAGTGTAACCCTAGCACCTAGAAAAATGCCCATACTGGCTAGGTGCTGAATACATACCTGTTGACATGCTCCATTCCCATCTACATGCTTTTGACTCCCAAAAGTCTGTTTGGGAGTCAGGAGCATATGGGTGGTAATGAATGGCTCCAGACCCATAGGTCCAAATGCCAGCTCATCATCCCACTCAGAAGGCTCCGAGGCACCACCAGTTCCACGCACCTCACACTCATCATAGACTACTGATCTGCGCACATCCCCCTCCAAACACACATCTGCTTCATCAGCTGACACCACTCACTCAGCTGCCAAAGCTGAAACCTGGGGATTACCCTTGATTTTGCCCTCTTTCACCCCTACCAGTCAATCACCAAGTCTGTCAATTCTATTTCCTTCTTTCCTTCTTATCTGCATTGTATCCACTTCTCCCTATCCTGAGTCTGGCTTCTGCTCCAAAATCTCCACCAAAATTTCTTCTTTTTCTTTTTTTTAGGCAGGGTCTGGCTCTGTCACCCAGGCTGGAGTGCAGTGGTATGATCTCGGCTCACTGCAACCTCCATCTCCCCAGCTCAAGCCATCCTCCTGCCTTAGCCTCCGGAGTAGCTGGACTACAGGCACACACCACCTACTAGTTTTTTGTTGTTGTTGTTTGTTTGTTTGTTTTAGTAGAGATGCAGTTTTGCCATGTTTTGAGTCCAGGGTTCGAGACCCAGGCTGGTCTCGAACTCCTGGGCTCAAAGCAGTTCGCCCACCTCAGCCTCCCAAAGTGCTGGGATTACAGCCATGAGTCACCGTGCCCGGCCTCAAAATTTCTTAGACTGAGGTCATCAGTTACTTTTTCCAGGTTTTAGTCTAATTAGGTTGAACCATATGAGCTTGCCAATTTTGTCTGGTTTTGATCTACAAAAAAAAAGGGGGGAATTTCTCATGATTTCACCTTCTATTTGCCCTTTCAGCAGCTCCAACTTTGGTTTCTGAGATGCCATTCTTTCCTGGTTTCCTTCTACCTCTCTGGCCATTTCTTCGAAGGCCCTTTCTCTGTCCCCTTCTCTGCTCCCCTCTAAATGTGGGAGTTCCTCACATGCAAGGCTGCCTCTCCTTCTCACTGCAGCGCTCTCTCTCTCTCTGGAAGATCTCATCTGGGCCCACATCTTTATGTACCAATGCCATGTCATCAATTCCCAAATGTCCAGTCCTCTAGTCCAGTCTCCTCTGAGCTACAGGCTTGGACATCTACCTCTCTAACACTGCCACGTGTATGTTTTACAGGCATCTCACAGTTAGCGTGTCCCAAACTAATGTTCTCTCAAGTGCTTTACTCCTCCAAGGCCATTCTCAGTAAATGCATGTCCAGGCACCCGGCTGTTCCTGCCACAAATCTGGGAAATATCCTTGACACCATCCTACCCCTTGCTCTCCCTCATCCAATCAGTCGCCAAGCCCTAATCATTATCTCTTGCCACATCTATTTCTCTCCATCTCTACTCCCACTTTTCTCCATCTCTTGCCTGCAAGAACTTCCTAACCCTTCTCCCCACTCCATCTTCCCCCCAACAACCTATTCTCCACACCACAGCTGTGTGATCTTTACAAAAAAATCACATCTTTTCCTGCTTAAAATCTATCAATGCCTTCCTGCTACCCTTCAGGGAAGTCCAGAATCTTTTCATGGCTTTCCATTGCCGTCCTTACCCTGTCTATATCTCTCTCCAGCTTCACCATGCACCATACCTTCCTGGATCATTTCCCTCCCTCCACCCTGGCTTTGTTTTTTGTTTGTTTGTTTGTTTTGTTTTGTTTTTGAGACAGCCTCACTCTGTTGCCCAGGCTAGAGTGCAGTGGTGCCATCTTGGCTCACTGCAACCTCTGCCTCCTGGGTTCAAGCGATTCTCCTGCCTCAGCCTCCCGAGTAACTGGGATTACAGACATGTGCACCACACCTGGCTAATTTTTGTATTTCTAGTAGAGACAGGGTTTCACCATGTTGGCCAGGCAGGTCTTGAACTCCTGACCTCAGGTGATCCACCTGCCTTGGCCTCCCAAAGTGCTGGGATTACAGGCATGACAAAGCACCCGGCCCCACCCTGGCTTTCTTTCAGTTTGCTAACACTCAAACTCTTTCATGGCAAGGTAGTATACCCTCTGAGCCTTCTGCCTCATCATCTGAGTGGGACAATGAGCTGCCATTTGGACCTATGGGTCTGGAGCCATTCATTACCACCCACATGCTCCTGACTCCCAAACAGACTTTTGGGAGTTAAAAGCATGTAGATGGGAATGGAACATGTCAACAAGTATGTATTGAGCACCTAGCCAGCACGGGCATTTTTCTAGGTGCTAGGGTACACAAACTATTTCCTCTGCCTGGGCACCCTTCTGCCTCCACCCCTTCACTTACTGTCACTCTGATCTTTTGGGTCTCATTTTAAAATTCCCTTCCTTGGCTGGGCACGGTGCCTCATGCCTGTAATTCCAGCACTTTGGGAGGCTGAGGCAAGAGGATCGTTTGAGCTCAGGAGTTTAAGACCAGCCTCGGCAACATATCAAGACCCCATCTCTCTTTTTGTAGAAAAATATTTTTAGGCCAGGCACGGAGGCTCATGCCTGTAATCCCAGCACTTTGGGAGACCCAGGGGGTTGGATCACGAGGTCAGGAGATCAAGACCATCTTGGCTAACACAGTGAAACCCCGTCTCTACTAAAAATACAAAAATTAGCTGGGTGTGGTGGCACGCGCCTGTAGTCCCAGCTACTCAGGAGGCTGAGGCAGGAGAATGACATGAACCTGGGAGGCGGAGGTTGCAGTGAGCCGAGATTGCACCACTGCACTCCAGCCTGGACGACAGAGTGAGACTTTGTCTCAAAAAAAAAAAAAAAAGAAAAGAAAAATATTTTCAAATAAAAATAAAATAATTCCCTTCTTCCTCAAGGGACATCACCCCTGACCTAGAACTCATTTGGGCCCTGCCATATTACACTCTCTATGCAGGCTGCAAGTTTTCTGACTAGCAGCACCTTTCACAGCCATAATTATTATTTGGACAATGTTTAATGTTTCTTCCAGTTGTCTCATGAAGCAGGGACTAAACACCGGGCTGACATTCACCAGTGTATACTCAGCATCTCTCATGAAGTGGGCACTCAATAAACAGTTGAACCCCAATTTACCTATGAAGAAATGAAGTTCAGTGTGTTTAATGACTTGCCCAGAGTCACCTGGCTTGACTGCGGTAGTCAGATTTAAATCCAGGTCACCTAGTTCAGCATCTATTCTAGGGGCTACTCTGGGGAAGGGAGGATATCAAGACTTTCAAGTGGGTTGGGACAGGGCTACCTTCTATGCTTACAGTTGCCTGGTCCCGAGTGGTAACAGAGTTGCTCATAGCACAGGGGTCACTTTGGAAAGCAGGACTGAGAAGCCCCAGCCTACCAGGGGAATTCATACCACCTGCGCCAGAGCCCTCATGGGCCCTGAGGAAGAGCAGAATGGCTCAGCCCAGGCATACTAGATCCCATCATGCAGCTCCCTCAGGGTAGAACCGCCTCCAGGGACCTACCTCGACCCTGGGTTACATCACCCTCGAATCCTGGGCTGTCAGTTGCATGGTAGCCTCTGCCGGGACAAAGGCCCATGGCTGCTGCATGAAAGCCCAGTTTCTTTCTTTTTTTTTTTTTTTGAGACGGAGTTTCGCTCTTGTTGCCCAGGCTGGAGTGCAATGGTGTGAACCTGACAGGGTCAAGCAATTCTCCTGCCTCAGCCTCCTGAGTAGCTGGGATTACAGGCGCCTGCCACAACGCCCAGCTAATTTTTTGTATTTTTGGTAGAGACGGGGTTTCACCATGTTGGCCAGGCTGGTCTCGAACTCCTGACCTCAGGTGATCTGCCCACCTTGGCCTCCCAAAGTGCTGGGATTACAGGCATGAGCCACCTGTGTGGTGGTGACTGAAACTTGGCTGAAAGCCCAGGTTTTCTTTTTTTTTTTTTAATTTTATTTATTTATTTATTTATTTATTTATTTTACTTTTGAGACAGAGTTTCACTCTTGTTGCCCAGGCTAGAGTGCAATGGCGCGATCTTGGCTCACCGCAACCTCCACCTCCTGGGTTCAAGCGATTCTCCTGCCTCAGCCCTCCTGAGTAGCTGGGATTACAAGCATGTGCCACCATGCTCGGCTAATTTTGTATTTTTAGTAGAGACAGGGTTTCTCCATGTTGGTCAGGCTGGTCTCGAACTCCCGACCTCAGGTGATCTGCCCGCCTAGGCCTCCCAAAGTGCTGGGATTATAGGCGTGAGCCACCGTGCCCGGCCTGAGAGCCCAGTTTCTAGGGAAGAAGCTTCTCAGGGATGTGTCTCATGCTTCTGGGTTTTTAGCCAAGGCCTGGGGGCCAGGGAATTTTTAGGAAACTCTTCACTGTCCCCAAATAAAAAGACTTGCTCCCCTAAGCTTTTCTCTAGTTTGTATTCCAAGGGAACATCCTCCCTCCCTCCTCCTGTTTTTGGTCTACCCAAACTTCACCCAGGCTTCTAAGCTCTTTTACCCTTCCCCATCCCCGGTAGCCTTCCTAAGTACATCCTTCCTGCTCAGGGGCTCCTAATACTTCTCCCCGCATAGCCCCTGAGTTGGGGAAGATCTGGTCTGCCAGACTGGTTTCCTAAGTAGCACCTAAGCAGCCACCCTTCTCCAGGGTAAGAACATGATTTCCATGAGACATTTCAAATTCCAGATGTAGCCCACAGAACCCCATTGCTTCTTGGGGGCCGCAAATTAGAGATCATTGGTTGATGGTGTCTACCAAATGTGACTGTCATCCTGTCATGAGTCCTGCCTAAATGCCTCCGATGATGGTAATATTAGCATTTATTGCCTCTGCTTACGAGGCATTGTCCTAAGCACTTTTACATGTATTAACTTACCTAATCCTTACAATAACTCTAAAATGTAGATACTGTTATTCTCCCCATTTTATTTTATTTATTTTATTTATTTATGTATTTTTGAGACGGAGTCTCGCTCTGCCATCCAGGCTGGAGTGCAGTGGTGCGATCTCAGCTCACTGCAACCTCCACCTCCCTGGTTCAAGCAATTCCCCTGCCTCAGCCTCCTGAGTAGCTGGGATTACAGTCGCATGCCACCATGCCTGGCAAATTTATTTTGTATTTTTTAGTAGAGACGGGGTTTCACCATGTTGGCCAGACTGGTCTCGAACTCCTGACCTCAGGCAATCCACCCGCCTCGGTCTCCCAAAGTGCTGGGATTACAGGCATGAACCACCGCGCCCGGCCGTATTATCCACATTTTACCTGAAAGGAAATGAAGGCACTATGAGGTTAAGTAACTTGCCCAAGGTCACAAGGCAAGTTAATGGCAGATTTACACCCAGGCTGTCTGGATCCAGAACCCTCACTGTTAACCACCACACTACATCACCTCTCACGATGCAAATTGTGTGGCCCCATCCTATATTCTGAATCTCCTCTCCTGCCTGGCTGGCTATATTGTCTATTTCAGAATCTTTGCTCACACCACTCTCCCAGCCCAGAGCATCTGTCCCTCTGCCTCTCCAAATCTCATTCTGCAGGACTCCCTTTCTGCAGCCAACCCTAACTGCCCCACCTTCACTGCTCCCAGCTAGCCTGGGAGCTTCCCAAGGGCAGCACAGGCCTGGACCCTCCAGATGCTAGATAGAGACACTGTGGACAAATTTAAGTGAGAGTGGGGTAAGAAGTACTATGCTGCTCCCTTGGGGTGGGGAGGTGCTTAAAGTGGAGGGAGAGCAGGCCATGTGGGAGGAGGAATCCTGGGAGCTAGTGTGAAAGGAGTCCTAGCGAACTTCTCAGGGAGGCAGCAAGGGGTCTAGCATGGAAGGTCTTCACTGCTTCTCCCAGCCCCTGTGAAGCCCGGTTCCTGAGGCCCTGGACCCATAACGCAGGCCCCAGAGGATATCATTGTCCTCTGATACCCAAGTCAGACCTTAGAGGCACCAAGGGCATTGAGGGGAACAAGGGATCCCTGCATCCAAAGTCAGGCGGGAGCACAAACAGGGAGGGCGAGCACAGGAAGTGGGACCGCGATGATGGACGACCCCTGAAGCAGCAGCTCCCTAAACCCGCTAGCGGGACACCCGTAAGCGTCCAGAATAGTGGGCCCGAAGGCACAGGGATGCGGCTGTGGCCTTGGAGGACACATGACGAGGCAGGCCTGAGCAAACTGGATGTGCCTTGATACAGGCCACGGCGAGAATCAGAGATGGGGGTCCGACGGGCCCCGGGGGGGGTACCGTGGGGGAACACATCGGACGGGTACCCTGGGTCAGCGCTCTCCGCGACTCTCCTAGCCCTGGGCCGGGGGCAGGAGGGGAAATCACCTGCTCCGTCGGGCGCCGCCGGCGACTTGTCCCGCGCGGTGCAGCTCTCATCCCCCAGCCCCACCAACGAGATCAAAGGCGGGGCCCAGAGCGGTTCCCTTCCAGAGGCGCCGTGGCGGCCATGTTTGAGAAGGGCAAGTTGCCCACAACAGGGCGGAGCTCCTGCTCTAATTCTCTAACGTCCCAGGGCTATGGACGGGCTCCCTTGGCGGCCAGTTTTGTTGCGCGTAGGGAGGCGTTAGGCGTGAAGGTCTTGAGAGGGGGTGGAGTCGAAGTGGGTAGGACTGCATCCCCGTCTTGTTCCTTCTCATCCGTCAGAGACCCGAAACCTTTCTCTTTCTTTCTCTCTCTCTTTTTCTCGTCTCTCTCTCTCTCTCTCTCTCACTTTTTTTTCCTTTTCTTCTTCTTTTTTTTTTTTGGGAGGGAGCCTCGCACTGTCTCCCGGGCTGGAGTGCAGTGGCGCGATCTCGGCTCACTGCAACCTCCGCCTCCCGGGTTCAAGAGATTCTCCTGCCTCAGCCTCCCGAGTAGCTGGGATTACAGGCGCGCGCCACCACGCCCAGATAATTTATTGTATTTTTAGTAGAAACGGGGTTTCACCATGTTGGCCAGGCTGGTCTCAAACTCCTGACCTCGTGATTCGCCTGCCTCGGCCTCCCAAAGTGCTGGGATTACAGGCATGAGCCACCGCGCCTGGCCTCTTTTCTTTTCTTCTTTCTTTATTTTCCTTTCTTTCCCTCCCTCCCTTCCTTCCTTCTCTTTCTTTTTCTTCTTTTCTTGCTGTTACAGCCCCAGGCTGGAGTGCAGGTTCACGAGTGCGAACATGGCTCACTGCAGCCCCGACCTCCTGGGTTCAAGTGATCCTCCCATCTCAGCCTCTGGAGTAGCTGGAACCACAGGCGCGTGCCACCACGCCGAGCTAATTTTTTTTTTTTTTTTTTTTTTTGTAGAGACAGGGTTTTTGCCACGTGGCCCAGGCTGGTCTCTTAGGTACTGACTTCCCCACCCTGTCTGTACCTTTTGCATTCCCTTAACAGCAATGTCTCCCCTAGATTGGGGTGAGCTACAGGTCTGTGTCTCCGGAGGGTGGAGCCTGGGATTTTGGACGTGGTCTGGGAGAGGTGGAGTGGTAGCAGGTGCCAGGATGAGGATCCACCTGAGCCCTGTCATGGACAGCCTGTAGACCATGCCTACCCCCCGGGGCCTTCATCCCCCATGTTGGCAGGGCTGCTTGTCTAGGACAGGAGAGCTGAACTCCAGGGCCCAACAAGACTTCAACTTCCTCTTTTTGTTCCTGCTGCCACAGATTCCCGGTGCTGCCCTGTGGGGAAGCCCCACAGCCCTCCCCTCTTGGGAACCCTGAAATGGGTCACAAGGGGAAGAGTCCCCTTCAAGGATAAAATTTCCCATCCCCCATCAGCAGGGATGAGCCCTTTTTAGTGCTAGTTCCTTCGTGGGGTGCTGGGGACCCGGAAGCTGTCCCTGCCCTCAGGGAGCTCACAGTCCAAGAGAGAAGTCCCATCTTTCCTCTCTCCTAGGGACTAAGGCAGTGCCAAGATACTATGCTGCAGTGGCTCACACCTGTAATTCTAGCACTTTGCAAGGCTGAGGTGGGAGGATCGCTTGAGCCCAGGAATTTGAGACCAGCCTGGGCAACATGGCAAAACCTCGTCTCTACAAAAAATTTAAAAAATAAAAAATTATCTGGGCATGGTGACACACGCCAGTAGTCCCAGCTACTCCAGAGACTGAGGTGGGAGGATCATTTGAGCCCCAGAGGTCAAGGCTGCAGTAAGCCGTGATTGTGCTACTGCACTCCAGCCTGAGTGACAAAGCAAGACCCTGTCTCAAAAAAAAAAAAAAAAAAAAAAAAGAAGAAGAAAAGAAGGAGAAGGAAGAAGAAGAAACTATGGAGAAAACGGGATGACTGCTTATTGCTTTCTCTTCCACCTCTGGTCCTCACAACAGCCTCCTTCCTCTTCTGGCCTCAGAGACAGCAAGATGTTGGCTGCTTGGGGGAGGTAGCAGGGAAGGAAGGGGCACATTCGCGTCGCTTTGCCCATAAAAACACTGCCACTCCAGCCTGGTGATACTAGGGTTAATGAGGGGTGGGGTGACAGCGACTTTGAACTCTGGCCGGGCAGGCCCCTAGGAAGGGGGTGATGGGCAGCCCACAGCCCCAGGCCTTTGCCTGTCCTCCAGAGACCAGCCATCCCTTTCCTCCCCCGTCCCCTTTCCTGCTTCCCCCTGTCCATTGCACAATACTGATGACTCTTCTCTCCCTACCACCCTCCATTCCCGGAACTTTCAAGTTTCCTCAGTAGAGCTGCCCTGAGTTCTGGCCCAAGACCCCTGCAAGCCATTTCTGACTGTGTGCCTTCCCCTCTCCCCTATCCCCTGTTTGCTGGATGGCAGCTGCATGTGACTTGGTATCAGAAAGAACTTCCTGAGCTTTCAAGGGAGGAGGATGGAAAAGACTTCTTAGGGGGAGTCCCTCCTTTCCCAACTCAAACTCTGGGGAGTCCCAGCTCTGTGCAGCAGGAGTCAAGTTCTGGGGGGTCGAGGACAGAAGGTGGGCTGAGGAGAGGGAACCCCACAGACACAAGGACACACACATACTGTAAGGTAGGGGCTCCCGGGATCCCTGCCCTGAGGGATTCTGAAGCTGGCTGGAACTTCAGCCCCTGATTTTCTTTCCCCTCAGGTCTCAGTCTCTCTCTCCCCAAAATGGGAACAGACTCCCCACTGCCCTTTGGTACTGCTTGAAGCGGCACAGAGCTAAAGGAGGCAGAGGGATGCCTTTTCACCGCCATTCCTTCCAGTGAATTTTGCAGCTGGTGTTTGGGTGCCTGGATCGCCTTAGCTGGTGGGAAAAGCTAGAAACCTACGCTGAGGCTTCCCCTAGCACCTCCATTCCCCATCATCCTGCTTCAAAATGAGAAACTGGACTTGAATTTGGCATAAAGGGCAGATTTTTCAGGCAGAGTAGAGAGAGAGCCCAGCGGGCTGGTCTCAAGGGGTGGGAAGAACTCAGTTAGAGACCAAGGTGAGGAAGGGGAGGCTTCAAAGAATGGCGGGGGCGGGGTCCCGCTCTGGCTTGAGGTTAGAAAGGGCTCTCTGGGCAGGGTTCCTGGCCCTCCCACACCTTCCTCCTTTCTCAGAAGAGCCAGCATGGGGCGGGGGCGGGAGGCGGCTGGGGCGGGGGTGGGGGCCTTATTTAAGGAGCACCGGCTGAGAACATCGTTGCAGATCCAGCCCCAGGAGCCATAGAGAGGAGGTTTCGTGGGTAAGTGGCTGTCCCTCTCTCTGGATTCAAGCAGGGGTCGGGATGGGGTGCCCCTGAGGCGCAGGCTTGGCTTTCCCTCTCTGGGATAGGCTGCAGCTTTGCCATGTGAGTGAGGGGAGCACCCAGCCCTCGGCTGAACTCTCCAGAAAATGAAAGTGTGCTTCAGGGAACTCTTTCTCCTCCACTCCACTATCCCAGGTACTTCAAATCTTTATTCAGGGTTTTGGGGAGATTTCTGGGGAGCTAGGACTCCTGGGCTGGGCTCCTATCTTGGGGATCCATATCTTGGGGACTCCCTTTAGCTCAGAAAGCCCCTTGGTTTGCATAGAGATGCCCTTCTCAGTGTGCGTGTTCTGGCTCTTTCCCCAGCCCCTCACCCCTCCAGCCCCACATCAGGCCCCACCAGGAACACATCTGGGCAGGAAGCGACAGATGGATCCCTGCCATGGCCCTGAGCCCCCTCCCCTCTTAACCTACTCCAATTCCTGTTGGAATTTATGGAACTCCTGTCCATTTCCTTAGCTGTGGGCCCCCATTTTCAGCTCCAAGCTCAGACCCTCCCTGGAATAGGAGTTCTCTTGGTATCACAAGTTCCTTATGTGACCCATCCTGGGCCTCAACTTACTCATCCTGGGAACGGGAGACGATTCACAGAAGAAAGCATGCAAGAGCAGCGTCCAGGCTGAAAGAACTTTGGCCACCTGGCACTGAGAACTGAATTCCATAGGCTGTGAGCTCTAGCAATGCCCTGTGGACTCAGTTCTGGTGCCCGGCAGTGCTACAACATCAATGCCAAGGCCGTGGGGCAGCTGATGGTTTGGGCTCCCAACTTCCCAGCCAGGTGCTTCTGCAGGCCCACATCTTGCCCACTGGCCAAACCTTTAAATAACTTTGACTCGGGCTACTCTTATGCTCAAAGACGTCAGGGGCTCTCCCAAATCTCTTTACCCTGCCAGAAAGTCTTCTATAGTACGGCCTCCACTTAGCTTTCACGCCTGATCTTCCATCGCATCCTGCTCATAACCTGCCACTAGTGAACCCCTGCTGCTCCGGCTCCACACTTCTCATGCTGGTCCTTCCTCAGTGCTCCTGGGGACACCTCTTGCCTGTCACTGTCTGTTGGAATCCTGGACATTCTTCAAAGCCTCTCTCAGATGCCTCTTCTTTTTTCCTTTTTATTTATTTTTTTTGGGATGGAGTCTCATTCTGTGGCCCAGGCTGGAGTGCAGTGGCGCAATATCAGCTCACTGCAACCTCCACCTCCCAGGTTTAAGTGATTCTCCTGCCTCAGCCTCCCCGAGTAGCTGGGACTACAGGCGTGTGCCAACACACCTGGCTAATTTTTTTTTTTTTTTTTTTTTTTTTGGAGACGGAGTCTTGTTCTGTTGCCCAGGCTGGAGTGTGGTGGTGCAATCTCGGCTCACTGCAACCTCTGCTTCCCGGGTTCAAGTGATTCTCCTGTCTCAGCCTCCCAAGTAGCTGGGATTATAGGCACACACCACCACGCCTGGCTGATTTTTTATTTTTAGTAGAGATGGGGTTTCACCAGGTTGGCCAGGCTGCTCTTGAACTCTCGACCTCAGGTGATCCGCCTGCCTTGGCCTACCAAAGTGCTGGGATTACAGGCGTGAGCCACTGTGCCCAGCCAGATGCCTTTTCCAAGAAGCCTCTCTCAACTCCCCAACAGTGCATATGATCTCTTACAGATCCTCCACACCCCTCTTCATGAGCCCTGTAGGGTCTAGTCCAGCGTCCAGCATATAGTAGCTGTTCAATAAATATTCCTTGCATTTTTGTTGAGTTTGTCTCCTGTATGAAGAGACAGTTTGACCTACAGGTTAAGACTGCGATCAGTTAGCCAGGCATGGTGATGCGTGCCTATAGTCTCAGTTACTCAGGAGGCTGAGATGGGAGGATGGCTTGAGCCTGAGAGGCAGAGGTGGCAGTGAGCCAAGATCATACCACTGCACTCCAGCCTGGGCCACAGAGCAAGACCCTGTCTCTCTCTCAAAAAGAAAAAAAAAAAAAAAAAAAGAAAAGAAAAGAAAAAAAAAAAGATAAGAAAATTACAATCAAATTTCCCAGGGACATTCTTGGGGTATAGCCTTGGGTAAGTTGTTAACATCAATGGCCCTCAGTTTTCTCATCTGCAAATGGGAATGATAATTGCATCCATGGGATGTAATTATATCCACATCAAGGTTTTGTGAAGATTAAATTAAATGTGTTGATAGTTTCTGTTCAGGGTTTTAACGTGGTGCCTGGCATAGAGCAAGTTCTCATAAGTATGTAATGTTATGATTCCTATTTTATTCCCTTGAGTAGAATGTGAGCCAGACAAAGGTAAGGTCATTGCGGGGTGGAGGAGGGCTTGAAATTGGTCAGTCAGGGCTTGTTGACTGAGGGGGTCCTGACAAAATGGATTGGGCGACAGGTAAGGCTGGGGCAGGGCCAGGAGGAGGAGGCCATCAGGTCAGGGCTTGGAGGCCCAGGCCCCGCTGGGAGCTAAGAGTCCTGGATTCCTGCCTACAGTTTGAGCTCCGGTGAAGCACTCCTTCTTGATGGCTCTGGTTTCCCAGCATAATGTAAATTGAAGAGATCGAACCAGATGAATGGCAAGGTCCCTGGCAGCCCAGATGTTTTGTGAGTTCTGAGCTTCTAAGTTAATTTGAAAAAAAAAAAGATCAAACAAGGAAGCATCTGTGCTTCCTCTAGGGCTCACATCAACAGGGCCTGGAGTGAAATGGGATGCTGGACTCAGTGAGTGGTAGCACCTCCTTCAAAATGCCTGCAGTCAGGGGCCCTCCTCCCTCACTGGGGCTGGGGCTAGGGGTAAACTGTGTGCAGTCCAGGGCCACTTCCAGAGAATGCCCCAGGGAGGAATGGCTAAGAGAATGCAGATCCTCAGAGGTGGGGGACATTGAGAGACTTCAAGACCCAAGAGACTTCAAGACCCAAGACTTCTAGGCCGGGCACAGTGGCTCACGCCTGTAATCCCAGTACTTTGGGAGGCCGAGGCGGGAGGATCAGAGGATCACGAGGTCAGGAGATCGAGACCATCCTGCCTAACACGGTGAAACCCCGTCTCTACTAAAAATACAAAAAATTAGCCGGGTGCGGTGGCGGGCGCCTGTAGTCCCAGCTACTTAGGAGGCTGATGCAGGAGAATGGCCTGAACCCGGGAGGCAGAGTTTGCGGTGAGCCGAGATCGCGCCACTGCACTCCAGCCTGGGCAACAGAGCCAGACTCCGTCTCAAAAAAAAAAAAAAAAAAAGACCCAAGACTTCTGGACCCAAGAGGACAGAGAGGGAAGTGAATACACAACACACCTTATGCTGGAGTGGGACTCATCATTTATTTGAAGCCTGCATTGTTTCAAAAAAGGATTTGAGAATGCTCACCAGCATGCACACAATTCTCCAACATTAAAAAGTAAAATCAGGCTGGGTGTGGTGGCTCACTCCTCTAATCTCAGCAATTTGGGAGGCCCAGGTGGGTGGATCACCTGAAGTCAGGAGTTCGAGACCAGCCAAGCCCACATGGCGAAACCCCATCTCTACTAAAAATACAAATACAAAAATTAGCCAGGCATAGTGGCAGGTGCCTGTAATCCCAGCTACCTGGGAGGCTGAGGCAAGAGAATCACTTGTACCTGGGAGGCAGAGTTGCAGTGAGCCACGATCATGCCACTGCACTCCAGCCTGGGCAACAGAATGAGACTACGTCTCAAAAAATAAAATAAAATAAAAATAAAAGTAGGCTGGGCGCAGTGGCTCACACCTGTAATCCCAGCACTTTGGGAGGCCGAGGTGGGAGGATCACGAGGTCAGGAGATTGAGACCACCCTGGCTAACATGGTGAAACCCCATCTCTACTAAAAAAATACAAAAAATTAGCCAGGCATGGTGGCGGGCGCCTGTAGTCCCAGCTACTCTGAGGCTAAGGCAGGAGAATGGCGTGAACCCGGGAGGCGGAGCTTGCAGTGAGCCGAGATCGCGCCACTGCACTCCAGCCTGGGGGACAGAGCAAGACTCCGTCTCAAAAAATAAAAAATTAAAAAAAAAAGTAAAATCAAAGCCAGGTGCGGCCGGGCGCAGTGGCTCATGCCTGTAATCCCTGCACTTTGGGAGGCCGAAGCGGGTGGATCACGAGGTCAGGAGATCAAGACCATCCTGGCTAACATGGTGAAACCCCGTCTCTACTAAAAATACAAAAAATTATCCGGGCACGGTGGCGGGCGCCTGTAGTCCCAGATACTCGGGAGGCTGAGGCAAGAGAATGGCTTGAACCTGGGAGGCGGGGCTTGCAGTGAGCCGAGATCACGCCACAGCACTCCAGCCTGGGCGACAGAGCGAGACTCTGTCTCAAAAAAAAAAAAAAAAAAAGCCAGGTGCATTGGCGAGGGCTTGTATTCCCAGCTATTCAGGAGCCTGAGGCAGAAGGATCACTTGAGCCCAAGAGTGTGAGGCTGCAGGGAGCAGTAATTGCACCAGTGCACTCGAGCCTGGGCGACAGAGCAAGATCTGTCTCAAAACAAATAAATAAAAATAAATAAATTATTTTGAAAAAGTAAATACTGTCTAATGTTAGCACTATGTAAAAAAGAGGTTTAAAAGATAAGCTCGGCCGGGCGTGGTGGCTCATGCCTGTAATCCCAGCACTTTGGGAGGCTGAGGCGGGTGGGTCACGAGGTCAGGAGATCAAGACCATCCTGGCCAACACGGTGAAACCCTGTCTCTACTAAAAACACAAAAATTAGCCGGGCGTGGTGGCGGGCGCCTGTAGTCCCAGCTACTCAGAAGGCTGAGGCAGGAGAATTGCTTGAACCCAGGAGGTGGAGGTTGCAGTGAGCTGAGATGGCGCCAGTGCACTCCAGCCTGGGTGACAGAGAGAGACTCTGTCTCAAAAAAAAAAAAAAAAAAAAAAGCTCACTCGTGCAGTGGCTCACGCCTGTAATCCCAACACTTTGGGAGATCAAAGCAAGTGGATCACTTGAGTCCAGGAGTTCCTTTGAGACCAACCTGGGCAACGTGGTGAAACCCTGTCTCTACTAAAAATATAAAAACTTAGCTGGGTGTAGTGGCACACGCCTATAGTCCCAGTTACTAGGGAAGCTGAGGAGGGAGGATTGATTGAGCCCAAAAGGTCGAGGCTGCAGTGAGCAATGATTCTGCCACTGCACTCCAGCCCTGGGCAACAGAGTGAGACCCTGTCTCAAGGGGATTTAAAAAAAAAAGCTCATTGGTTGGGTCCCAGTACAATGACTCATACCTGTTATGCCAGTGCTTTAGGAGGCTGAAGTGGGAGGATCCTTTAAGACCACCTGGCAACATCTCCTAGACCCTGTCTCTATAAAAAATTAAAAACAAGGCTGGGCACAGTGGCTCACGCCTGTAATCCCAGCACTTTGGGAGGCCGAGGTGGGCAGATCACGAGGTCAGGAGATCGAGACCATCCTGGCTAACACAGTAAAACCCCGTCTCTACTAAAAATACAAAAAATGAGCCGGGCGTGATGGCGGCCTGTAGTCCCAGCTACTCTGGAGGCTGAGGCAGGAGAATGGCGTGAACCCAGGAGGCAGAGCTTTCAGTGAGCCAAGATTGTGCCACTGCACTCCAGCCTGGGCGACAGAGCAAGACTCCATCTCAAAAAAAAAAAAAAAGAAAGAAAGAAAGAAAAGAAAGGGCTGGGCATGATCTTATCCCCATGGCTGAGCATAATCTATAGTTCTTATTCAAATCTTGCTACTTGTCCCAGTAATGTCCTTCGTAACAGGTTTTATTTTGGTTCAGGATCCAATCCAGGATTATGCATTGCATTTAGTTTTCATGCCTTTTTAGCCTCCTTTGAATCTGAGACATTTCTCAAGTTCCCATAGTCTTTTTTTGAGACAGGGTCTCACTTTGTCACTCAGGCTGGAGTGCAGTGGCATGATCACAGCTCACTGCTGCCTGTACCTGCCAGGCTCAAGCGATCCTTCCACCTCAGCCTCACGAGTAGTTGGGACCACAGGTGCACATCACCATGCCCGGCTAATTTTTGTATTTTTTGTAGAGATGAGGTTTTTCTATGTGTCCCAGGCTGTCCTTGAACTCTGGGGTTCAAGCGATACACCCACCTAGGCCTCCTAAAGTGATGAAATTACAGGTTTGAGCCACCGCGCTGGGCTGGTGTCATAGTCTTTTATGACATTGCCATTTTTGAGCAATACAGACAAGTGGAATCATCTCTCCGTTTAGGTTTATCTGAGGTTTCCTCATGACTGCATTACTGCTGAACTGATGTTGTGTTTTTTAACATATCAGGAAGCTTATGATGTTGATTTGTCCCCTCTAATGATAATGTCAACTTGTTTCATCCTGCTGAACCCACAGTTGGAATCACCCCAAAAGCCTTAGCAGGGGAGTTTCCACAAGGGAGTGCCCCAGACCTTTTCCAGGTGGGGCCAGTTGGGATTCCAAGGGAAGTAGCACTTAGCACTAAATAAACAACAGGGTGATCAGTCCAAAGCATTTATTTATTCATTTAGACAGGGTCTCGCTTGCTCTGTTGCCCAGACTGGAGTGCAGTCACACAATCATAGCTTACTGCAGCCTCAATCTCTTGGGCTCAAGCGATCCTCCCACCTCAGTCTCCCAAGTAGCTGGGACTACAGGCAGACACCCCCACACCCAGCTAATTTCTTTTTTTTTTTTTTTTTTTAGTAGAGAGAGGTCTTGCTATGTTGCCCAGGCTGGTCTCAAACTACTGAGCTCATGCCATCCTCCTTCCTCAGCCTCCCAAAGTGCTAGGATCACAGATGTGAGCTGCCATGGTCAGCCAGTCCAAAGCATTTATTAGGGGAACCTTACGTACAGAGTGCTACAGCAATCCTCACGACAGACAGTAACAGAAAAGCGGTGATCCCCCTAGGTATATCCAAGCAAAGTGGTCAGGGGATAGAGTTTATGTGAGCCTTTAAGGCATTTGGCTCAGGGCTGGGGCTTGTTTCTTTCTGTTTTGGTAACAACCTAGATAATTTTATCAGTGCCAGGAAATGTTCAAGACCCCAGTGTGGGTTCAAGCCTTCAGGGTAAAACATGTTGGGTCACAGAGGGATCAAAAGGACTCTGTGATCTTTGGGTCAAGACACAGAAATAGGGGACAGACACTGGGGGACCCTACAGCTTTGATAACTTAGTTAAGGTGATATACACCAGTTTTCCCTATTATACGACTAGCTTACTCTTTTTCGCTTTGTAATTAATAAATATCTTATTGGAACATATTTTGAAACTAAACTAAATAAATATCCTGTTTTTATTCAAATTTGTACTCATTAGTTTTATTATCCATGAGTGACCTGAATCAATTTAGTATCACCTGAATCAATTATTACTATGATGGCTGGGATGGGAATGGCAATTTTCTTTTCTTTCCTTTCTTTTTTTTTTTTTGAGAAGAAGTTTCGCTCTTGTTGCCCAGGCTGGAGCGCAATGGCACGATCTCAGCAGCTCACTGCAACCTCTGCCTCCCGGGTTCCAGCAATGCTCCTGCCTCAGCCTCCCGAGTAGCTGGGATTACAGGCGCCCGCCACCACGCCCGCCTAATTTTTGTATATTTAGTAGAGACGGGGTTTCACCATGTTGACCAGGCTGTCTTGAACTTCTGACCTCAGGTGAACTGCCCACCTCGGCCTCCCAAAGTGCTGGGATTACAGGCGTGAGCCATGGCGCCCAGCCTTTTTTTCTTTTCTTTTCTTTATTTTTTTTCCCCGAGATGGAGTTTCACTCTTGTTGCCCAGGCTGGAGTGCAATGGCTGCGATCTCAGCTCACCACAATCTCCGCCTCCTGGGTTCAAGCAATTCTTCTGCCTCAGCCTCCCGAGTAGCTGGGATTACAGGCATGTGCCACCATGCCTGGCTAATTTTGTACTGTTAATAGAGACGGGGTTTCTCCATGTTGGTCAGGCTGGTCTCCAACTCCCGACCTCAGGTGATCGATCTGCCCGCCTCGGCCTCCCAAAGTGCTGGGATTACAGGCGTGAGCCACCGCACTGGGAATGGCAATTTTCTAATTTTATTATTCCTTCTACTGTAAGGATTAGTTTTTCCTTCATATTTATTTATTTAGTGATTATTAGTATGGACTTATGGATTCTTATTTTTTTCAATGAGTTATAATGAATTACTGTCATTATTTGTTTTGATGCTTAAATTGTCCCTAATTTGGCCAGTGGAATTCCCTTGAAGCTGGCTTCTTTGTACTTTTGACTTTTTTTTTTTGAGATGGAGTCTCACTCTGTCGCCCAGGCTGGAGTGCAGTGGCGCCATCTCGGCTCACTGCAAGCTCCACCTCCCAGGTTCACGCCATTTTCCTGCCTCAGCCTACCGAGTAGCTGGGACTACAGGCGCCCGCCACCAAGCCCGGCTAATTTTTTGTATTTTTAGTAGAGACGGGGTTTCACCGTGTTAGCCAGGATGGTCTTGATCTCCTGACCTCGTGATCCGCCCGCCTCCGCCTCCCAAAGTGCTGGGATTACAGGCGTGAGCCACCGCGCCCAGCTGTACTTTTGACATTTTTGAGCAGTCCTTTATTTTCTGGAATAAGTTGTTCTAGGCTCCTCATGTACCTTCACTGCCCCAGACCTGGAATCAGCCATTTTCCCAAGGACCCTCATTCCTTTTAGTTGGGAATGGAATTTAGAACTAAAGACCTGAAGCGGCCGGGTGCGGTGGCTCACACCTGTAATCCTAGCACTTTGGGAGGCCGAGGAGGGCCAATCACGAGGTCAGGAGTTCGAGACCAGACTGGCCAACATGGTGAAACCCAGTCTCTACTAAAAATCCAAAAATTAGTGGTGGTGGGCGCCTGTAATCCCAGCTACTCAGGAGGCTGAGGCAGGAGAATCGCTTGAACCTGCGAGGCGGAGGTTGCAGTGAGCTGCTGAGATTGCGCCATTGCACTCCAGCCCGGGCGACAGAGTGAGACTCTGTCCCCCCACAAAACAAAACAAAACAAAACAAAAAAAGAACTAAAGACCTGGATTTTGGTCATTCTTATTGCTACTAGCTGTCATTGTTCAGTGATTCAGTTTCCATCTCAAAGACTTTACATTCGACAATTTAATACTTGTATATGTGAACAAAGATGCATATTCAAGGACATTTATTTTCTCATCACCCTTACTACTTCCAAATAAAACGAAGTCATGTCTTCTATTTCCTGTATTACAGTCATGTATTGCTTAATGATGGGGATACATTCTGAGAAGTGCATCATTAGGCCATTTTGTCATTGTCTGAACATTCTAGAGTGTACTTACACAAATCTAGATGGTAAAGCCTACTACACACCTAGGCCATATGGTAGAGCCTATTGCTCCTAGGCTACAAACCTGTACAGTTTGAGGCTGTACTGAATACTGAAGACAATTGAACACAATGGTAAGTGTTTGTGTATCTAAACAGAAAAGTTACAGTAAGAATATAGCATTATAATCTTAAGGGACCACCATCATATATGCGCTCCGTCGTCAACTGAACCGTCATTATGGGGTGCATGACTGTACTTCAAAGCCTAACTGCCCCCCATTTCCATGATGACCCCTCTATAGTCTCTTTTCCACATAGCAGCCAGAATAATAATAATTTTTAAATCTGATAACATTACTCCTATGCTCATAACCCTCCACCCACTAATAATAAAATCCAGCCGGGCACTGTGGCTTGCTCCTGTAATCCCAGCACTTTGGGAGGCCGAGGTGGGTGGATCACAAGGTCAGGAGTTCGAGACCAGCCTGACCAACATGGTGAAACCCCATCTCTACTAAAAATACAAAAAATTAGCCGGCCATAGTGGTGCGTGCCTGTAATCCCAGCTATAGCTACTCAGGAGGCTGAGGCAGGAGAATCACTTGAATCAAAGAGGCGGAGATTGCAGTGAGCAGAGATCACACCACTGCACTCCAGCCCAGCCTGGGCGACAGAGTGAGACTCCGTCTCAAAAAAAAAAAAAAGAATAAAATCCAAAATTCTCAATACAGCTTCATTGCACCACAGGTTCTGCTTAATCTCTTATCACATGTGCTTGCTCACAGGACAAGGACACTCATCCACAGGGTGGTCATACCTGCTTTTCTTCCCCAGGTACTCAAATGACTTGCAAAGGTCTTTATTATGACTATACTCAAGTCACCTCTTGGGAGAAGCCTCCTCAATCCCATTTAAAACACCACCCATCAATTATCACTATTTGACGCTATATCACATATTCACCTATTTGCTTGTCAGTCTCTCCTCCTCTGTTACACCTCTAATGTAAGATCCATGAGGGCAGAGACTTGTTTGGTTTTCTGCTGTAGCCCCAGTACCTGGAATTCTGACTGGCATATTTGGGCTCTCAATGCCTGTTAAGTGAATGAAGATAACTTTCACTCCTTAGGGCTTCTGCACTCACCATACTCTCTGCCTGGCTTCCCCCTCACCCTTCTCTGCATGGTTAACTTTGCATTCTTTAGATCTCAGTTTAAATGTCACCTGCTCAGAGAAGCCATCTTATTCTAAAGTAAGTTCTGACACTTATTTTCTAAATCAAAAATAAAAATAGACCGGATGTGATGGCTCACACCTGTAATCTCACCACTTTGGGAGTTTGAGGTGGATGGATTACCTGAGGTCAGCACTTTGAGACCAGCTTGGCCAACATGGTGAAACACTGTCTCTACTAAAAATACAAAAATTAGCTGGGCATGGTGGCCCACACCCATAATCTCAGCTACTTTGGAGGCTGCGGCAGGAGAATTGCTTGAACCCGGGAGGTGGAGGTTGCAATGAACTGAGATTGCCCCACTGCACTCAAGCCTGGGTGATGGAGCGAGACTCCGTCTCAAAAAAATAAAATAAAATAAAATAAAATAAGAAATAAAAATAAAAATAAAGCCTGGGTGGGGTGGCTCACGCCTGTAATCCCAGCACTTTGGGAGGCTGAGGCGGGTGGATCACTTGAGGTCAGCAGTTCAAGACCAGCTTGACCAACATGGTGAAACACTGTCTCCACTAAAAATACAAAAAAATTAGCCGGGCATGGTGGCGTGTGCCTCTAATCCCAGCTATTTGGGAGAAGAATTGCTTGGACCCAGGAGGCAGAGGTTGCAGTGAGCTGAGATGGCACCATTGCACTCCAGCAGCCTGGGTGACAAGAGCGAAACTCCGTCTAAAATACATACATACATACATATATATATATACACACACACACATATATATATACACACATATATATATATATATTTTTTTTTGTGCATAGAAAAATAGTAGATTGGACCTCAATGATCATTAAGGGGTGAGGGAAATCAGAAAAGAATTTAACTTCCTATATCACATATTTCTGTATTGCAAACTATGTTTAAATCAAACACTGGCCAGGTGCAGTGGCTCACGCCTGTAATCCCAGCACTCTAGGAGGCCGAGGCAGGCAGATCACGCGGTCAGGAGTTCAAGACCAGCCTGACCAATATGGTGAAACCCCATCTCTACTAAAAAAAAAAAAAATACAGGCTGGGCGTGGTGGCTCATGCCTGTAATCCCAGCACTTTGGGAGGCTGAGGTGGGTGGATCACGGGGTCAGGAGTTCAAGACCAGCCTGGCCAAGATGGTGAAACCCTGTCCATACTAAAAATACAAAAAAATTTGCCAGGCATGGTGGCGTGCTCCTGTAATCCCAGCTACTTGGGAGGCTGAGGCAGAGAATCCCAGGAGGCAGAGGTTGCAGTGAGTCAAGATCATGCCACTGCACTCCAGCCTGGGAGACAGAGCCAGACTCCACCTCAAAAAAAGAAAAAAAAAATTAGCCGGGTGTGGTGGCGCATGCCTATAGTCCCACCTGCTTGGGAGGCTGAGGCAGGAGAATCGCTGGAACCCAGGAGGCAGAGGTTGCAGTGAGCCAAGATTGTGCCACTGCACTCCAGCCTGGGTGACAGACTGAGACTCCATCTCAAAACGAACAAACAAACAAACAAACACTAACATTTTAGCACTTAACACATGCCAGGCACCGTGGTAAATGCTTTCTGTGCACTGTAGAAACACAGATGTCATGGCATCTTCTCAATAACCTCATGAGATAGGTTTTTGTATCATCATCCCCATTTGGGATGGGGAAACTGTTTCATGGACATTAATTTGCCCAAGGTCACACAGCAGACCCATCACACTATGCCACCTCACCTTCTTGTGTTTTATAATTTTTTACAAAGGAAAAATAAGGTGAAACTAGGGATAACAGAGTTCAGGATGCAGGTTTTATATAAAAGACACTAAGCAGGCCGGGCACGGTGGCCATGCCTGTGATCCCAGCACTTAATGAGGCCAAGGCGGGCAGATCACTTGAGGCCAGGAGTTTGACACCAGCCTGGCCATCATGGGAAAACCCCATCTCTACTAAAAATACAAAAATTAGCTGGGCGTAGTGGCACACACCTATAATCCCAGCTACTTGGAAGGCTGAGGCAGGAGAAGCGCTTGAACCAGGAGGTGGAGGTTGCAGCTGCAGTGAGCTGAGATCATGCCACTACACTGCAGCCTGGACAACAGAGTGAGACTCTGTTTCAAAAAAAAAAAAAAAAAAAGACACAAAGCAAATTTGGCTCTGAGCTCCTTGGAAACCAGGACCAAAAGAAAAATATGATCAGTAATGAGATTCGTAGCGCTTAAAAGACAAAAGCAAACCACTGATCAGGAGAAACACCTTTTCCAAGGGCTGAGGTTTGAGACAACTTCTCCAAGAAGCTCACAAATACAGCAGTGCCCAATCAGCTGGCCTACAGCTTCAATAACTCACCTGTGTATACCCAGGTAACTATTGGTCAGTTACAAATGGAAGTTCAGTAAAAGAAATTTCTACAGCTGGGCCTCAAATCTGGCTAGATCCTAGTTAAAATTGGCTATGTGGCCTAACATTCCAGAAAACTCCTAGAATATTGCAAACCTCAGCCTATTAAGAATTAACGATTATTAGCAAGAATTGGGAGACAAGAAGATACATTCATCTTTTTTTTTTTTTTTTTTTTTTGAGACGGAGTCTCGCTCTGTCGCCCAGGCTGGAGTGCAGTGGGGCCATCTCGGCTCACTGCAAACTCCGCCTCCCGGGTTCACGCCATTCTCCTGCCTCAGCCTCCCGAGTAGCTGGGACTACAGGCGCCCACCACCTCGCCCGGCTAATTCTTTGTATTTTTAGTAGAGACGGGGTTTCACCGTGTTATCCAGGATGGTCTGGATCTCCTGACCTCGTGATCCGCCCACCTTGGCCTCCCAAAGTGCTGGGATTACAGGCATGAGCCACCGCGCCGGGCGGAGACATTCATCTTAACTTCCAATTAGGCCGGGCCGAGACATTCATCTTAACTTCCAATTAGGCTGGGTTACTTTTACGCCTCTTTTACTGATGAAGAAACTGAGAGTCAGAAAGCCTTAAGTTACACAGGTAGAAAATGTCAGAGCCAGCCCTAAACTCAGGTCTCAGACATCCCTCTCCTAGTGAAGCCTTCCACACTTCAAAAATAGAGCTTATGCCCTCAGCATCTCGGAGGGTGGTGGGCCAAAGGACCAAGGAGAGTTAGAAGGTGCTGGCCTGCACACTTGGAGGGAGATGGTGAAGAGGGCAGCTGGGCCCAGCGATCAGACACATGCTTTCTCCAGAGGGCCAGTTCAACTTCACGCCCCTCCACCCTACCTTCCTGTACCCCAGGGTGGGCGGTAAGACTCCCATTAAACAGATAAACAGATGGAGAAACACCACCCCAAAACATAACAATGATCTCGCAGTGTATACTTGACTTCGCTCATTTATTTATTGTTTTTTTTTTTGTTTGTTTTTGTTTTTGAGACAGGGTTTCAGTCACCCAGGCTGGAGTGCAGTGGTGCGTTCGCGGCTCCTTGCAGCCCCGCCCTCTCGGGCTCAGGTGATCCTCCCATCTCCGCCTCCCGAGTAGGTGGGACTACAGTAGTGTATCAGCACACCCGGCTATTTTTTTTTTTTTTTTTTTTTGTAGAGACAGGGTTTCGCCATGTTGCCTAGGCTGGTCTCCAACCTGGTCTCCTGGGCTCAAGCGATCCGCCCGCCTCGGCCTCCCACAGTGCTGGGATTCCAGGCGTGAGCTACCGCGCCCGGCCTATTTACTTTTCTTACTAAGCTGGGGATCACCGTCGCCCTCGGCTTGGCAGGAAGGCGGGGGTAGGGGAGCGGTGGGAAAGGGGGGTGGGCGACGACTCTGATAGAGGGAAAAGAGGAAGGGAAAGTTGGGGCTTACTGCAGGGCAAGCTCCTTAGGAGAAGGTGGGGAGGAGGAAGGAGGGAGGTCCAGGCCCTTCTTCCATCCCACGTCCTCCACTTCCCAAGGTGCAAGAAGAAAAGAGGTACAGAACACCCAGAGGTGCCCTCGATTCCGTCTTGCACTTGCCCTTCTCCCACCGTCCAGCAATAAAGCGAGAGAAACAAGTGCAGGAAACTGGCCGGCAGTCATGGGAGAAGCCAAAAAGACAGGTGAGCAGCGCGTCCGCCTCCCGCGCACAGGTGAGGGCTCACTTCTGCCTGTCGGCGGCGGCACACACAGGAAAGAGCCAAGCGCGTGCACGCGGGCCCGCCCCTAGGCCTTGCGGCGGCTTCAGCTCAGGCCCTTGCTCTTCCTGGGGCGGCCGCGCTCCGCGGCTTCCCGGGCTGGGCTGCTGTCGCCGCTGTCGGGCCGGCGCCGCACGCGCCACTCCACGCGGTGGTCGGGCTCGAGCACGCGCGGCGTCGCCTGCAGCAGGAACTGGCCGCGGCGCTGGGTGACGCGCACGTCGGCGCGGGGGTAGGTGCCGTACGCGCGCCGCAGCTCCCGGCGCACGAAGTCCGGTAGCTGCAGAGGGGGGCCCCGCGCGCGCTCCACGCGGCCCCAGCGCAGCTCGGTTTGCAGGCTCCCGCCCTCCGGCCACGGCGCCCAGCTCTCGGCCACCGCCGCGGGCGCCTGCAGCGACAGTCCCGAGATGCCGGCGGCGGCGCAGGGCCGGCGCAGGGTCGTGGCGTAGGCCGGAGGGCAGGCCCACCAGGGCGGCGCGGCCTCGGGTGGCGCGGCGGGGCCGTAGAAGCGGTGGTATTCCCGTGGGGCCGCCCACTCGCCCGCATGCAGGCTCCCGGGCCGGCTGCGGAAGCTGTGGGCCTGGACTGGGGGTAGCAGCAGAGGGGCGGCCAGGTAGGTGCAGGTGAGCAGCTGCGGCGGCGGCGGCCAGACGCCCTGTTTGGGCGGCGGCCAGCTGTACACATACATGGTCGGCCCCCCAGGCGGCTGCTGTTCTTACTGGGGGCTCCTGCGGATCCAGACCTGCGGCGGAGGAAGGGATATGTAGACAGACTTTCTACTTAACCGCCTCCTGTCCCTGTGGGCCGGTTCCCCGGGACGCCGGTTCATGGCTTTGGGGGAATTCATCCCAAATCGAACATTCAGCTCCCCGCCTAGCCTCTTGTCCCAAGGTCGGGCAGAGCCTCAGGCTCCCAGCAGACAATAAGGAGCCTTTTCAAGCCCTCCGCCGGGATGCTCTTCCCAGTGACTCCCCACTCACTTGTCTCCTTCAGCCTTGGGGAGCCGGCGGGATCCAGAGCGGGGCTCCTCTCCGCACTTTGTAGCTGCGTTGCTCCGCTCCATGCCCTGCCTCAGCCACTCCTCCTGGTTACCAGGCAAAAGGAAACACCTTGAGCTGGCCAGGAGCTACCAGCGTCTGTCTACACCTGGGTGAGCCGTACTGGTCGTAGTGGCCCCACCCTACAAGGATGCCCTTCCTACAGTATTACTGATGGCTGTCTAATCCGGTTAGCTCCCAGTCACTACACCCCAGCCTCCCAGCGCCTGCAGGTGGATTGGGTTATCCTCACATTTGAGTGAAACTCCTGCACACCAGACACTGAATCGAGTTGTCTGGGAGCATCTAACTGCAAGTTATGTCGATCCGAGGAAGGGGGGTACTGATATTACCCCTGCTTTCCATAGCAAAAAGCTGCTTGCCTCACAGTTGGTGTCCAGTGTATTCAGTGACTGGAGCTTATGTAGGTTAAATAACTCATCCCAACTCACACAGCTGGCTATAGTAAGGGCAAAATTCAACCCCCAGTCTGTCTCAAGACTCAGGCTCACAATGTTGGTCTTATTGCCCACCTGTGCAGGAGCTTCTCGCAGACTGTCTCGAAGTCCTCCCACTCTAGAATGTTACATAAGCGCTTTAATTTTTTTTTTTTTTTTTTTGAGATGGGGTCTTGCTCTGTTGTCTAGGCTGGAGTGCAGCGGCATGATCTCGGCACACTGCAGCCACCGTCTTCCAGGTTCAAGCGATTCTCCCACCTCAGCCTCCCGAGGAGCTGGGATTACAGGTGCACCACCACCTCCTGCTAATTTTTGTAGTTTTAGTAGAGACGGGGTTTTCACTATGTTGGCCAGGCTGGTCCCGAACTCCTGACCTCAGGTGATCCACCCTCCTTGGCTTCCCAAAGTGCTGATTTTACAGGCGTGAGCCATCGCGCCCGGCTGCTTTAAATTCTTTTCTTCCTTTTTTTTTTTTTTTTTTTTGAGACAGAATCTTGCTCTGTCGCCCAGGCTGGAGTGCGGTGGCACGATCTTGGCTTACTGCAACCTCTGCCTCCCAGCTTCAAGCGATTCTTCTGCCTCAGCCTCCCAAGTAGGTGGGACTACAGGCGTGCCCCACCACACCTGGCTAATTTTTGTATTTTTTAGTAGAAATGGCGTTTCACCATATTGGCCAGACTGGTCTTGAACTCCCAACCCCGTGATCCGCCCACCTTGGCCTCCCAAAGTTTTGGGATTACAAGGATGAGCTACTGCGCCCGGCCTACTTTAAATTCTTAATAGCTATGTGAAGTGCATAGTGATGTCATGCTCTTTTAGTAGATAAGGAACCAGAGGCTCAGAGAAGTTAGGCCACTGTCCCAGGTTCACACAGCCTGTAAGTACCACAGTGGAATTTGAACCCAGTCCAACTGATGTCAAAGGCCAGAAGCCATTTGAGTGAAGGCAGGAAGATTGCTTCATCCAGATGGGGTGAGCCCTGTCTGAGTTCCAGTCCCTTCTGGTGTGGGTCACAACCCCTGCACCTCTTCCTTCTCCAGTGGGGAGAGTGGTAGTTATGGATGATTAAAACTGAAACCGTCTCCCAGCTGCAGGGCTGCCATGTTGCCACACTTTCCTTCCCCATCTCCTGTTGACTGAAGCAGTATCACCAGCAGCCCTGACAGAAAGGTTCTTCTGGGTTCTCAGTATCCCTCAAAACTCAGCTACCCTCTGGTGGTGGCCACCATTTGGTGACTCACCCTGGTGATGTCATGCTATTCGTGACTGAGCCACTGCTCCAAGTCTTAATTCGGGCCAGTCCTTTTGAAGGCAGGTGCTGGGGCTGGGCTGTGGATGGAAAAAAGGGGCCTGGTTAGGGTTTCATTTGGACTCTAACACTGTCATAGAAACCCAGATTCAGGCTGGTGAACCTGATGCACAGCTAAGGCCAAACAGTGGGAGATAGAGAAAGGTTTATTTGATTTGGCCAAAGTGAGAAGGCGGGAGAGCAAATCTCTCAAATCCCTATTAACAGAAAAAAAGCAGCAGGGTGGCTTACACCTGTAATCCTAGCACTTTTGGAGGCTGAGGCAGGTGGACTGCTTGAGCTCAGGAGTTCGAGATCAGCCTGGGCAACATGGTGAAACACCGGCTCTACAAAAAAAAAAAAAAAAAAAAACCAGGCATGGTGGCATGTGCCTGTAGTTCCAGTTACTTGGGGCGCTGAGGCAGAATGATCACTTGAGCCCAGGAGGTCAAGCCTGCAGTGAGCTGTGTTCATACCACTGCACTACAGCCTGGGTGGCAGACTGAGAGCCTGTCTCAAAAAGCAGCAGGGAGTTTTTAATGTGACTAAGGAGTGACGGAGGGGGCATTTCAGGGAACCCAGGGTAAAAGTCTGTGTTTCTTCAGTCTCAGATAACCCCTTGAGCCACCAGACTTCTGGGCATCAGCAGCTGGTCACAACGTCCTTCAAGGCATTCATTCCTGCAATTTTTTTTTTTTGAGACGGAGTTTTGCTCTTTTTGTCCAGGCTGGAGTGCAATGGCGGGGATCTTGGCTCACTGCAACCTCCGCCTCCCGGGTTCAAGCCATTCTCCTATCTCAGCCTCCCAAGTAGCTGGGATTACAGGCATGCGCCACCATGGCCAGCTAATTTTTTGTATTTTTAGTAGAGACGGAGTTTCACCATATTGGTCAGCTGGTCTTGAACTCCAGACCTCGGGTGATTCACCCACCTCGGCCTCCCAAAGTGCTGGGATTACAGGCATGAGCCACTGTGCCTGGCCTGCAATTTTTTTTCATGACCACAAAGTTACCTCTTCCTGCTTGACCAAGAAACAGCACATCAGCAGTTTATATTGTGGGAACAAGGAATATTGGGCAAAAAGTGAGTGGTTAGCACGTGCAAGCAAGCATCGGCCTGATCAGAATTTTTTTTCTTTTTTTTTTTCTTTTTGACAAGGTCTCATTCTGTCACCCAGGCTGGAGTGTGAAGGGGTGGGTTGCCCCTCCACACCTGTGGGTTTTTCTCGTTAGGTGGAACGAGAGACTTGGAAAAGAAAGAGACACAGAGACAAAGTATAGAGAAAGAAAAAAGGGGGCCCATGGGACCGGCGTTCAGCACACGGAGGATCCCCCCAGCCTCTGAGTTCCCTTAGTATTTATTGATCATTATTGGGTGTTTCTCGGAGAGGGGGATGTGGCAGGGTCATAGGATAATAGTGGAGAGAAGGTCAGCAGGTAAACAGTGAACAAAGGTCTCTGCATCATAAGGTAAAGAATTAAGTGCTGTGCTTTAGATATGTATACACATAAACATCCCAATGCCTTGAAGAGCAGTATTGCTGCCCGCATGTCCCACCTCCAGCCCTAAGGCGGTTTTCCCCTATCTCAGCAGATGGAATATACAATCGGGTTTTACACCGAGACGTTCCATTGCCCAGGGATGAGCAGGAGACAGATGCCTTCCTCTTGTCTGAACTGCAACGAGGCATTCCTTCCTCTTTTACTAATCCTCCTCAGCACAGACCCTTTACGGGTGTCGGGCTGGGGGACGGTCAGGTCTTTCCCTTCCCACGAGGCCAAATCTCAGGCTATCACATAGGGAGAAACCTTGGACAATACCTGGCTTTCCTAGGCAGAGGTCCCTGCGGCCTTCCGCAGTGTTTTTTGTCCCTGGGTACTTGAGATTAGGGAGTGGTGATGACTCTTAACAAGCATGCTGCCTTCAAGCATTTGTTTAACAAAGCACACCTTGCACAGCCCTTAAGCCATTTAACCCTGAGTTGACACAGCACATGTCTCAGGGAGCACAGGGTTGGGGGTAGGGTTACAGATTAACAGCATCTTAAGGCAGAAGAATTTTTCTTACAGAACAAAATGGAGTCTCCTATGTCTACTTTTTTCTACACAGACACAGTAACAATCTGATCTCTCTTTCTTTTCCCCACAGGAGTTCAGTGGCATGACCAGGGCTCACTGCAACCTTGATCTGGGCTCAAGTGATCCTCCTACCTCAGCTTCCTGAGTAGCTAGGACCACAGGTGTGCACCAACCACACCCGACTAATTTTTGTAGAGATGAGATCCCACTATGTTACCCAGGCTGGTCTTGAACTCCTGGGCTCAGGTGATCATCCTGCCTTGGCTTCCCAAAGTACTGGGATTATAGGCTTGAGCCACCGTGCCTGGCCTGTGATCAGAATTCTCATTTTTTTAGTCACTAAAAATGCTGGGGGGCACTCCATTCTCCATTATGTGATTAGTTCACATTGCATGCTTGTATCAAAACATCATATATACCCCACAAATATATACAAAAAACTTTAAAATTTTAAGTATTAATTGCTCAGGAAAAAATTAAAATGCTGGGGTGCTGAAATCTCAAGGGCCCCATTACAAAACTCCTTAGGAACCTCGCCCTCTCTCTGCTGTAAGGACTGGTTCCAGAATGAGAGAATTTAAAAGACATTCCCCCCCCAAAATGTTCATAATGTCACCCCGGAAACCTGCGAATATGTTATATTACATGACCAGGGAGAAGTAAGGTTGCAGATGGCAGTAAGGTTGCTAATGGGCTGACCTTAAGATAAGGAGATGATCCTGGATTATCTGGGTGGACCCAATGTAATCACAAGGGTCCTTAACTGTGGAATAGTGAGGTGGCTGAGTCAGAGGCAGAGTGATGCAATGACTGAAAGACTTAACCAGCCATCACCGGCTTTGAATACGGAAGACGGTCATGAGCCAGGGAATGCAGGCAGGCTCTGGGAGCTGAAAAAAGCAAGAAAATGGATTCTCCCCTGGAGCCTCCAGAAGGGATGCGGTCCTGCCAACCCCTTGTCAGTGAGCCATTTCAGATTTCTGACTTCCAGGACTGTAAGAAAATAAACTTGTCTTGTTTTCAGCCACCAAGTTTGTGGTGATTTGTTACAACATCAGTAGGAAACTAATACACCTCCCTGCTCCTGTTTATAACTTCGTCCCTGTCCTAAAATCCCAGCACCTGGGAGTATTCACGGCTATCCATGGACTGACCACACCCCAGCCTGGAGTTCAGTAGTGGACCCATGGCACTGGCCAGGTTTTCCATCTCTTCTGGGTGGAGAGTGGGGAGCAAGCAAGACGAAGCTCAAGTGGAGCCTGGGAAGGAAATTTTCAGGCAAAATGAGAAAAATAATGGCCAAGCTGTGAGTTTC
Source organism: Homo sapiens (assembly GCF_000001405.40). Classification (NCBI taxonomy): domain Eukaryota; kingdom Metazoa; phylum Chordata; class Mammalia; order Primates; family Hominidae; genus Homo; species Homo sapiens. The sequence goes on from NC_000010.11 coordinate 102,456,582, forward strand.
TCAGTATTTGTTCACCCTGATTCCAGTGCCAGTCCCCAGTATTTTGAAGTCCCACACCTTATCTATTCTCAGGAAAGTAGTTCTGGTGGAGTTGAATCTACTGTATCCTTAGGTTTGGGTGATTTAGGGCTAAGCCTTTCAGCACAGCCATCCCTCTGGCCATAGTGATTGACTTGGGCTAGCCCTTGACATGATATGGGCCAATGCAAGTCAAGCCTAGGACTTTATTTTCTTGTTGGGTGGAGGGGATTTTCTGCTTTTCCCAGGACAGAAATCAGAAAGGGTCCTGGACTTAACTTACACAGGCCAGTAAATTCCTTCTTTATTTAAGCTAGTTTAAATGGTCTATTGCTTCCACCAATGATACACCCCAGGATATTTCCTAACCGTCCCCCCCCCCGCCAGCACTTTGTTATGAATTATGAAAAAAAATTTTTTTTTAGACGAGTCTCTTTCACCCAGGCTGGAGAGCAGTGGTGTGGTCATAGCTGGGCTCAAGCAATCCTCCCACCTTAGCCTCCTGAGTAGTTGGAACTACAGGTGTGCCTCACCACATTCCACATAATTTTTAAAAATTTTTTATTTTATTACTACTTTTTGAGACAGAGTCTCACTCTGTTGCCCAGGCTGGAGTGCAGTGGCGCGATCTCGGCTCACTGCAACCCCCCGGGTTCAAGCGATTCCCCTGCCTCAGCCTCCCGAGTTGCTGGGACTATAGGCGTGTGCCACCGTGCTCGGCTAATTTTTTGTATTTTAGTAGAGACGGGATTTCACCATGTTGGCCAGGATGGTCTCGATATCCTGACCTTGTGATCCGTCCACCTTGGCCTCCTAAAGTGCTGGGATTACAGTTGTGAGCCACTGCACCCGGCCTGATTTTTTTATTTTTTGAAATTTTTTATAGAGATGGAGTCTCACTATGTTGCCCAGGCTGGTCTCCACCTCCTGGGCTCAAGCGATCCTCATGCCTCAGACTCCCAAGGTGCTAGGATTACAGATGTGAGCCACTGCATCTGGCCATGAAAATTTTCAGTATATAGCAACCTGAGAAGCTTTTGCTCAGGGAAGCTTGCGATCGGAAACTCACTTGAGGGCAAAATGGAGGACAGATTAGAGAGCGTGGGGGTGGAAGCTAGTCATGGAGGAGGTTCTCGTGTTAGCTTATGAAAGCTGAGAACCAAACAGGAGCAAGGGATGGAAAAGACAGATGGGAGTAGGATTCACCTGGACTTGATCCAAGATGGTGGTTTTGATGAAGTGCGTAGGATGGAGGGTGGATGCACATGTTTCCGCCTTGGCCACCTCAATGGACAGTTAAGGCAGTCCTGGAGGTAGAAAATGCTGGAGGGAGATTGGAAGTTTAAGGAATGGTGAATTCGGATGGGCCATTCTGGATATTCTCTTCAGGTTGGACATGGGAGGTGTGGAAGTAGTCATGAAGGAAAAGGTACTAGGTGAAATTACCGTAACAGCTGCCACCCTGGGCTTGTCTCCATCTGGTCCCTATCACACTATTGACATCTTGGCTGCCAGCTTGTTTGGACCCCACTCAACGCCTCTTGCAGGTAGCTATCTTGTTTTTTTTATTTTTTGAGACAGAGTCTTGCTCTGTCAACAGGCTGGAGTGCAGTGGCGCGATCTTGGCTCACTGCAACCTCCGCCTCCCGGGTTCAAGCGATTCTCCTGCCTCAGCCTCCTAAGTAGCTGGGATTACAGGCATCCATCACCGGGCCTGGCTAATTTTTTGTGTGTTTTTTAGTAGAGATGGGGTTTCACCATATTGGCCAGACTGGTTTCAAACTCCTTACCTCAGGTGATCCGCCCACCTCGGCCTCCCAAAGTTCTGGGATTACAGGCGTGAGCCACCGCACCTGGCCAGCAATCTTGTTTTTGAAGTCCCCTTTACCTCACAGCCTGTGGCCTGGCATGGATTAAAAGTTTGAGTGAGTATATGAGTATTCAAGATGGAAACTTGGGACACCCTCCCTTTTCCTTTAGAGGCCCTGGGAGAAAGTGCCGCAGTGAAGGGGACTGAGGAGGAATTATTAGGTAGGAAGAGAACATGGCAGAAACTAGATCAGAGAGGTGGGAAGTAAAGGGAGGAGAGAATTTCAAAGACAGAGAGTGCACAATCTATCTGTCCCATGGTCCAGGGACTCCGGTATGGCTCAATGAGTTAGGGAGGTGATATGGCCTCTAGTTCATTGCATTTCCCCTCCCAGTTAGCTCTGTGACTGGCAACCACAAAGAGAAATCAGACAGAATCACAAGGCCCTGCCCTGATGCTGACATAAAAGGTAACTGGCTACGTTGTCTATATAATCAGAGGGTTGAGGGGCCTCAGAGTGTAACTGTGGGGCATTAAGTGCAACGTGAGAGACCAAAGGTCTTTTCTTTTTTTCTTTTTTCTGTTTTTCTTTTTTTTTTTTTTTTAGCCAGAGTCTCACTCTGTCGCTAGGCTGGAGTGCAGTGGTGCAATCTTGGCTCACTGCAAATTCCGATTCCCTGGATCAAGCAGTTCTCCTCCCTCAGCCTCCTGAGTAGCTGGGATTACAGGCACACGCTACCACGCCCAGCTAATTTTAGTATTTTAGTAGAGATGGGGTTTCACTATGTTGGCCAGGATGGTCTCGATCTCCTGACCTCGTGATCCAACCACCTCAGCCTCCCAAAGTGCTGGGATTACAGGTGTGAGCCACCTTGCCTGGCTGTGAGGGACCAAAGGTCTTTTCTCCTGGGTCACATCCAGCTCTGGCCCCTGCCAGCCCTCCCCATTTCCATTTCCCCACTGGATACCCAGGGAGGGCTAAGTAAAGACTCGGGTTTGCTTTGAAATAAAAGCACATGCTGGCCACAGATAGAAAGGCGGGGAGACTCCTTTAGCAAATGTATGGAGATCCCAGTGTGCCGGACCCCAGGCTGAATGCTGGGTTTTCTGTTCTCACAGCCAGGAAAGCACAGATGGAGGTAAGAGGTGAGGAGAGGGACAAAATGATCACCTGTCTTCTACTCATGAGGCTTTCTGGATCAGGAGGAGTTTCAGCAGTTGTCTAAGTCTAGAAGAGAGATGGTTGTATGTATGTGTGTGCGTGTATGTGTGGCTTGGGGTGACATGGGAAGTGTGAAGGGTGTCCGAAAGAGAGAGATTGGGAAGGAGGGAAATGAGACAGGTTAGTGGGAGATGGATTCTGGGGGCAAGGTTCATGGCATCCCTGGGGGCTCCTCAGGAACTGGTTGAATAATCTGTAGCCCCTGGACACTAGGCGTCTACATTGGACCATTTGCTGTGGTTGTTAGGAGGAGGACAACATTCCTGTTGCAGGAAGTTAGCCGACAACCATCAATGAAGGTCATAAGGATGAGCAGTTCACAAAGCTCCTACACCCTTGTTTCTCATTTAATGTCTGAAAAATCCCTGTAAAGCATAAAACAGACTCACAAAAGGAGGGTCCCAGCCAGGTGCAGTGACTCACGCTTATCATTCCAGCACTTTGGGAGGCTGAAGCGGGAGGGTCCCTTGAGCCCAGGAGTTCAAGACCAGCCTGGGTAACATAGTGAGACTCCATCTCTACAAATAATTCTAGAAATTAGCCAGGCATGGTGGAGTGAGGTGGTGGTCCCAGCAACTTGGGAGGCTAAGGTGAGAGGATCATCTGAGCCAGGGAGGTGGAGGTTACAGTGAGCTGAGATCATGCCACCACTGCACTCTAGCCTGAGCAACAGAGCAAGACCCTGTTTCAAAAAATAATAATAAAGAAGTCCCTTAGCAAAGAAGTGTTGGAGCTAGGGGTTGAGTTCCAAGTCCCCCATAAGGCAAAGGCCACAGGCTTTTTGCCCTGTGTCCCAAGGTAGGGGAACCAGGCAGAGCTGGAATGTGTGCTGTTTGCTTGCCCAAAAACCTATCCAGGCTTACAGGCCAATTGGGAGAAAACATAAAACATCCTCCACAGCCTACATTGAGCCAAACAAAACTTGATTTTGAGGGATTGTGCAGGTGTGGGAAGAGGAAAGACTCTTGTTATGGGAGTCAGGATAGCGGGTTCCACCTCGACTGGGCCCTTGCTGTTTGCGTGTCATTGAATCTCTCTGAAATGCAGTTTCTTCACATATAAAATGTGGATAAAAGCGCCTACCTCCTAGGAATGATGTGAGGACTCAACAAGAGAATGCACGTGTTGTTCTGAATGTAGTACGGTGCACATAGCAAGCACTCAGTACTCCTTAGGTTTTATTATTGCCGTTATTAATACAAAGAGGTTGTGCTGCATGGTTGCTCATTCAGGCCCTGGTGGCTGTTTCCCACCTTCAGCCCTGGCTCCTGTGGCTAGAGCCCTGGTGCCCACAGCTCAACCTGGACCTGTCCACCCTTGAAGGGCTCATGATGCAGCATCAGGGAGTCCCAGATCGAGCCGCTGACACCTCCAAGTCGGCTGCAGCTGTGCATCCGCTCAGACCACAAGACTCAATGGAGGATGCTGACCTCTCTTTGTTCTCCCAACGAGTACTAGGCAAGGAGGGAAGGAAGGTGAGCGCTTAGAAAAAACGTGTTGGTTTCAACTGAAATGACATTAAGCTATCGTGGAGGTAAAGGAGAGGGGTTGAGCCGGTCAGGAATCCAGGCAACCTGACCCTATTTGCCAGTGTCCGCTTTTAATTTTGGTCGCTAAGGGCAAGCGCCCGTGACAAACATGGCGGCGGCAGCCTCAGGCGCAGTCACCTGCCGGAGCTGCGCCCGGGGGCCGCGCGGAGCCAATCGCTGGGCGGGGGCGGAGGGAGAGGCTGGGGAAGCCCTAGAAGTGCGCGCAGGCGCATTGGCTCGCACCTGGCTCCCGCCAGCCGTGGGATTAGGCTTCGCCGGCTACGATTGCGGTGAGACGCTGGCCAGCGGCCGGGGCTCGCGGGCAGGAGCGGGCTGGGCTGGGGCCGATCTGGCACAAACGACAGACCCGAGGGGGAGGGGAATGCTTTGCGCTCTGGGAGTCATGGGGGCTATCTGCGGGGGTCTTTGGGGTGATCATATTGTGGATTGGGAGAGTTGTGTGGTCCGGGCGGAAGAAGCGGGGTTCAAGGGGGCAAGGGTGGAATCCTCGCAGAAAGGCTCTCCGGGGGTCTGGAGGAAAGGGATGCAGTGGGTCAAATAGCTCCCTGGTGGTCTGGGATCGAGGGATGCACTGGTCAGGTCGGGATCCGTGCCATTAGCATAAAGGCATTTAACCCTGGTGGCACTTGGGGAGCTTTGAAAAACACCGATGCTGGGCCCGCCCGAAGAGATTCCGATTTAACTGTTCTGGGTGAGGCCTGGGCCTCGGTATTATTGCACAGCTCCTCAGGTGATTTTAACGTGCAGGCGGTGGGGAGCAGCCCTACACGTGTTTCAGCACCAGCTATTGAGTGAAGAGCTCCTGGGCTGATCCCAAACTCCTCAGTGGCTTGGGAGGGGTGGGTGGTCCTGAGGTGAAGCTGTCGCCTCTTCTGGGACCTGTGGGGGAGGGAGAGGGAGAAGGTCCCCATCTCAACAAGTTGAAAGCTCATTTCCAGCCGGAGGAGGAGGATGGGCCCCCACCCCCCAACCCTGGTGCTAGACCCTGCTGTGGGGAGACTGGGCAGGAAGACAAGACCCCGAGAGTGAAACAGGAAACACAGCAGACAATTCAGGGGTCAGCTGCCTGTTGAGAAAAGGGCACATATTATACCTTTCATGTTCATTTGTTCATTTGGTATTCCTGAGGATAGGCAGAGAATGGAATTGTTTTCTCTGCTTCACAGATGTAGGAATAGACTCAGATAGTAAGTTAAAGATAATGTTCACACCTGACCCAGGGCTCCTGACTCCAAATTATGCCTCTTCTTAGCTTTTACCTCTGCACTAATGTCTCTTGTACAGTCTGATACCTCTCACTCCAGGGGCCCAGTTCGGCATTCTTGGTTTCCGCCACTAAATTCATCAACCTCCCCCACCCACCATAGGTTGGTTCAGAAATCAGGGAGATGTTGCTGCTTCCATCCCTTTCTAGTCTTTACCTACCAGGGGCCTGGTAGGGTGAAGGGGAAGAGTTTTGACACCTGCTAGAGGGCTTCTTCCAAACAGATCTGTCACTTCCCCACCCCCAGCGCCCCACCTGTTGTCCTCAGCATAGAATCTTGCACAAGGTTTACAAAACCCTTCCTGATGTGGCCCCTTTCTCCCGCGCTGCTCTGAGCTCTCTTCCCAGATTGTTTCTGTGTCTCTTAGCACAGTGCTGTGCACCCGGCGAAAGCTTAATAAATGTTCCTCTGTTATGATCACTATTCTTCTTTGTACCTGCTGCCTTGCTTTAGTGTCTTACTCAGAGAGGCACATCAAGCCTCCCAGGCTGCCCCTTCTCTCTGACTCCCACAGTTAAGCAGAACACAGAGCTAGGAGGGGCACAGTGGGGTCTGAAGATGACAGTTTTCCTATGACTGCTGCTGCTGTTCCCTAGGGCTGAGGATGTTGTTGATATTGACCTTTTAGGGGCCAATCGACCCAGCAGGGATTGACTGAGCAAGCTGAGGGAGCCTGGTGGAGGCAAAGGGCAGGGATCAAGGGCGGGACTAACCCAGCCCTGCTTTTTTTTTTTTTTTTTTTAAGAGACGGAGTCTCACTCTGTCCTCCAGGCTGGAGTGCAGTGGCGCGATTTCGGCTCACTGCAAGCTCCTCCTCCCGGGTTCACGCTATTCTGCCTCAGCCTCCCGAGTAAGCTGGTACTACAGGCGTGCCCGCCACCACGCCTGGCTAATTTTTGTATTTTTAGTAGAGAGGAGGTTTCATCGTGTTAGCCAGGATGATCTCGATCTCCTGACCTCGTGATTCGCCCGCGTCGGCCTCCCCAAGTGCTGGGATTACAGGCGTGAGCCACCGCGCCCGGTATCAGCCCTGCTTTTAAGAAGCCTGTGGGCTGGAGGAGGGGAAGGGAGGCATTTGGATGCCTGATAAGGGGGAAAACGGGAGAGAACACGTGATTGGGTGTGCTTGGGAAAGCCGTGACACTGGATGAGCAGGATTTGATAAGATGGGGGCAGGGTGTGGGGGGGATGATGAAGTGAGAACGCTGTTGTTTTAGTCAAAACCTGTTTTGAATCTTGACTCCAGCACCTACTAGCTTTGTAACTTGGGCCTGTTATTTAATCTTCAGAGCCTTGGTTTCTTCATGTACAGAACGTGAATGCAGATAGTAACAGAGCTGTAAGGGGTCTGATGATGGATATAAAAGCCAAGCATACCCTGTATGGCTGAGGAATAGTATATAGTTATCCTAGGGTATCTTAGGTGACAGGAACAGCATGAACAAAAGTGTGGAGGTGGCATTTAGAAAGGAATTTGATGGATGGCAGACAAGAGGGGCTAGGATATTCCAGGTGGCAAAAGGCATAAAGCTTGGGTGCTGGAAAGACAATTTCAATCATGGATTTGGCAGAAAGGTCAATGATTTTTATTTTTGATTGATGTTGCCCCAGCTGGTCTCTAACTTCTGGCCCCAAGTAATCCTTCTGTCTTGGCCTTCCCAAGTCCTAAAATTACAGGCATGAGCCACAACGCCCCACCTAGTGACTGATCTTTAAAGATCATGAAACCACACGGTGGCTCTCGCCTGTGAGCCAGCACTTCAGGAGGCCAAGGCGGGCGGATTGCTTGAGGTCAGGAGTTCAAGACCAGCCTGGCCAACGTGGCGAAACCCCGTCTGTACAAAAAATACAAAAATTAGCCAGGCATGGTGGCGCACGCCTGTGATCCCAACCATTTGGGAGGCTGAGGCAGGAAAATTTCTTGAACCTGGGAGGCGGAGGTTGCAGTGAGCCAAGATCCCACCACTGCACTCTAGCCTGGGCGACAGAGTGAGACTCCGTCTCAAAAAAAAAAAAATCATGAAACCAAACTTCAAAGAAATGGAAAGAAAATGGCTACTGTAGGCCGGGCGCAGTGGCTCATGCCTGTAATCCCAGCAGTTTGGGAGGCCAAGGTGGGTGGATCACAAGGTCAGGAGTTCAAGACTAACCTGACCAACATGGTGAAACCCTGTCTCTACTAAAAATACAAAAATTAGCTGGGCGTGGTGGTGCATGCCTGTAATCCCAGCTACTCGGGTGGCTGAAGCAGGAGAATTGCTTGAACCTGGGAGGCAGAGGTTGCAGTAAGCCGAGATTGTGCCACTGCACTCCAGCCTGGGCAACAGAGCGAGACTCTGTCTCAAAAAAAAAAAAAAAAGAGGAAAAAGAAAAAGAAAATGGCTACTGTGGGCCAGGCATAGTGGCTCACACCTGTAATCCCAACACTTTGGGAGGCCGAGGCAGGTAAATCACTTGAGGTCAGGAGTTCAAGACCAGCCTGGCCAATATGGTGAAACCCCAGTTCTATGAAAAATACAAAAATTAGGCCGGGTGTGGAGGCTCATGGCTGCAATCCCAGTACTTTGGGAGGCCGAGGCAGGCGGATCACAAGGTCAGGAGTTTGAGACCAGCCTGACCAATATGGTGAAACCCCGTCTCTACTAAATATACAAAAAAAAAATTTGCCGAGTGTGGTGGCGTGCGCCTGTAAATCCCAGCTACTCAGGAGGCTGAGGCAGGAGAATGGCTTGAACCCAGGAGGCAGAGGTTGCAGTGAGCCTAGATTGCGCCACTGCACTCCAGCCTGGGCGACAGAGCAAGACTCCATCTCTACAAAAAGAAAAAAAATTAGCCGAGTGTGGTGGCAGGCGCCTGTAATCCCAGCTACTGAGGAGACTGAGGAAGGAGAATTGCTTGAACCCAGGAGGCGGAGGTTGCAGTGAGCTGAGATTGAGCCACTGCACTCCAGCCTGCGTGACAGAGCGAGACTCTATCTTTAAAAAAAAAAAAATAGCTGCTGTGTATTGAGGGTCTTCCACGTAGCAGGCACTTGGCTTTAAATTCCTTTTGCATTTCAGCCCACAGCCATCTAAGAGGTTGACATTAACATCCCCACTTTGTGGGCGAGGAGCCTGAGGCTCAGGGAGAGGGAGTGACTGGCTCAAGGCCACCAGCTGGGACCATGAGGGTGGGTCTTGGAAGGTGCCAGGGAGGTGGGTGGAGTTGGTTGCAGGTTACAGGATTTCTCACCAGCTTATGCAAGGAGGCTGGTGTGGGCTCCAAGCTGTTCTTCCCTGGGAGAGGTGGGGCTGCTGTTCTCTGCTGGGGCAGATTGAGGGTGGGGAGGGCAAGTGGGAGAAGGCTGTTTCCCGATGGAGGAGTGGAATCTGGAAGAGAAAACATTAAAAGAGTAACCCTGCACACTCCTGCCTCAGCTTCCTCTCCAGGATGGCTGTTTACCTGGACAAGTTGCAGTTGGCACAGGTCTACAGGGGGCCGGGGGCAGTTTGTCTTTGGCATTCTCAAACATTGTATGTGTTCCTGCTCCTTGCAGGCCCCCATCTTCTGACTTTTCCTCGTGTGACCCATCTTTTCAAATTCCCTTACCTGAGGAAGGAGCCCGATTACAAGGATATTTACCTGCTCCTACCCTGATCTAGGTGAGCCCAATAAAAAGCTACTTTCTGAGCATCTTCCGTGTGACAGCACGGTGCTCTGTGCTTCCTGGACATTTGTTTAATCCTTTCTGTACCCCTGTAAAGATAGGCATTATTGGCCAGGCGCGGTGGCTCACACCTGTAATCCCAGCACTTTGGGAGGCTGAGGTGGGTAGATCACCTGAGGTCAGGAGTTCAAGACCAGCCTGGGCAACATGGTGAAACCCCATCTCTACAAAAATACAAAAATAAGCTGGGCATGATGGCAGGTGCCTGTAATCCCAGCTACTCGGGAGGCTGAGGTGGGAGAATTGCTTGAACCTGGGAAGCGGAGGTTGCAGTGAGCCAAGATTGCACCATTACACTCCAGCCTGGGCAACAGAGCAAGACTCCACCTCAAAAAAAAAAAAAAAAAAAAAGATAAGCATTATTACCTGATTTTATAGATGAGGAAACTCCGGCCCAGAAGGGTTGAATTGCCTGAGGTTACACTCTTAGTAGGAAGTACAGTTGGGATTTGAACCCAGGCCCTGCTGATGGCAAAGGTCATACCTGTTCCATCTCATTAACCTTTGAGGTTTTCTTCTACCCAGTGTGGGTGCAGGGAGGTGGCTGGGGGAGGCTGGGGACCTTGTGTTCAGGGCTCACCTTCTCCAGCAACAAGGACAAATCACTGGGCATCTGGGTAGGCGGGGGGAGCCTTCACTCCATTTTGACAAAGGCAGGAGAGTTCTGAAAGCCCTGGAGGAATTGGAGTAAGTGACCCTGCTAAGGATAGTGACAGAGGCGGACATTGTGCTTTACAGCCCTAAGCACCTTTAGAGAGCGTCTCATTTAATTCCCACCTCAGCCCTGTGTGGCGGGCATGGGGCCTCTCCATTTTAGGGAAGGGCTGAGAGGTTGGATAGTAATGATCTGTAAAGCTTTAATGCTCACCATTTTTAAACATTTATTTGTATTTATTTCTTTTTGAGGTAGAGTCTTGCTCCGTCGCCCAGGCTGAAGTGTAGTGGCATGTTCTGGGCTCACTGTAACCTCCACCTCTGGGGTTCAAGCGATTCTCCTGCCTCAGCTCCCCAGTAGCTGGGATTACAGGCGCCCGCCACCACGCCGGCTAATTTTTGTATTTTTAGTAGAGACGAGGTTGTGCCATGTTGGCCAGACTGGTCTCAAATTCCTGGCCTCAAGTGATCTGCCCACCTTGGCCTCCCAAAGTGCTGGGATTACAGGTGTGAGCCACTCCGCCCAGCCCCATATGTCTTTTTAACATACGTTACTCAGAAAAGCAGTGTCGAGGGAATGTAGGGTAATAGATGTGTTCATTATCTTGTTTGTGGTTATGATTTCACAGGTACATGCATATGGTAAAACTTATCAGCTTGCATGCTTTGAAAACTGTGCAGTTTAGTGTTTGTCAATTAGACCTGAATAAAGCTTTGAGGAAAAAAAGAAATGCATTTTCTTCAGGGGGTTCAAGGGCCTCAGGGAAAGGCCATCCTCCTGCCTTGGGACAAGATAGGATCACTGTGGCCCACGGGGGTGGTGGTGGGGACTTGCAGGCTTACAGTGCTTCTTCTTTTTTTCTTTTTGAGACTGAGTTTCGCTCTTGGTGCCCAGGCTAGAGTGCGTTGGCGCAATCTTGGCTCACTGCAGCCTCTGCCTCCCGGGTTCAAGCAATTCTCCTCCCTCAGCCTCCCTAGTAGCTGGGATTACAGGCATGTGCCACCATGCCCGGCTAATTTTTTGTATTTTTAGTAGAGACGGGGTTTCACCGTGTTGGCCAGGCTGGTCTTGAACTCCTGACCTCAGGTGATCCGCCTACCCCGGCCTCCCAAAGTGCCTTATTACAGGCGTGAGCCACGGCACCCGGCTGGGTCTCAGGGTTTTTATAAGCATAGGATGGGGGTGTGGTGGGCCGGGTGGTCTTGGGAAATGCAACATTTGGGCAGGAAAAAAAAAAATGCCTGTCCTCACCTAGGTCAGGCCCAGGGGTGGAGCCCTAGCCAGGGACCACGCCCTCCTCTACCCAGCACTTCCCTTCCCTGATTCCATATCATTTAAAGGGACCACATTCTTCCGTTTCTGGCACTTCCCTTCCCGTCTTCCTTATCAATACCAACAGTGAGTGCTTTCTGTGAGTTACCTTGTTTAATCCTTATGATTTGCAAAATAGGCCTAACAATCTCCTTTTACCTTTTGCAGAAGAGGAAGCTAAGGCCTGGGTTGGGTAACTGCCTGACGTTTTACTGTAAGTGCATTGTGTGCCCAAGCTCAGGGTTGTCCCGTCTAGACCATTAAAGTCACACAGTGCAATTTAAGAAGACAATGAGGCAATCTCAGCACTTTGGGAGGCCGAGGTGGGTGGATCACAAGGTCAGGAGATCGAGACCATCCTGGTGAATGAAACCCCGTCTCTACTAAAAATACAAAAAATTAGCCGGGCGTGGCGGCGGGTGCCTGTGGTCCCAGCTACTCGGGAGGCTGAGGCAGGAGAATGGCGTGAATCCGGGAGGTGGAGCTTACAGTGAGCGGAGATCTGGCTACTGCACTCCAGCCTGGGCAACAGAGCGAGACTCTGTCTCAAAAAAAAAAAAAAGACATCGAGCATCCAGCCCTGGCACGCGACCTGGCTCAGCACTTGCTGGGTGTCTGCCGTCTCTTCCCACAGGCTCTCTGTTTCCTCGAGTCACTCCCAGATTAGTGGTGTCTAGCTCAGCACTGTTTCTGTTATACTTCATTCATAATTCCCAGCGCTGTTGTAAGTACAAACTCTCTCCTGTTGGAAATGAGTTTTTAAATGATTCAGAGGTCTGGGGTTAAGAACAGAGCTGGCTCTGATCCCTGTTGCTCACTGGTTCCTTCTTCCCCAGGGACGAGGATGGGAAGACCGCCTGTGGCCATGAGCCCTCCCCGGTGCTCCTGGGGCTAAGGCTGGGGCTGCAGCCATGGGGCTGGGTCAGCCCCAGGCCTGGTTGCTGGGTCTGCCCACAGCTGTGGTCTATGGCTCCCTGGCTCTCTTCACCACCATCCTGCACAATGTCTTCCTGCTCTACTATGTGGACACCTTTGTCTCAGTGTACAAGATCAACAAAATGGCCTTCTGGGTCGGAGAGGTAGGGCCAGTGCTGGGTGGCTAACATGGAGGAGGGGGTGGGGTGGAGACTAGAGGCTGCCCAGGCTGCTGGGCAGATTGCAGGTGCCTGGTCCCACCCAGTCAGAGGCCTGGGCAGTCCAGGTTGTTCACCAAGACTCATCAAGAAAAGCTGTGGAGGCCTTGATGACTCCTCCTCGATGGGGACTAGACTAGCTTTCCTGGCCACTGTCTTACATAGTTGCTGTTCTGTGTACTCATATATATAATATGTTCACGTATATGAATTTATCAGCTGCATACATTTACCAGCTGGGCCCTGGATGGGTGGGAGTTTGAAGGGGGCAGTGGTTTGACTGGCAGAGTAGGTTTTTTTGTTTTTTTTTTTGAGATGGAGTTTCACTTTTGTCTCACAGGCTGGAGTGCAATGGCGCAATCTCAGCTCACTGCAACCTCCGCCTTCGTGGTTCAAGTGATTCTCCTGTCTCAACCTCATGAGTAGATGGGATTACAAGCACCCGCCACCACGCCCGGCTAATTTTTGTATTTTTAGTAGAGACGGGGTTTCGCCATGTTGGCCAGGCTGGTCTCAAACTCCTGACCTCAGGTGATCCACCTGCCTCGGCCTCCCAAAGTGCTGGTGTGAGCCACCAGCGCCTGGCCAGAGTGGGTTTTAGCAGAGGAACTGACACCAGCAAAGGTTTGCAGGTAGGAAAGCTGGGGCCATCTTTCAGGGGTGGTGAGCAGGCTGAGGGGGGAGGAGCCCTGGAGAGGATGCTGTCTAGAGCCCACCTTCCTGTCTCCCCTCTGCCTGCAGACAGTGTTTCTCCTCTGGAACAGCCTCAATGACCCCCTCTTCGGTTGGCTCAGTGACCGGCAGTTCCTCAGCTCCCAGCCCCGGTTGGTGTATTGGGAACAGCTCGTAATTGGTTCAGTCCCACCCTACTGCTACCCAGGAGGGAGGACCCCTGCCTGTGTTTGGGGTGGGGAAGGAAGGGGAGACTATTTCAGTGTTGCCCATGGCTCTTCCCTTACTGGGGTCCAGGGTGCTCTGTTTGGGTTGGAGAGGTGGCCTTGGACGTACACTTGCCTGGCTCGGCAGGGGAAGAGATCTACCCTGGCTTGGCTTGGTTGGCCCCTCTGGACTGTGGACTGCAAACACCCTCTGCTGCTTCTGGAAGATTCCTTTGCCCCATCCCTGCTTGAGCCCGTCATCACCCCCAACCTTGAGAAGTGGGCATCCCATACCCTTTGGCCATCAGCCCAACAGGCTAATAAGGGGGTGGAAATTGGGGCAGAGGAGGAGAGTGTACCCACTGGTGAGTTGTGCTTCCTAAGTTGCAGACTGGGGACTTAGGGGACAGTGGCACCACCCTGTTGTGAGTCCCACACCCTGGGCCTCCATCCCTCCCCTGGGGCCTGGGCAAGGGGAACTTCAGCCTGCCAAGTCTGACACGGCATCTCCCAACAACTCTCCTTTCCCCGGCAGGTCAGGCGCCGGGCTCTCCTCAAGGGCTGTGGTGCTGGCCCGGGTGCAGGCCCTGGGCTGGCATGGGCCGCTGCTGGCGCTGTCGTTCCTGGCGTTCTGGGTGCCCTGGGCCCCAGCTGGCCTGCAGTTCTTGCTGTGCCTGTGCCTCTATGATGGCTTCCTGACGCTCGTGGACCTGCACCACCATGCCTTGCTGGCCGACCTGGCCCTCTCAGCCCACGACCGCACCCACCTCAACTTCTACTGCTCCCTCTTCAGCGCGGCCGGCTCCCTCTCTGTCTTTGCATCCTATGCCTTTTGGAACAAGGAGGATTTCTCCTCCTTCCGCGCTTTCTGCGTGACACTGGCTGTCAGCTCTGGGCTGGGCTTTCTGGGGGCCACACAGCTGCTGAGGCGGCGGGTTGAGGCGGCCCGAAAGGACCCAGGGTGCTCAGGCCTGGTTGTGGATAGCGGGTGAGTGGCCAGCCCCGGCTCTTCAGGTCCTCACCAGCAACCTTCTAAGTCTGATTTCGGTGCTGGGTCCCCGGCTGATGGGGGCTGCCCTGGGATGTGTTGGGGGATAACTCTGGCCAGCCCCAGGCAGTTCTCCACTCCCTTCTGCCCCATAGCCTGTGTGGAGAGGAGCTGCTTGTAGGCAGTGAGGAGGCGGACAGCATCACCTTGGGCCGGTATCTCCGGCAGCTGGCACGCCATCGGAACTTCCTGTGGTTCGTGAGCATGGACCTGGTGCAGGTATGGGGAGCAGCTCCCGGCCCCTCTACAGCTGGGCTGGACTTCACTCAAGGGGACAGACTCCTCAAGAGCTGGGAACTTGGCCACGCATGGTGGCTCATGCCTGTAGTCCCAGCACTTTGGGAGGCTGAGGTGGGTGGATCACTTGAGGACAGGGGTTCGAGACCAGCCTGGCTAACATGGCGAAACCCCATAAAAATACAAAAATTAGCTGGGCGTGGTGTAATTCCAGCATATCTGTAATTCCAACTACTTGGGAGGCTGAGGCAGGAGAATCACTTGAACCCGGAAGGCGGAGGTTGCAGTGAGCTAAGATGGCACCACTGTACTCCAGTCTGGGCAACAGAGTGAGACTCCTTCTCAAAGAAAAAAAAAAAAAGAGCTGGGAACTGAGTTCTGGGCCACCCAGGAGGTCTGCTGGGCAATTCGATGGCAGGAATGCAGGTTGAGTAGTCAGGAGGCCTGGATTCTAGCTCCCTCTGAGCTTTTCCCTCCCTATGTGATCTTAGGCAGGTCTCAGGCTCTCTGGGTAGCCCTGTCCTCTCCTGTAAAGTGAGGATATGAGACAGAGATGCCCCCTTTGGGGACCCTCTAACAATCTTTTTAAGACAGCAACCACTGCCAGGTGCAGTGGCTCACGCCTGTAATCCCAGCACTTCGGGACGCCAAGGTGGAAAGACCGCTTGAGCCCAGGAGTTCGAGGCTGCAATGAGTTATGATTGCACCACTGCACTCCAGCCTGGGCGGCAGAGAAAGGCTCCATCTCTAAAAAAAGAAGAGCTAAGTGCTGTACCTAAAACATGCAGTATATAAACTGGCTGAACTTAGAAATAAACTGTTTTCATGTTATGAAATTTGTTTCACTAATGTGTTTTCTTTTCTTTTTTTTTTCTTCTCACTTTGTTGCCCAGGCTGGAGTGTAGTGGCATGATCTAGGCTCACTGCAACCTCTGCCTCCTGGGTTCAAATGATTCTCCCACCTCAGCTTCCTGGGTAGCTGGGATTATAGGCATGCAACACAACACCCGACTAAGTTTTTATATTTTTAGTAGAGACGGGGTTTCGCCATGTTGGCCATGCTGGTCTCAAACTCCTGGCCTTAAGTGATCTGCCTGCCTTGGCCTCCCAAAGTGCTAAGGTGCTAGGATTACAAGTGTGAGCCCCTGTGCCGAGCCTCACTAATGTGTTTTCAATTAAAAAGAAAAAGCTTTTAATTGCTCCAGTACTATTTTGCCGTGGCTTCTAACTTTTTAGCAAAGTTAGATAGCACCAGGAATGTGGTTTTAGGTTGTGTTCTGGCATGTTCTGTGTTTAGGGACATGGGGAAAAAGGCCTGCTCTCGCTCTTGCTGCTCTGAGGATGGGGAGTTGGGGGGGATGTGTGTTCCCCTGTTGGCTTCTGGCCTTGTCAGCTCTCCTCCCACTGGAAGCCTCCTCACCATCCCTGTCGGGTTGCAGGTCTTCCACTGCCACTTCAACAGCAACTTCTTCCCTCTCTTCCTGGAGCATCTGTTGTCCGACCATATCTCCCTTTCCACGGGCTCCATCCTGTTGGGTGAGTGTGGACCTTGGGTGCTTCATGCAAGCTGGAAGGAGAGAGACCTGTATTTTTAGTAGAGATGGGGTTTCACCGTATTAGCCAGGATGGTCTCCATTTCCCGACCCAGTGATCCACCTGCCTCTGCCTCCCAAAGTACTGGGATTACAGGTGTGAGCCACTGCGCCCAGCCAGGGACAATCTTTTTAAGACACCAAGTGCTGCCGGGTGCAGTGGGCATGGGGGGCAGGGTGTGGTGGGTGTTGAGGGGGGCGGAGGCTGTGCTGGTGTGGGTCCTCTTGGAGATGGTGGCACCCTGAGGGGGTGCAGTGGCTGGTTAACACAGAGGAATATCATCTGATGGGCCTGGGTGTGAGTCTTGACTCTGTGCTCATTTGGTGGGCAGCCTCAGGTGGGTTAGTTCATCTTTTTGGGCCTCTCTTTCTCATCCGTAAAGTGGGGATGATAATAGTACTCACCTTAAGGGGCTGTGAAGATGAACTAAGACAGTGAAGCTCTTAGCACAGAGCCCAGTGCATCGCTAGTGTACAGGAATGCAGTCGGCTGTGAAGCTGATGGCGCTCACTGGCACTGCAGCAGTGCCCTTGACAAGGTGGCTCCCCGTCTTCCTCCCCAGGCCTCTCCTATGTCGCTCCCCATCTCAACAACCTCTACTTCCTGTCCCTGTGCCGGCGCTGGGGCGTCTACGCGGTGGTGCGGGGGCTCTTCCTGCTCAAGCTGGGACTTAGCCTGCTCATGTTGTTGGCCGGCCCGGACCACCTCAGCCTGCTGTGCCTCTTCATTGCCAGGTATGCCCCTGCCCACGCTCCCCGCAACACCTCCATCCCATGCCTTCATTCCTGCCTGCTCTCTCCCTCTACTGCAGCAACCGCGTCTTCACTGAGGGCACCTGTAAGCTGCTGACCTTGGTGGTCACTGACCTGGTAGACGAGGACCTGGTGCTGAACCACCGCAAGCAGGCAGCCTCGGCACTCCTCTTTGGCATGGTTGCCTTGGTGACCAAGCCAGGCCAGACCTTTGCCCCGCTGCTGGGCACCTGGCTGCTCTGTTTCTACACAGGTGAGGGCCTGGTAGCAGGCAAGGGCTCTTAAGGCTCCAGGGGGCACAGCTTACCTGGCACAGTGGCTGGCAAGCCTGGGCTCTGGGTCCAGTGACGGAAGGTGGCAACTGGCGTCCCCTCAACATGGCTAGAGTCACTGGGTCACCGATTCCGCCATGCTTTCTTAGTTCATTCATTTATTCATTCATTCAACAAATATGTACGGAATCCCTTCTCTGCAGGTCCTGCTGTGGGTGCCAGGGAGCTAACCATGAATAAGATAGAC
Source organism: Homo sapiens (assembly GCF_000001405.40). Lineage (NCBI taxonomy): Eukaryota > Metazoa > Chordata > Mammalia > Primates > Hominidae > Homo > Homo sapiens. The sequence continues at coordinate 102,474,279 of NC_000010.11, forward strand.
AAAGTCTTTGCCACCACGGAGCTTGTATTCTAGTCAGGGGTGGGCTGGGGTTGGCAATAAACATCCAAACAAGACATTATCAGGCAGTAATAGTGTTATGGTGAAATTAAGGTGATGTGAGATGGCGTGACCAAGAAGCTATGTAGTATTATCAGGGAAGGCCTCTCCGAGAAGGTGCCCCTCAGGATGTGAGCTGAATGGCAAGGATTTGTCTAGAAAAGGTCTCAGTGAATCGCAGGCAGAGGGAACAGCAGGCGCAAAGGCCCAGGGTGTCAGGGGTGATTAGGAAATGTGGCTGGAAAAGCGAAGAGGACTTTGTTGATCAGGGCAGTGTTGGAAGCAAGCTGTTGGGAGGGTTTTATTTTTATTTATTTATTTATTTACTTTTTGAGATAGGGTCTCCCTGTCACCCAGGCTGGAGTGCAGTGGCACGATCTTGGCTCACTGCAGCCTCGACCTCCCAGGTTCAAGTGAGCCTGCCACCTAGCCTCCCAAGTAGTTGGGACCACAGGCGTATGCCACCATGCCTGGGTAACTTTTTGTATTTTATGTAGAGATGGGGTTTTGCCAGGTTGCCCAGGCTGGTCTCAAACTCCTGAGCTCAGGTGATCCACCCACCTTGGCCTCCCAAAGTGCTGGGATTACAGGCATGAGCCACCACGCCCGGCCAGGGAGGGTTTTAAACAGGGAAGTGACGTAGTGTGATTGACTTTTTAACAAAATTCACTCTGGGCTGGGTGAGGTGGCTCACACCTGTAATCCCAGCACTTTGGGAGGCTGAGGAGGGCAGATCACCTGAGGTCAGGAGTTTGAGACCAGCCTGGTCAACATATAGTGAAACCCCCGCCTCTACTAAAAAATACAAAAATTAGCTGGGTGTGGTGGCGCATGCCTGTAGCCCCAGCTATTTGGGAAGCTGAGGCAGGAGAATCGCTTGAAACTGGGAGGCCGAGGTTGCAGTGAGTGGAGATCGTGCTACTTCACTCCAGCCTAGGTGACAGAGCGAGACTCCCTCTTTCCAAAAAAAAAAAAGTTCACTCTGGCTGCCATATGGACAGCAGATCATAGGGAGGCCAGAATGGGGACAGCAGGGACATCTTTGGGAGACTGGCAGAGGCCGTGGAGACTTGGGCCAGGGTGGTGGCAGGTGGGATACGTTTTGGAGTTGGGGGGAGATGAAGGATTGGGTGTTGGGGAGTGATGGCGTGAAACCAACCAGGGAACTGAGGAGGACTTTGAGGTTTTGGGCCTGAGTTATTGGGTGGATGGTGGTGCCCGTCACTGAGATGGGAAGAGTAGGAGAGGAGTGGGTTTGGAGGAATCAGGAGTTGTGGTCTGGACACGTCCATGTGGTGTCTGAGATGTCACACCATAGACTTGGAGGGCACCAAGGCTTGGAGGACAGTGGGCTGACCATGGTCTTTCTGTGCTCTCTTGTCCTAGGTCATGACCTCTTCCAGCAGTCCCTCATAACCCCTGTGGGGAGTGCCCATCCCTGGCCAGAGCCCCCAGCTCCAGCCCCTGCACAGGCCCCGACGCTCCGCCAGGGCTGCTTCTACCTGCTGGTGCTGGTGCCCATCACCTGTGCTCTGCTGCAGCTCTTCACCTGGTCCCAGTTCACGCTGCATGGGAGACGCCTGCACATGGTCAAGGCCCAGCGCCAGAACCTGTCACAGGCCCAAACCCTGGATGTTAAGATGGTGTGAGAGCTGTGGCAAGGTCACCCCACTGAGGATGCTGCTGGCAGCCTGGGGAAGGAGCCAGTTTTTTTTGGTTTTTTTTTTAAGGATTTCATAGTTTTTTTTTTTTTTTTTTGGAGCTGTTGCCCAAAAAAATGGATCTGTTGCAGTGGTGCAATCTGGGCTCACTGAAACCACCACCCAGGTTCAAGCAATTATCCTGCCTCAGCCTCCCGAGTAGGTGGGATTATAGGAGCGTGCCACCATGCCCGGCTACTTTTTGTATTTTTAGTAGAGACAGGGTTTCATCATGTTGGCCAGGCTAGTCTCAAACCCCTGACCTTAGGTGATCAGCCCGCCTCGGCCTCCCAGAGTGCTGGGATTACAGGCGTGAGCCACTGTGGCCAACCTAATTTTTGTATTATTTAGTAGAGACAGGGTTTCACCACATTGGCCAGGCTGGTCTCGAACTCCTGACCTCAAGTGATCTGCCTGCCTTGGTCTCCCAAAGTGCTGGGAATACAGGCATGAGCCACCGCACTCGGCCAGGAGCTAGTTTTACCAGCACCCTGCTCCACTGCCTTCCTCTAGTGCAGCCTGGAAGACATGGCAGCGGGTAGCTCCTGGGGCTGAGCCAGAAGCATCACTGCAGTGAAAGTCTCTGCTTACCTGTCTGGCTCAGCTTGGGCAAGGGCTGGGCCATATGTGCTCAGGGACGTGCTTCTCTTGTAAGGCAGGAGGACAGAAGAGGACCAAGAAGGGAGGGGGCTGCCCTGTGGTGCACACAGGCCTGCCATGGGGCGTGGGAGCCCATCCCGCTGCCTGACTGGAGCTGGCCGCTGTGGTGGACTCAGGAACCACTTTTAATACTGCAACTGCTCCCTTTTGCCCAGTCAGGGAAAGCTGACTGTAAGTCCCACCTCCCACTCCGTCCACCCTTCTAGTGGTTTCTCTGAGAGGTTTCTCTGCTTCAGCTGTGCTTGAAGTGGCATGCCTCCTCTGCTGCAGGGCTCCCCCACCCCCACACGGCCTCTAAAGATGTTTATTTCCTTATAGACTGATTAAAGTCAGCCATTCTTTTTCCTCAAGTCTGTGCTGTGTGAGTGAGTGGTGGGTTGCTGGGGTTGAGAACCAGGATTCCTTACTGACTAGAAAAAGCCCCTGAGAGCATTTTTCTGAATAAGAGTGGTAGGTAGGCCGGGCGCAGTGGCTCATGCCTGTAATCCCAGCACTTTGGGAAGCCGAGGTGGGTGGATCACCTGAGGTCTGGAGTTTGAGACCAGCCTGAGCCAACATGGCAAAACCCCATCTCTACTAAAAATACAAAAATTAGCCAGGTGTAGTGGTGTGTGCCTGTAATCCCAGCTACTTGGGAGGCTGGGGCAGGAGAATCGCTTGAACCCAGGAGGAGGAGGTTGCATTGATCGCGCCACTGCATGCACTCCAACCTGGGCGACAGAATGAGACTCCATCTCAAAGAAAAAAAAAACCCACCTTGGTGGGTTACCAAGATGCCAGGGAGAAAAACATAGATTGGTAACTGCATAGGCACTCGGGCCCAAAATGACCATTAGGCCTCAGTGCATTTCCCATGTATCACTGCTGGACATGGTAGTCAAAGAGAGAGGAGCCTCTTTTAGGCCCGAGGTTCTCAGCCTTGGGGTCCCCTGGGGAACTTAAAAAATACTGACATCTCAGTTCCATTCCTTGGGATTCTGACTTAATGTGTCTGGGGTATGGCCTGGGCAGTAGGATTTTGAACATCTCTGTAGGTGATTTTATCATGCAGCTGGCACTGAAAACCATGACTCTCAGCCACCATTTCTCAACCTTGGCACTAGCACTGGAGATATTTGGGGCCAGATTGTTCTCTGTTGTAGACATTTAGCACCCCCCACCCCACCCCACACACACACCAGTTGCGACAAACAAATACATCTCCAGGCATTGCCAGATGTGTCCTGGGAGGCAAAATTGGTTCCAATTGGGAACCACTGCTCTAGGCCAATGGTTTTTTACAGGCTGCATGGTGATTAAAAATGTAGGCTGTAGGTTCTATGGCCTGGGTTTACATTCGGGATTAAGAAAGGCCAGCGCTGGGCACGGTGGCTCACACCTGTAATCCCAGCACTTTGGGAGGCCGAGGCAGGCAGATCACCTGAGGTCAGAAGTTCGAGACTAGCTTGGCCAACATGGTCAAACCCCATCTTTATTAAAAATATGAAAATTAGCTGGGCACAGTGGCAGGCACCTGTAATCCCAGATACTTGGGAGGCTGAGGCAGGAGAATTGCTTGAACCCAGGAGGCAGAGGTTGCAGTGAGCGGAGATTGAGATTGTGCCTCTGTACTCTAGCCTGGTGACAAAGTGAGACATGATCTCAAAAAAAAAAAAAAAAAAAAAAAAAGGCAGAACTTTGGAAAATTGCTTAATCTTTCTGTGGCTCCAAATCCTTATCTGTAAAATGGACAACAAAAGCACGTATATTTTGTAAGGTTATTGGGAAGATTAAATAGTTACCATTTGGCAAAGACCTGGCAATTTTCCTCCCAAGTGCAGGTTTTAAACGGAGAAGTGATTAATCAGGATATCTGAGTATGGGCCCTGGAAACTGCACTGTAATAAGCTCCTGGCCTTCTTCTTTTTTTTTTTTTTTTTTTTGAGACAGAGTCTTACTCTGTCGCCCAGGCTGGTGCGATCTCAGCTCACTGCAACCTCTACTGCCCGGGTTCAAGCGATTCTCCTGCGTCAGCCTCCTGAGTAGCTGGGATTACAGGCGCCTGCCACCACGCCCGGCTAATTTTTGTAGTTTTTAGTAGAGACGGGATCTCACCATCTTGGCCAGGCTGGTCTTGAACTCCTGACCTTATGATGCACTTGCCTTGGCCTCCCAAAGTGCTGGGATTACAGGTGTGGCGTGAGCCACCGTGCCCGGCCAAGCTCCTGGCCTTCTTATTCACTTGACAGTTTTGAGAATCTTTGATTTCAGGGATGTTGAGAGCTGCTCCTGTCATCTGGAGTTGAGTCTCACCCATGGGCTACAGTGTACACAGGAGTGGGACCTTCTGTTCTTGAACTTAGGCTGTGGTGTGATCACCCTTTTCTCTGCATCCACCTGACAGGCTGGGACTTGGGCTATGCTCTGGACAAGGCTGGCTGGTGCAATGATGCCCTCTAGAGGATGGATCAGGCCCAGTCACCACCTCAGATTCAGTGCCTGCTGCTCTTCCTCTTTCCACTTGGCCCTGGTGACAGACAGATAGAGGCCCAGCTGACGTGTCTATCGGAACGACTTTATTTCAGTACACTGGGCCCCACCAGGCAATGTGGTTTGTGCGAGGCTGTGCGAGGGACAGGCTTGGGCTAAGAGAAGGGAGGTGAGTTGGTTAAGCGCACTGCAGTCCGCGGGGCGCTACGTTGCTTTCACACATACCTGCTGCTGTGGCCCACACCTGGCAGGGGCCTTTGGTCATAGGACGGCGTGGGGGAGAATACTGTGTGAAGTCTGGGATTGGGGTGGGTCTTGGTGTCACAGGTGAGGGTGCCGGTGAAGACAGGCTGGCCCCAGCTTTGCACCATCTAGGCTGAAGGCCTTTGGACCACTCCTAGGAGTCAGGCCTGGCTCCATTAGCTCCTGGCACTCTGGTCTGGCCCACTCCCTCCTTAACCAAGCAGGTCCAAGGTCAAGAATGGCACAAGATCAGCCCAGAGGGGGCCTTCCCACCTCTACAACCTAGTCCCCTGGTCAGCTACAGTGGCAAAAGGCAACTTGGTAAATTGCAGCTTTCTCCAGTCTTAAGGGCACTGGCTCTCCAACACCCCTCCCTTGCTTAGGGGCCTCTGCCAAAGAAAAATTTTACCTCCTGTTTCAGAAAATCTAACCAGCAACCAGCCTGTTGATTCCAGGGCAGTGAGCAAGAGGAAAAGGGAGAAAGAGCCTGGTGGGAGTGTCTTTGAGTGTAGCTTCCAATCTCAAATGGTCCTGGAACCTGTGGACACTGTCAGCTCACCATCAGCTGGGAGAGGTGGGGCCCTGGAGGCTAAGCTTAGGTGCTGTAAACATTAGTGTAGCAAGGCAGGAGGCAGCAAGCTCCCTCTCTCCAGCCCCTAACTGAACAAACACTTCAATAAATAAAACGGTTTGAAGATGGCATTGCAACAAGAACAGATGGAAAGCGAGGTCCTGGAACCAGCAGGTGCCTTAAACTCTCCCAAGGCCCCCGAAAGGGGACTGGGCTGGGAACATTAACTCTGCAGCCATTCAGAGTGAGGACTGCTCCTGCCCTCCTCCAGTGGCCGGTGTGGTCCTGTTCCCTGGTGAACATGAGGGCCTCCTGCTCTCTCCTGACTCCAGTCTCTGTAATAGCTCTTGGGGTGCTTTTCCAGCCTCCCAAACCAAAATGGCAACAAAACCAGACAGAACTCAACCCCAGTCCCAGTCCTCAGTGTGCAGTCAGGAGGCATCGATAGTGGAGGCAGCAGCTGCCTGGGGCCTCAGGGCACCCTGGGGGTGGGGGTGAGGGTGGGGCCAGCCCAGCCTAGGATGGTCAGCAGCAAGGTCTCCCGGGGGATGGCTTACCTCCCTCTGTCTCCCTGTGGTAGTAAACGGAGTCCCCCACAGCCAGCCAGAGGCCACCTGAGGAGGGAGCACAGCCTCTGCCAGCGCTCTTCCCTGTCAGGAGCCAGTTAGTGGTCAACCCCAGGCCTCAGGCCATCACCACTGCAGGTAGTTCATCGTCCTTTCTGGGCCCAGGGTCCCAGGGCCACACGGCACTCGCATGTGCACACACACTCATATCCACACACGCACTCACACACAGGCAGTTCCTCGCAAACACTCCGACTCAAGAAAGCGAGTTTTAAAGTGGAGTTAACTTCAGAGAGAGGTGAAGATGATGTCCCGACATTAGAAGGTTTTTCTGTGGATGGATCGGGCACCGTCTTCCTCATATTCCTTTTTGGAGACCCACATCTTCTTAAAGGTGTCCAGGGAGGCAAGGATGGAGCCCCTGGAGGGAGGAAACCCAGAGGAACTGTGTGAGAGAGAAGTGGCTGTGTGTGGAGCCTACCAGTCCCCTGGGGCCAAACCAAATCAGGCTTTTCTTTAGAGGGTGCTGAGGGGTTATCAGTGCCATCACTTCCTGTTCTGTTCTTACTCCTGGAAGAGCTACTCACCCAATCCACGTGGAATACAGTCTCTCCTGAGGTGCAGATATCTGCAAAGGTGGGGGAAAGAGGAATCTGAGACTTCCAGCCCTCCCGCTCCCTTTCCCTACAATGCTCCTCTTTCTGCCCATGGCAGGGGATACATTTTACACAAGCCTGAAGCTCTGGCCTCTCTGGAGGGCACTGTGGCCAGCCTGCCACTCATCTGGGGAAGCAGGTTTCCAGTCCCCACAGGTCCCAGGGAAGCTGGGACTATTGGGGGGGGCAGGGAGAAGCAGACTCCATGGCAAGAACTGTACTCCTTCCTTTAGGATCCCCGCTCTCCTCAGACAGCCAACCTCCTTCACCTATCACTAAGGTGTCAGACTGTGTGACAGGGGAGCCACCTGGGCAGGGGGCACAGCAACAGTAAGTCAGTCTCCTCTTAAGATTATAGTTTCCCTGAAAGATCACGCAGGGGGCCCTCTACCTAGTACCCTGCCTCATCTGGGTATTAGAACTGCCTGCCTTTGGTGTGAAGAGGGAGAATGAGAACTCAGCCTCCCTGTGGCTGACCTAGACCTCAGGGTCAGTGTACAGGCTGGGAACCTGGCGCTGCTTGTAGAGCCATGGCTGCTTGAAGAGCTTGGGCAAAGCTAGAGGGAAGCTACGCCAGGTGGCACTCTGTCCATGGAAGCCTAGTTCCACCCAGGCCAGGCCCCACCATGCTCCTACCCTGATCTTCACATCTTTTGGAGCTAGTTTCTTCACTTCACTCAGGAGCCTGTCACCAAAACCTGAATGGGCAAAGAGGAGAACTTCAAGTCAATTCTCAGGGTGCCTGGAGCCAGCAGGAGCTGAACACTTCCAGGGGAAGGGCTCCAAGAGAAGAGACAAACCTTTGAACAGGGTAGAGCCTCCTGAGAGGACAATGTTAGAGAAAAGCGTGCGCCGCAGGTCCATGTCTGACTTCTGAATGGCGAACACCAGGACCTCGTGGATGCCTTCACTCTCCTCTCCAATCAAATCTGGCCTGAAGAGCAACTCAGGGGCCCGGAATCGGGAAGGACCAATCTGCAGGTAGGAGGGCCAGCTGAAGAGGTCGGAGCTGGGACCAAGGTCCCTTTGGGAGTGGGAATGGAAGACGCCCCTCTGCACGTCACTTAGTAACTGGGTGGCTATGAAGGCCAGGCTCAAGACAGACTCTACATGTCAAGGGCTTAAAGGAACAAAGATAGGCCTCCTGGAAACTAGTGAGGGGAGGCTCCTATATTTCCTTCTCGCTCTGGCATTTTCCAGCCAAGAGGTCTTTGGCATCAGTACATGGATTTATTTGCTCATGGAAACGTCTTCCTAGCAATGGGGGTTCAAGGGAGTGGTAACTCACCCTACACTGCACCCAGGTGTGGTGAAGGATGGCACTAACCATCCCACTTCCTAATCTCATACTGATGTGGGACAATCCCTTAGGAGCTTCCTCCCCTCTAGCGGGAGGGAGCAAAGTTCTGGCTGCCTCCTCTGCAGGAGACAGGGCCACTCATGCTCAGGAGCTCTGCTGCTCCAGAGAGAGGGTGTAAGGCTGGGGTGTCCAGTCTTTTGGCTTCCCTGGGCCACATTGGAAGAAGAATTGTCTTGGGCCACACATAATATACACTAACACTAATGACAGCTGCTGAGCTAAAAAAAAAAATTGCAAAAGAATCTCATAATGTTTTAAGAAAGTTTACGACTTTGTGTTGGGCCTTACTGAAAGCCATCCTGGGCCACGTGCAGCCCATGGGCCAGGGGTTGGACAAGCTTGGTGTAAAGGGACTGGCCTGCCAGACTCCAGACCCTGATGGAGAATTCTGGTTGGGCCCAGAGCTTTTGTGGACCTAAGGGGACCGAAGAAAGAAGGCAGGCCACCTACCTCAATGGTGCTGCCATCAGGCAGGTAGTACTGAGCTTTCTCTGTCTCTAGCGTCTCATCCTTTTGGGGGTTTATGGATAGGTAACAGGCTCTCTGCAGATCCAAGCAAGACAGTCAGGCTGGCAGGAAATCTGGTGCACATCCAGTCAAAGGCCCAGGGGAGGAATGTGCTGCTGCACAAACCTGTCTAAACGTTGTGATGGCCCCAATGGTCACTATAGCTGCTGCCCAGAAGCAGGGGCAGTGAGGTCTCTGTTGGCCTTCACTGGGTGGCATTTAGCATATGAGTTCTTAACCGCTCCACCTTCCTGATGGGCAAGCTTGGAAACTTGGCCCCTGGATCCTAGGTCTGAGACCACAACCTAAGTTCAGCCCAGGCCCAGGCATCTTTCTCCTTCTACCACTCATATGGTTCTGGTCCTACCCAGCTCGAGTTTTCCCTATAGCCACAGGTGGCAGGAGGTTTCAGTTTACTTACAAAGACAAATGTTTTAAATGTATTATGACTTCTTCAAGGATGTTAAAAAAATAAAAATAAAAAAACCAGGAGTGGGCGCGGTAGCTCATGCTGCAATTCTAGCACTTTGGGAGGCTGAGGCGGGCAGATCACTTGTGGTCAGGAGTTTGAGACCAGCCTGATCAACATGGTGAAACCATGTCTCTGCTAAAAATACAAAAATTAGTGGGGTGTGGTGGCAGGCACCTATAATCCCAGCTACTTGGGAGGCTGAGGCAGGATTCAAGCGATTGCTTGAACCCGGGAGGCAGAGGTTACAGTGAGCCGAGATCACACCATTGCACTGCAGCCTGGGCGACAGAGCGAGACTCCATCTCAGAAACAAAACAAAATGAAACAAAACCAAACCCTATGTAATTTGCATATAAGGTATAAAAAACATACTGAGCCCCTATGTAGCCATCACCCAACTGAAGAAATGGAAGCAGCTCCCTTTCCCCCAACAAGATGGCAGCACGTCAGGAAGGCGAATCTGTCAGTGTGACGTAGGGGAGACCTGGCTGGGAAGAACAAGGCCTCACCAGGGACCCCCAGGCAGGTGCTTTGCCTGGCTTCACTGGCAGGTCACCAAGGTCCTGGGTGCTATGCTCCCAACCCCCACTCCATCCCTAGGCCCAGGGGGCAGCACTTACTTCTTTTATGGCCTTGACAATCTCAAACTCAGAGGATGAGTGGAAGTCGTAGCCCTCCTTACGCAGGTAGAGGCGCAGGAAGCGAGAGACGTCCCGGCCCGCGATGTCGATGCGCATGATGGAGTGGGGCATGGCAAAGCCCTCATAGATGGGCACAGCATGGGTGACTCCATCCCCAGAATCCAGCACCACCCCTGTGGTCCTGCCTGTAGCGTAACTGAAGCAAAGGGGCAAACCGTCACTCAGCACTGCCTCCTCACGCTGGGAAGAAATACACTTCTTTATTTAGGGTTCAATGTCAGCTAAACTAAAGCTTGGGCCTGCCTCTCTCCAGGGTCTGTAGAATGGACTGGGTACTAAGGAAGCCCAGGTGTTGGAGCAAGCCATGAAATACCTGAACGGAAGTTGCTGATCTTCTCCAAGTTCCCTCCCCGTACCCAGAAGAGCAGGCCTTCCTGTCTGAGATGGCCTGGCCTTCAGCTGCTTCAGAGACCCAGCCTAGGGGCCAGTTTTAACTCTCTAGACAAAAGGCAAAAACCCTCAAATGTCAACAGGGGCCAGGCAGGAAAAGTAAGAGTAAAGAAAAATAAGAATATTTTTCACTTCCATAAAAAACAAAGGCAGGAGAAGACCCTGCTTTACTGGTTTGAGAGCCCGGGGACCTTTGTCAGCCTCCCTCCAAAAAAAGGCAAGTGAGGCAACTGACCCCCTGCTTCAGTGCGGAGAGGCCAACAGAGCATGGACAGGCTGTGGGGAGGGTGGGCTTGCCAGCCCCATCTCAAGTGGCAGCCGCTCTTCAGCTCCAGCTGATTTTTGCCCTGTGGGAATGTGTGCCCGACCTTCCCAGATCTTCCCATTTTTTCAGAGAAGCCAAAAATTTGGGTTTTGATGGGACACCTCTTGATTTTTAAATGCTGGCTCACAGTTTGTTAATGGGGTCAAATAAATCCCACGTGTAGGTCACTTGTGGATAATCTCTGCCGTAGACCTCACTCTGGTGTGAGGTGGGGTAGGAGTGTGACAGGAGCCACGGGGGATGGGAACAAGGACTGTGGTGGCATTCGGATCATGGTTGTCTCACAGCCTGGCAGAGCAGCTGGCCACAGTAAGTGCTGAATAATAAGTGGACACATTACGGGGGCCTCCGGGAAGAGCTGCTGCAGCATGTGGCTGCCTCGGCAGGCCCAGCCAAGGCCTTGGGGACCAAACCCACTAGGAGTCCTGACACTGGGATATGGTCAATAGCAGCCACATGTCCTTCTTTGCTTTCAACTACGAAGCCTCAGTGCTCAGTTTCAGCAAAAGCCTCTCTCTCTTTCCCACCATCTTTAACCTTTCCCTAGCAGAGGGGGCTCAAGTTACTCTGAACCATTCCAGAGGAGAGCCAGCCTCAGCTGTGCCAAAGGACTGCTTTCCCCGCAGGGGCCGGGCTAGCCAGCTGCTACTCACAGGCTGAGTACAGCTTGCATGGAGATGAAAAGAGCGGGCACATTGAAGGTCTCGAAGAAAACTTCGGCAGCTCGTTCCCGGTTTTTTCGTGGGTTTAAAGGCGCCTCAGTCAGGAGCACAGGATGCTGGTGAAAGGAGCCCGGGAGACAATGAGGCCAAGGCCAGATTTCCATCTTCATTAGTCTTAGGGGAGAAGACCCTGCCTTGCTGGTTTGAGAGCCCGGGGACTTCAGTCAGCCTCACTCCAAAAAAAGGCAAGCTGTGCCTGTCAACTATCCCTGCCCAAGTAGTTTTCTCAACTTTTCAAGTTAATGCCCACTTTAAAATTTCATTCTGTCCTCAGCTGTGCCCCCCAACTCCCCTCCTTGTCCTCCAAGATTGTTATACAGGCCCCTGTGTCTACTGTGTATCTCCAACTGTCAAGAAGATTTTGTGAAACTCTAAATTCCTGCCGCAGACCAGTTCTAGTCTGTGACCTGTTAGGAACCAGGCTGCACAGCAGGAGGTGAATGGCAGGTAAGCGAGCATTATTGTCTGAGCTCCACCTCCCATCAGATCATCCAAGGCACTAGATTCTCATAGGAGTGTGAACCCTACTGTGAACTGCGCATGTGAGGGATCTAGGTTGGGCACTCCTTATGAGAATTGAATGCCTGATGATCAGAGGTGGAACAGCTTCATCCTGAAACTATCTGGCCACCCCAAACCCCCACCCCCATGGAAAAACTGTCTTCCAAGAAACTAGTCCCTGGTGCCAGAAAGGTTGGGGACCACTGCTTTAAAAAAACTGTCTGAAAACAGCCGGGCGTGGTGGCTCACACCTGTAATCCCAGCACCTTGGGAGGCTGAGGCGTGCGGATCATCTGAGGTCGGGAGTTCGAGACCAGCCTGACCAACATGGAGAAACCCCGTCTCTACTAAAAATACAAAATTAGCCGGGCTTGGTGGTGGTGCATGCCTGTAATCCCAGCTACTCAGGAAGGCTCAGGCAGGAGAATCGCTTGAACCTGGGAGGCAGAGGTTGCGGTGAGCCGAGATTGCGCCATTGCACTCTAGCCTAGGCCACAAGAGCGAAACTCCATCTCAAAAAAGCAAACAAAAAAAACCCAAAACTGAAAACATCCCACCTGCACCTGGAAATTGATACACCTAGTCTGCACCTCTCTGCATTTTCTTTCTTTCTTTTTTTTTTTTTGAGACAAGGTCTCACTCTGTCACCAGGCTGCGAGTTCAGTGGTGCGATCTTGGCTTACTGCAACCTCGATGCCCCCAGGCTCAAGCAGTCCTCCCACCTCATCATTTCAAGTAGCTGGGACTACAGGCACGCACCACTGTACCCGGCTATTTTTTTTTTTTTCATATTTTTAGTAGAGGTGGTGTTTCGCCATGCTGCCCAACTTGGTCTCAAACTCCTGAGCTCAAGAGATCCACCCAAAGTGCTGGGATTACAGGCATGACCCACAGTGACCAGCCTCCCTTTACATTTTTGAATGGAGAGTTACTTCCTTACAAGTTAATAAGCACAGGCTGCACAAGGTGGCTCACGCCTGTAATCCCAGCACTTTGAGAGGTGGAGGCGGATAGATTGCCTGAACCCAGGAGTTCGAGACCAGCCTGGGCAACATGGCAAAACCTTGTCTCTACAAAAAATACAAAATTTGCCAGGTGCCATGGCTCATGCTGTAATCCCAGCTACTTGGGAAGCTGAGGCAGGAGAATCATTTGAATCCGGGAGGCAGAGGTTGCAGTGAGCCTAGATCACGCCATTGCACTCCAGCCTGGCCAACAAGAGCAAAACCCCACCACACACACACACACAAAATTAGCCGGGCATGGTGGGGGGTGGGGCTGAGATGGGAGGATTACTTGAGCCCAGGAGGTCGAGGCTGCAGTGAGCTATTGCACTCCAGTCTGGGTGAAAGAAGTTAATGAGCACAGGCTTTGAATTCTAAAAGACATAGGTTTGAATTCCATCTCTACCCTTTGTTCACTTGGTGACCTTGGAAATACCACTTGGCTTTTCTTTTTTTTTTTTTTTTTTGGGACGGAGTCTCACTCTGTCACCCAGGCTGGAGCACAGTGGCGCAATCTCGGCTCACTGCAAGCTCCGCCTCCCGGGTTCACGCCATTCTCCTGCCTCAGCCTCCGGAGTAGCTGGGACTACAGGCGCCCGCCACCACGCCCGGAGAATTTTTTGTATTTTTAGTGGAGACAGGGTTTCACCGTGTTAGCCAGGATGGTCTCGATCTCCTGACCTCGTGATCCACCCGCCTCGGCCTCCCAAAGTGCTGGGATTACAGGTGTGAGCCACCGCGCCCGGCCACGACTTGGCTTTTCTGAACTTGTTCCCTTGTTTGTAAAATGAGATAATACTACCTATATCTCATAGGAATGGTGTTAAGATTAAATCTGAATATGCCTGAAAATCAAATGGCTCCAGCACTCTTGGCAGTGATCATCGTCCTCCTCATCATCTCTAGGGTAGGAGTTTGACACAGCTTTGCATACCCTACAGGAGTGCCCTACACACAGGATCCTCACCTCCTCTGAGAAAGTCTGCAGCTGGTCCTTAGAATAGACATATTGCCAAATGCGTTCCATGTCGTTCCAATCCTTGACGATGCCATGCTCCATGGGATAGCGGATTGAAAGCAGCCCTCGGTGCTCCTGGGAAAAGAGAACAGGACTTACGACTGCAGTCAGGCTCCACCCAGGACCCTGTTCTCCCAAGACTAAGCAGTGCAAGCTGAATCCCTTGCAAAGAAGCCTCAGCTTCCTGAGCTTCCACCCTGCTGTCCTTGCCCAGGGCTAAGGGTGGGCACTCATTCTCCAAGGCTAAATACTGTTTGCTGCAAACTGCCCTCATTCCCGAGGAGCCGGCAAAGCAGGGGCTTCTGCATTTCCATGGCCCCTCAGGTGCCTCTAGGGCAAGTGGCAGGAGGCATCTTCCTCATTGCCTGGTTCCAGGACACAATCTCCTGGCTCCCACCTCTGGGCCTCAGCACTTGAAGCCAAGGATGGCAACAGCGATTCTGCTATCTGCTTACAAGAGGCTGCATGAGGGCTCTGACAAAGCTGTGTGAATTAACTCATCCCTAGGGTACCCCAGCCAGGATCTCCCCACTGAATATTTTTTGTGAAAAAAATAATAAACACAGTAAATTTGATCACTGACAAGGCAGTGACAGGATGCAGAAGACAACAGCCCTGTTTCCTAGACTGGTCTCAGTGTGTCCCAAAGTGAGGTCCCAGGTATTTTCTTCTCCAAGACCACAGGCTGTTCCTGGGAAAAATAAACCACCTAAGCCTAGGATGAGAGAATCAAAAAGGAGATTTTCAGAGAAAGTTGCCCCTTTTACTTATGGGTATGTCCAAATGTTGGGACATGTTCCATGTGGTGAATAATGAAGGTCCTCTGCTGGCTTAAGGCTTGTTCTGTAGGCCTGGGAATTACCTCAGCTTTGGGGCCAATGAAGATGTCGCCTTCAAGGGCTCCTGCCATGACACGAACGTGCTTGGGTCGGCCCACACTAGAAAAGACAGTGAGGAGGACCATCATTTTTCATTTCATGACAGAACACAGGAAGGATGTATAGATGTACATACACACTCAAATTCTACTGAGATTATCTTCAAGGAGTGAAGTCACAGTTGATTTTGATTTTCTTCTTTATACTTTTCTGTATTTTCCACAATTTCTAAAATGAACATGTATTATTTATATATTATTTCATATTTTATATTTATTATAAATTATGAAAACAAATTTTTAGAGTATTTAATACCTCTAGTTCTTCTCTTTCTGCAGTGTATGAACAGACCAAGAAAGATGAGGAAATGAGAATTTCTAAAGGAGTGATTAACTCAAAACATTTTAGTGTCCTTAGTCCCCTTCCCAGGACCTCTAAGTAAAACTGATGCTGGGCTGGGCTCGATGGCTCACACCTATAATCCCAGCACTTTGGGAGGCTGAGGCAGGTGGATCATTTGAGGTCAAGAGTTTGAGACCAGCCTGGCCAACATGGTGAAACCCCATCTCTACTAAAAATACAAACATTAGCTGGGCGTGATGGCACATGCCTATAATCCCAGCTACTTGGGAGGCTGAGGCACGAGAATCGCTTGAACCTGCAAGGCAGGAGTTGCAGTGAGCCGAGATTGCGCCACTGCACTCCAGCCTGGGCTACAGAATGAGACTCCATCTCAGAAAACAAAAAAAACTGTGATGCTATAGATCGGACAGATAGCCTCTTCCTTTCCTCCCCCTTTAAGCCCTTCCTGTAAGCCTCTGTGCTCTTCTCCTGCCTGCAGTCTCTCTGTCTTAGGAGGAAAGTTCTGAGAAACTCCTCATTAAGATGGTAGAAGGGCTGTAATCCCAGCACTTTGGGAGGCCGAGGCAGGCAGACCATGAGGTCAGGAGATCAAGACCATCCTGGCTAATACGGTGAAATCCCATCTCTACTAAAAATACAAAAAAATTAGCCAGGCACGGTGGCAGGCGCCTGTAGTCCCAGCTACTCGGGAGGCTGAGGCAGAATGGTGTGAACCCGGGATGCAGAGCTTGCAGTAAGCCAAGATCACACCACTGCACTCCAGCCTGGGCAACACAGCGAGACTCCGTCTCAAAAAAAAAAAAAAAAAAAAAAAGATGGTAGATGGGTTAAATGTTAATCCCCAGCCTGGGTGATAGGAGAATTTTAAAAGGAGGGCTCCACCAAGAGGCAATCCTCCAAAGCAATAAGTTACCAATGATAAAATTTTTTAGCATCAGATAAAATTGGATTTTTAAAAAGAGGCCTCTTATCTGTGCCTCTCAAATTGTACCATGTAGACAACTGTTTTCCTTTGTTGACTCCAAACTCGGCTCCTGTCCCTTATAGGGCTGGGCCTGTAACAAAGCTGATGAGCCTCCAAAACGTCTAAGCTACAGAATGACTTACTAGTTTGGAAAGCAGTATTTGGGGATCTGATCACCAGCAAAACCAGCTTTAATCACACCGGATCCCTGAGGAAAGAGGAGAGAGAATGAGGAGTCAGAACTATCACAAATACAAAAGGAAAAATACATTATATGGTACCATTTTTATTTAAGAAAAGAAAGCGGCCGGGCGCAGTGGCTCACACTTGTAATCCCAACACTTTGGGAGGCAGAGGCAGGCGGATCACTTGAGGTCAGGAGTTTGAGACCAGCCTAGCCACCATGGTGAAAGCCTGTCTCTAGTAAAAATGCAACAATTAGCTGGGCATGTTGGCAGGCACCTGTAGTTCCAGCTACTTGGGAGGCTGAGGTGGGAGAATCACTTGAATCTGGGAGGCAGAGGTTGCAGTGAGCCAAGATTGTGCCACTGCACTCCAGCCTGGGTGACAGACTCTGTCTCACAGGAAAAAAAAAACAAAACTAATATTTGTATATAATATATACATTTATTTGAACCTAGAAAAAGGTAAATGCACACCAAAAGAAGGGAAGTGGAAATAGGATGGTGAGGAGGATTCTCACTGTATACACAACCGTATGTGTGATTTTTCTGTAGTCTCTGACTTTTCTACATTGAACATGTTTTGCTTTGGGAATTAAAAATACTAGTAATAAAGGGAAGAAAAAGACAGAAAACCTGGGGAAAGAAGAAAGTACCTAGAAGCATCAAAGCAGCCAAGTTCAGGAACATAAGGTAGGAAAAGCACATGACTCCTTGTTACGCCACCCTGGGGTGCTTTTAACCTACTTTCCCAGCTCAGGCCTGAACTCTCCCAGCTTCCAGGGCCTCTGTGACAGACACCGCCATGAGCACTGTCATGCTTGAAATGGACTCCCATGGAACACGTGCTGTCTGGTTCTTATTGCAAGGGCAGAGCACGATGCTTTGGGAGATTTTTGTTGTTGTTTTCTTTTTAACTATGCTTTCCTTTTACTCCTTGGTCTCCTGATGGTAAAGAGAAGCAAAGACTAAAGCCTACTCTGAGAATAGAAGAGAACCACAGTCCTGCTGCTCCAACACTTGGTATGTCGAGTGAGGTGTCCAGAAAAGAATCTGAGTTCTCCCAGCATCTCAGGTACCACCCAGGGCCCAATCAATGTAAACAGTGACTCTGGACACAGAGACCAACCCTGTGCAGGACAGATGTCAAGGCTTAGTATTGCTTGTAGATACACCCTGTCCTCTTCCTTTTTTTTGAGATGGAGTCTCGCTCTGTCGCCCAGGCTGGAGTGCAGTGGTGCAATCTGGGCTCACTGCAAGCTCTGCCTCCCAGGTTCATGCCATTCTCCTGCCTCAGCCTCCTGAGTAGCTGGGACTACAGGTGCCCACCAGCATGCCTGGCTAATTTTTTTTTTTTTTTTTTAGTAGAGACAGGGTTTCACCGTGTTAGCCAGGATGATCTCGATCTCCTGACCTCGTGATCCGCCCGCCTTGGCCTCCCAAAGTGCTGGGATTATAGGCGTGAGCCCACCGTGCCCGGCCTTTTTTTTTTTTTTTTTTTGAGACAGAATCTCGGTCTGTCACCCAGGCTGGAGTGTGGTGGCACAATCTCAGCTCACTGCAACCTCCACCTCCTGGGTTCAAGCGATTCTCCTGCCTCAGCCTCCTGAATAGCTGGGATTACAGGCGCGCACCACCATGCCTGGCTAATTTTTGTATTTTTAGTGGAGATGAGGGTTCACCGTGTTGGTCAGGCTGGTCTCGAACTCCTGACCTTGTGATCCACCTGCCTCGGCCTCCCAAAGTGCTGGGATTACAGGCATGAACCACCGCGCCTGGCCTCTTCTTCCTTCTTAACTCTTCTACCACCACACCTGATACCCTCACCTTTCTAACCCAACATGGTTTGCAGCTGCACCCGTAGCTGGGGCAAGCCTTTTCCTGCTGCCTGTTGACCACTCTCCTGGGGTGGAGTGTGGTATTTACTGACCTCATTCTACAAGCACTGAACACACCTGGAGACTCTAAGTAGCCAAGGTTATCTGCACCAAAGGCTTCCCAGCAACATGCCTGCTTCCCTCCTTGACTCTCTTATTCCTGCTCTTCTGCAGGAAGAGGGGGAGTGAGACTGGCCATCTGGTGCTTGCCTTTGGCAAGACAGAGGTTGGTGGAGGAAGCAAGTGGTTGAAGGAAGCCAGGTGTGGTGGCTCACGCCTGTAATCCCAGCACTGTGGGAGGCCGAAGCGGGGCAGATCACATGAGGCCAGGGAGTTCAAGGCCAGCCTGGCCAACATGGCAAAACACTGTCTTTACTACAAATACAAAAATTAGCCAGGTGTGCTACACGTCTGTAATCCCAGCTACTCAGGGAGGCTGAGGCAGGAGAATCACTTGAACCCAGGAGGTGGAGGTTGCAGTGAGCCAAGATCGCACCACTGCACTCTAGCCAGGGAGACAGAGTGAGACTCCACCTCAAAAAAAAAAAAAAAAAAAAAAAGAAGTGGTTGAAGGGCAGAGAAAGTGGTATGAGAGGAGAGCAGGGCAGCCAGTTCTCTAAGGGAGCAGGAATCTTTGCCAACAGAAGAGAGTGAAAACAGAAGACAATGTGCAAACTCATTGGACTGGGCAGTACAACAAGGAGCCTGGAAAAGGTGCAGCTGTCAAGTGAGCTGAAAGACTGGGAAGGAGGGGCAATTTGCCTACAAACCCAAGGGCTCTGAGAGCAAGGCACGGACAGGCAAGGGGGGAACTCCTAGAACTTGTTTGCTCAGGCTTCCAATGATTGCTCACTGCCTTCATCTGGGTGTGGTGATGCCAACAGACTAATTGGGTCTCCCGGCAGAGGTTAAAAACAAGAGAGGATGAGATCTGTCCTTCAGACCCTGGATATTTTTAAGAGATGATTTTCCTGGGTATTTTATTTTTAGTTTACTAGCAAAAGGACTAGAGTCTGGGTAAACAGGCAGATTATGAAGTCAGATTTGTTTTTTCTTCTCTGTCCTTCCTAGCAAAGAGTATAAAAAGCCCAGTTCAAATATCATCACCTTCCTCCTGAAGAAACATCCCCAGTTGGAATGAATGATCATCTTCCTATTATCTCACAGCAAATTTCCATTACCTGTACCACGAGGTGGCATGCACTTCATTCTGCTTTTTATTACAATGTAAGGTTTCCACTTTCGTCTCTTTTCAGTTGAAGTTCCTTAAGGCTAAAATACATTTTGGCAGTATCTGGCATTTGCTGGGTACTCAACAGATGCTGGCTGAGTAAAATTAAAATCAAGTGCAAATGACTGGCAGATAGAACCTAAAGTATGGAACCTGAATGACCAGCTGAAATGACAGAAGCCCCAGGCAGAGGCGGTTCAGCAAAGGGGAAAGCAGCACTGGGAGTGATGCACAAGGTGGAACCAGACCCAGCGTGTCCTTGCAGCCCCCAAGCAGGCCTGCCATGCCAGTCATAGGGTGAAGAATCAGTGGAGAATGAGGAGCAGCTGAGCTGCCTCAATTCTGCTCAAGCCACACAAATTCTGCTCAAGAGCATACAAAAGGGTTATGTCCATTTCTTTAACAGTATTTACAACTAGGAACTGTGTACCTGGCAAATAAGCTGCCACTGTCTTTGTTATTCACTCTGGCAAGGCCAAATGAAAAAATGCCTGGTAGAGGCTTCTTGAGTAGTCTTGGCTGGGTGTGGTAACTCATGCCTATAATCCAAGCACTTAGGAAGGCCGAGGCACGCAAATCACTTTGAGGCCAGGAGTTTGAGACCAGCCTGGCCAAAATGGAGAAACCCCATCACTACAAAAAATACCAAAAAGTTAGCCAGGCATGGTGATGTGTGCCTGTACTCCTAGCTACTTGGGAGGCTGAGCTAGGAAGACTGCCTGAGCCCGGGAGGTCGAGACCAGCCTGCACATGGCGAAACCCCGTCTCTACAAAAATACAAAAATTAGCTGGGCATGGTGGTTGTGTGCCTGTGGTCCCAGCTACTCAGGAGGCTGAGGTTGGAGGATCACTTGAGTCTGGGAGGTCAAGGCTGCAGCAAGCTGTAATTGCACTGCTGCACTCCAGGCTGGATGACAGAGTAAGATAAGACCCTGTCTCAAAACCAACCAACCAACCAACCAAACAAACAAAAAGTATGGCTGGGTGCGGTGGCCCACGCCTGTCACCCCATCACTTTGGAAGGCAGATGAGGGAGGATTGCTTGAGGCCAAGAGTTCGAGAGACCAGCCTGGGCAACATGGCAAAACGCTGTCTCTACAAAATATTAATTTTAATTTTAATTTTAATTTTTTTGAGATGGAGTCTGGCTCTGTCACCCACCTAGAGTGCGGTGGCACAATCTCGGCTCACTGTAACCTCCGCCTCCTGGATTTAAGCGATAGTCCTGTCTCAGACTCCTGAGTAGTTGTTGTTACAGGTGTGCGCCACCACGCCCGGCTAATTTTTGTATTTTTAGTGTAGAGGGGGTTTCACCATGTTGGCCAGGCTGGTCTCGAACTCCTGATCTCAAGTGATCCACCCGCCTTGGCCTCCCAAAGTGCTAGGATTACAGGCATGTGCCACCACACCAGGCCTACAAAATATTTAAAAATTACTCGGGTGTGGTGGTGCGGGTCCATAGTCCTTGCTACTTGGGAGGCTGAGCCCAAGAGGTCAGGGCTGCAGTGAGCTGTGATCTTGCCACTGCACTCCAGACTGGGCGATAGAGTGAGCCTCTGCCTCAAAAAATATATACAAAAAATTCAAAATAAGGCCAGGCGCAGTAGCTCACACCTGTAATCCCAGCATTTTGCGAGGCCAAGGCGGGCAGATCACGAGGTCAGGAGATTGAGACCATCCTGGCTAACACGGTGAAACCCCGTCTTCACTAAAAGTACAAAAAATTAGCCGGGTGAAGTGGTGGGCGCCTGTAGTCCCAGCTACTCTGGAGGCTGAGGCAGGAGAATGGCGTGAACCCAGGAGGCGGAGCTTGTAGTGAGCAGACATTGCGCGACTGCACTCCAGCCTGGACGACAGTGCGAGACTCCATCTAAAAAAAAAAAAATTAGCCGGGTGTGGTGGCACGTGCCTATAGTCCCAGTACTCGGGAGGCTGAGGCAGGAGAATCTCTTGAACCCACAAGGGGGAGGTTGCAGTGAGCCGAGATTGCGCCACTGCAATTTAGCCTGGGCGACAGAGACAGCCTCCGTCTCAAAATAAATAAATAAATAAATACACAATTTTTTTTTTTTTTTTTTTTTTTGATACGGACTCTTGCTCTGTCGCCCAGGCTGGAGTGCAGTGGCGTGATCTCGGCTCACTGCAAGCTCCGCCTCCCGGGTCCAAAGCCATTCTCCTGCCTCAGCCTCCCGAGTAGCTGGGACCACAGGCGCCTGCCACCACACCTGGCTAATTTTTTTGTATTTTTATTTTATTTTGTTTTTGTTTGAGACGCAGTCTCGCTCTGTTGCCCAGGCTGGAGTCCAGTGGCGAGATCTCGGCTCACTGCAAGTTCCGCCTCCCGGGTTCATGCCATTCTCCTGCCTCAGCCTCCTGCATAGCTGGGACTACAGGTGCCCGCCACCACGCCTGGCTAATTTTTTGTATTTTTAATAAAGACGGGGTTTCACCATGTTAGCCAGGATGGTCTCGATCTCCTGACCTCGATAAATACACAAATTTTTAAAAATCAGAATATCTGGCAACACTAGGCCGGTATTCCTGCATGGGGACAATTGGATAGAAAGGAGAATCAGTTAACATTTTGGTCAGGCATGCTCAATTCAATGCACCTTTCAGATTTCCCAGCCTGGAAGAGGTGCCTTTCAGGCTATTCTCTCTCTTCTCTTTTGAGTATATTTCCATTCCTGCTTGGCCTCTGCAGGCATTGAATTTGAAATCCCTATTCTAGGCATTTGCAGCCACTAATTGGTGACGTTTCTTCTTCCACATGGTATCTGATTTCTTTTTTACCCTCAGAGGACTTAGCTCAGTGTGAAGCACATCCTTGGCTTGCAAAATATACATAATTGAACAGTGAAAATATCTTTATAAGTCACCTCTTCTTCACCTTTTCTGTCAAGCTAGGGATGGATTCTTGCTGAAGCTGTACAACCAACAGCCTGAATATCACACTGCAAGTGACAGTGTTAGATAAATACATTGACTTCATTTCCTCAGCTAATTCTAGTGTCCCTAAAAACTTAAGTGAATCAGCATTAGTAGGATCAGAAAAGCTGATAACAAATTGTAAAAGAAAAATTTTTTTAGACAATTAGTGAAATCTGAACATTGACTAGATAACTGATAAGATTAAGGGGTTCTTGTTGATTTGATTAGGCATGATAATAGTATATTGATTATGTTTTTAAATGAGTGTGGGGCTGGGCGTGGTGGCTCACGCCTATAATCCTAGCACATTGGGAGGCTGAGGCGGGTGGATCCTTTGAGGCCAGAAGTTCGAGACCAGCCTGGCCAACATGGCAAAACCCCGTCTCTACTAAAAATACAAAAATTAGCTGGGCATGGTGGTGCATGCCTGTAGTCCCAACTACTCGGGAGGCTGAAGCAGGAGAATCGCTTGAGCCACGGAGGTGGAGGTTGCAGTGAGCATCACTGCACTCCAGCCTGGGCCACACAGCAGACTCCATCTCAGGAAAAAAAAAAAAAAAAAAAAAAGAATGTGGGAGAGGGAAATGGGCAGGAATGTAGTTGAAAAGATTGGCCAAGAGTTTGATAACTGTTACAGCTAGGTGAACGTATGGATGTTCCTTACACTATTCCTTCTCCTTTGTATGTTTGAAATTGCTATAATAAAAAGAGATAACAGTAGGATGATAGCACTTAAGTAAACTTTCAAAACACAAACAGCACACTCCCCTGCCAAACTTAAAATGCATATGCACATAAAATCATGGATGGATCTAGGCATGGTGGCTTGCTCCTCCTATACTCCCAGCTACTTGGGAGGCTGAGGCAGGAGGTTTGCTCGAGCTCAGGAGTTTGAGGCTGCAGTGAGCTACGACTGCAGCACTGCACTCTAATCTGGGTGATAGAGTGAGACCTCATCTCTAAAAAAAATTTAAAAACAAATAATAATTAAAAATTAAAAAAAATCATAGGTGGAAAGGAGCACAATTTTTTTTTTTAAAGAGATGGGGGTCTTGCTGTATTGCCCAGGCTGGCCTTGAACAACACAATTCTCCTGACTTATCTTCCAGAGTATAAAAGGAGGACAATTTTATGATGATGGTTGTTTTGCGGATTATTTGTAAAACAGAGAGAAAGGATAGGGTTGCCAGGCACAGTGGCTCATGCCTGTAATACCAGCACTTTGGGAAGCTGAGGTGGGAGGACTGCTTCAGCCCAGGAGTTCTAGATCAGCCTGGGGAACACAGGGAGACCCCATTTCTACAAAAAAAAAAAAAAAGGCTGAGCAGGTGGTACACGGCTGTAGTCCCAGCTACTTGGGAGGCTGAGGTGGGAGGATTGCTTAAGCTTGGCAAGCTGAGGCTGCAGTGAGCTTTGATTGTGCCAATGAGCCCCAACCTGGGCAACAGAGTGAGACCTTGTCTCAAAAAAAAAAAAAAGATAGGGTTGTGGAGGGGTACAAAGAGTCTTCAATTATATCTGTAATGTTTTATTTCCTTAAAACATGAAGGTGGATGGGAACACTAAAGCAAAAAAAATACTGAAGCAAATATGGCAACATCAATATTTACTAAATCTGGGTAGTAGACACATGCTACCTGGGTGCTTGTTATATACCACACCGAATTTTTCTGTGTGTTTAAAGTATCTCTCTCTCTCTTTTTTTTTTTTTAAAGGGGGCTGAAGCAGCACAACATCCAAAGCAAAACAAACAAATGCTTAGCTTATTGTTGAACTTCTGAAGAGCCTGCATTTAGGTCCATATAGTCACAAAGACAGTTTTAAGTTTGACAGGAATGTTGATCCATTTTAGGTTCAGGCAAAACTGTAAACTTAGAGTTTTTTTGTTTTTGTTTTTAAATAGGCTGGAGTGAGGTGCACGATCTCACTGCAGCCTCAAACTCCTGGGCTCAAGTGATTCTCCCATCTCAGCCTCCTACAGGTGCATGCCACCAAGCAAGCCTGGCTAATTTTTTTTTTTTTTTAAAGTAGAGATGAAGTCTCACTATGTTGCCCAGGCTGGTCTCCAATTCCTGGGCTCAAACGATCTTCCAGCCTTGGCTTTCCAAAATGCTGGAATTACAGGAGTAAGCCACCACATTTGGCCTGGATCTTAGGAAAAATTTGAGTTTCAGAATAAACATAGTATTCTGATCAAAGTGTAGTCCTCAAAATGTGGCCTAGGAGCTGCTCCTATCTTACACTATTCTCTATGTCTTTGGGAAGAAATGACTTATATTTGGTTTTAAAAAATATCTATCATCATAAAGCTTCTTGGGTGATTAAAAAAATACCTATCACTTTATTGTTGTCATTAAAGCACACACCTACCTGCCCCTCCATTTTCCTCATTAAATTCTGATGAAATGACTTGATGCCAGAGTAAGATGAAAGACGTGGTCACAATTGTCTTATGATTGGGAAAGGCTGTGAACTTAATGGGGCTCTTTCCCTGCTTTCTTTCTCCTGCATTCTTTTGATTATACTCTTCTGCCCATAAATAAAGTGTAGCAACATGTTAAGCTATGGAGTTAACATAGCTAGTGATACATTATTCTCATTATATGTAATAAGTTGTCTCAGGTATTTCAAATAATGTTTCCTATACATCTACCATCTTGAAAATAATAAAAACAAAATGACCCCCCAAATGTTAAACAACAAGGACTACCTGAGACCGCACATGTAAAAATGTGGCAGATTTTCAGCAAATACTAATAGGAAAATGACTTAAGTTTCTCCTACTTCACCTTTTGGCAGAAATACTGGCATAATAAAGGACATGTTTTCCCAGAGGGGGAAAAAAAAGACAAGTCAATTCTTTAAATCTTGAAACTAAAAATGCATCACTGCTGTAATGCATTTCGAAACATACTACCAGGAAAGAGAAAGAAAAAAATTAAGACGCATTAGTGTAAGTGATATTAAAGAAAATGGCCGGAGATGGAACTCCTGCCTAGCAATTCAAGAAGCAAAGGAGCTGGTGGGATAGACAGGTTGTTCCTTCTGCATTGCTGATGAAAACAGGAAATTGAATTTCTATATATTTTTCCTTTTTACAACTAAGAAAAAGGCAGAAGAAGCACAAAGAGCCTGGCTAAAGACAGAAATCGTAGTGCTCTCTGAAAATCAACATCAAGAACAAAAAGTCCTACTCAATTATCTGCAGTAACTAACTAGAGAAAACTCCCCATCTTTTCTTTATTTAGGAATATCTTTGTTACTTTGATAGAGATATTCAGTCATTCATCCAATCACCCATCAATCCAATGAAAAAACATTTATTGAGCACACAGAGGTGCCAGACCCTAGGTATACTGTGTGTGTGTGGAGAGAAGTGGGTGAAGTGAGACTAAAGGAATATCATCTTTCTTAAATTTTTTTTCCCAACACCACTAAACCTGTGGGAGAATATCATCTTTTTCCACAAGGATTTAATAGTCTAGTGAGGGAGACAAAAAGATCCTCTCAAAAATGAAGTATCTGGGCTGGGTGTGGTGGCTCATGCTTGTAATCCCAGCACTTTGGGAGGCCAAGGCGGGTGGATCATTTGAGGTCAGGAGTTCAGGACAAGTCTGGCCAATATGGTGAAACCCCATCTCTACTAAAAATACAAAAATTAGGCCGGGCGCGGTGGCTGACGCCTGTAATACCAGCACTTTGGGAGGCCGAGGTGGGCGGATCACGAGGTCAGGAGATCGAGACCATCCTGGCTAACACGGTGAAACCCCATCTCTACTAAAAATACAAAAAATTAGCCGGGCGAGGTGACGGGCGCCTGTAGTCCCAGCTACTCGGGAGGCTGAGGCAGGAGAATGGCGTGAACCCGGGAGGCGGAGCTTGCAGTGAGCCGAGATCGCGCCACTGCACTCCAGCCTGGGCGACAGTGAGACTCCGTCTCAAAAACAAACAAACAAACAAACAAACAAACAAACAAACAAAAATTAGCCAGGCGTGGTGGTGCACATCTGTAATCCCAGCTACTTGGGAGTCTAGGCTGGAGAATCTCTTGAACCTGGAGGCGGAGGCTGCAGTGAGCTGAGATCGCACAATTGCACTCCAGCCTGGGTGACAAAGCGAGATCCTGTTCCCTCCACCCCCCCACACCAAAAAAAGAGGCGTCTCTGCCAGGCACGGTGGCTCAGGCCTATAATCCCAGCACTTTGGGAGGCCAAGGTAGGAGAATCGCAACAGCCCAGGAGTTTGAGACCAGCCTGGACAACATGGTGAAACCCTTCCTACAAAAAATACAAAAATTAGCCAGGGGTGGTGGCGCGTGCCTGCAGCCCCAGCTACTCGGGAGGCTTAAGCGGGAGGATCACTTGAGCCCAGGAGGTTGAGGCTGCAGTGAGCTGTGATCGCGCCACTGCATTTCAGACTCAGCAACAGAGCGAGACCCTGTCTCCAAAAAAAAAAAAGAAAAAAAAAATGAGCTGTCTCATTGAGCTCAATCCTGCCCCTTTCTAAGGGGGAATAATAAAAACAAAATACCCATGGAGAGAAGGAAAATTTAATGAAAACAACAACAAAAATATATTGGAAAAAGCAAGCAACTTGGAACTGGATCTTAGTCTGATGACTGGCTCCTCAATTCCTAAACTGGATGGTTTGAAATCTGTTATTTAACATCCCTGCATACACTGGGGATAGTAATTCCTATCTACCTAACAGAGCTGAAGCTTAAACGAGAACATTGTAATATGCCTAAGGTCCCAAGAGCTGAATCAACAAAGGGAATCTGACAGAGTCAGCTTACAACAGAGGGAACTGGTAGTTTTGCCTCAATGGAGGGACCTACAAGGGACACAGACAGGGATCAATCTCTGTGGGACCAAAGCTTTGAATCGAAGGCAGAAATGCAGTCGTTTTACAATTTTCTCCTTTCCCCCCAAAATAAGAGCAGTATTTAGATTCTTTCTATTGGTCAATATTGATGCTTCTGCATGGTGGTGCTGGCAAAAGGGATGACGGATAAAGTACTGGATTTAGGGCACCTCTGCTATGTGACCTTGGGCTCACGTTACGTCTTCGCGCTTCAGTTTTCTCATCGGTAACACGAAGATCAAAGTTCCTTTTAAACTATGCGTCCAGTTTTTGTGAGGATCCAACTCGAATGTATGTGAAAACGCCCTGGAAGCGCTAGAGCGCCAGGCAAATATTAAGTTTGGTAATTTTTTCCCCGTAAGAACTAGGCGTTCCAAAGAGGAGGACAACCTCTCTGCTTCCTTTGTCACTCTCCTTTCTTCTCGACCTTTACCAACTTTGTAATTTATAATCACAGTAATAGCTGACATCCTACAGCGGTTTCTGGCACCAGATTCTCGGGCCCCACCCAGATCCACACCACCAAGCCGCAGCGCCGGCTGAGACCGAAGGAAAACTTAGCCGTTCTCCACCCGCGGGCGGGCACTCGCCTCTAGGCCCCACCACCCAGAGTCCCGGAAGCCAATCCCCACAGCCCTGGAGCACTGCCCCGCCCCTTCAAGAGGGAAAACAATATGGCGGCAAGGAAGAATGGCAGGGGCGTGAGCCAATCACCGCAGAGGCCTAGCCTCATCCGGCAAGGCTAAGAGGCGGTATCATTGGCTAAGATGGACAGCCAGAGCAACCAATAGAGCGATCGGAAATGGGGGAGAGGGCGGGCGACGGGAATCTCACACAGCGGTTAAGGCCCCTAGAGCCAAGGGCCCAAGGACTGGCTTGGACTATAACTCTTTCCTTTATCCACTCCAGAGTTCTCCATCCCACTTTTGCTGGCTGGCCGCCTTGCCTGCGGACTATGTGATAAGGGGAGGAAGGAGGCGGCGGTGGCTGAACGCGCCTGACAGGCCGGGCCAGTGACAAAGAGCCGGCGGCTCAGGCTGAACCCCGGGAAGCGATCCTTTCGAGGAGGAGAGCCCAAGTCCCCTTATAGATAGGAAAGACGCAACTCACGTTGTCGATCACGACAGGCTGGTTGGCGATCACATCGTAGGACTCCATGGCAGAGGAATCTCTCCTTCTGGGGAAGGAACTGCCCAGCCGGGTCCGCCGCTAGCGCCACTGACACGCATGCGCAGTCTAGCCGCCGGTTCAGGGCGGCGAGGGAGCGGCCCGACCTCGCCTCTGAAGAACTACAATCCCCAGCAAGCTTTGCGCCTGGGTTAGCGATCTAGCTTGCTTTGTTGCCCGCCTAGTTTAAGATTGGGAGTCGCATTTCCAATGCGCAGTACCCTGGGATTTGTGGTCTCCCTAGATTAAACAGCCAGAGACACAGGTTGATGGTCATGTTGCATGCCTGGATCTGTAGTCCCTTTGAAGGAGTTCGCAGTGCATGCTGAGGTATGTAGTCTTCTCGAGTACTTGTCTGTAGTTCGGTTTGGATTGGTCGTAATTCATGGATGTTTGGATTTTGCAGATCAGCCCTGCCACTCCCCCCGACGTTCCCTTAGACAATATAAGGTTCTCATGTTTTTATTTGGGTCTGTAAGACTTTAATAAACATCTCCTAGCACCTCACACTCTAACAAAAAGGAAATGTTAACACACGTACGCGAGAGGACATATTCCTACAACAAAGGAAAACAATTTAAATTGCATAAAATTAGCTTTAAGTTTAAAAACCTGTACATTGTCGTTGCCTTTTGCATTTTCTTTTTTTCTGCATAACAGGCTAACATTGATCCGAAGATTGGCAATTGGAACTACTGGTATAGGTAATCTTTTGGTCATTAAAACATCATCTAAGGGTTTCAGAAACTGCTCGAGTATCTCTTTAATTTTCATAACGAGCTAGAATTGACACTGATGGTTGAGAAAATGGAGGTGAAGAGAGGTTATGTGTCACTGCTTTCAAATGAGCCCAGTGCATTTTTTTCTCTGGATTATGTTCTCCCCCAGCCCCCTTGAAATTTCAGGGACCTTTTTGTCAATAGCCCTAGAAAACATTAGATTTATTATCATCTATTAATACTAACGCCCCATGGATGAATGAATCAATCCATTGTCAGATTTATGTTTAAATCCTAGTTAGCAGCGCGTCAGCAAAACAGTAACAAATCCTTTGTTGGCGCACTTCTCGCTGCTTTCGTGGGACCTTAGCACCTCAGAGGGTGCTCAGCATCTCTAAACTTGGGTTCCTCCTAACACTAGGGGGAGACCAAGAGCCTTGGGACACTCCCAACACAGGGAGGGGAGGCGGGGCCTATTGTCAAGTCACACCTTCCCTGCCTGTGACTGGCACAGACATTAGCCAATGGGTGCTTGGATAGGGTGCGCCGGCGCCCCGCCCCCCTTAGCGCCCCGCCGCCCCGAGGCACCCTCTGGCAGACTCGGCGGCGGCGACAGCCTGGGCGGACAGTGCGCCGTGCGCAGGCGCGGAGCTAGACCTCGCTGCAGCCCCCATCGCCTCGGGGAGTCTCACCCACCGAGTCCGCCCGCTGGCCCGTCAGTGCTCTCCCCGTCGTTTGCCCTCTCCAGTTCCCCCAGTGCCTGCCCTACGCACCCCGATGGCGGAGCTGCGGCCTAGCGGCGCCCCCGGCCCCACCGCGCCCCCGGCCCCTGGCCCGACTGCCCCCCCGGCCTTCGCTTCGCTCTTTCCCCCGGGACTGCACGCCATCTACGGAGAGTGCCGCCGCCTTTACCCTGACCAGCCGAACCCGCTCCAGGTTACCGCTATCGTCAAGTACTGGTATGCTCTGGGCCGCGGGGAGACGGACAGGCGCGGGCTGGAAAGGGTTAAAGCGCCGAGGGCGAAGTAATTTGTGGGAGGTGGGAGGAGGGGTAGAGAATGGTTAAAGCACTCAGAAGGAGGGCTTCTTGCTGCGAGGGAAGGAGTTAAGGCTCAAGTTGGGAATGGGGACAAAGGGGTTAACGGAGCCCGTGGGTACTGAGGGGTTAACCGGGATTAGGAGAATAGAGTGAGGACTGGGGGTGTGTGTAGGAGCAGAGGGGGGAACGGCAGGAGCGAGGGAACTGTAAACGTGGTGAAAAGAGGGGGCGCCTGTAGGGGGTCATTAGTGGGCGAGGGGAAGCCAAGCGGGGGCGGCCGAAGTGGGATGGGAGAGGCGAGGCGGGGCCTGGGGAGCATTTGAGAGGGCTTTGGAGGAGCGAAGCCGAAGAAGCTCAGAGGGCACGAGACTGCATAGAATGGGGGGTTCGGGGGGCCCAGGGCTCTCCTGTGGTGGGTAGGAGGGCCAAAGATGAGGGCCTGGTGCTTGTGGAGAGAGGAGGAGGTCTCCTTTTGATACCTTCCCGATTAGCTCAGACGTCGTATCAGGGCAAAGCTTTTGCTTTTGAAGTTTGACGGAGCAGCTCTTCCTGATAAACTTTTTG
Source organism: Homo sapiens (assembly GCF_000001405.40). Lineage (NCBI taxonomy): Eukaryota > Metazoa > Chordata > Mammalia > Primates > Hominidae > Homo > Homo sapiens. Next base: position 102,504,979 of record NC_000010.11, read on the forward strand.
CTTACTCTGCACTGTTCTCTTTCTCCGTGCAGAGCTTCCTCCTAGCTCTGCAGTTGCTTCGCTTTAGGGCATTAGGTAGAGAGAACCATGGTTTGGCTTAGGATTGAAGGGGCCGACAGCTTCCCACCTCCAGTTGGAAATAAATGGTGGAGACTCTGGGACCCCAGCAGGGAGGAATTGTGCAGTGGGACATTAAGAGGAGCTTCTCGGCCATGGCCTGCAGTTTCTCCGGGGAGCTGAGAGTAACCCTCAAGTAGCTTTAGGGTAGGAATGGTCTTTTCTAATTTCCCATTCCTGTTTGCAGCCTGTTTCTTCCTTCAGCATTTGGGCAGAACAGATGTTCTGGGGACTCTGGAAAAGAACCTGTCCTCAAAGTCTTGCTGGACCAAAAACTGAGATATTGGTTGAAACTGTCCAGGACCACATTCATGCAGGCATTGTGTAAGATGATCTTCAATGAGTCTTGAAAGACTGTTCTGCAGCTGCTTGGGGGTGTAGCCAAAGGGTAGACCTGAAGGGGCAAGTGGACATCTTTGCTGGTTACCTCTCCTTTTAGGACTGAGTCTTCCTCCTGGTGAAAACCTGTTGCTTCCCCTGGACATCGGTGTCAGTAGGCTGTGCAGGGCTGAGGCCAGCTGCCCGCATCAATGGGAGGATGCCAAGAGGCCAACAGCGTGGAGAGCCTGGGGACCAGCCACCTGCTGTCTAGGGAGGATTGTAGGGAACAGCCTCCTCTGTCAGAGTAGACGGGAGGAGGTGGAACTGGTGTCGCAGTCCTCTCTCACTGGCGAACTGTTCTCTGGTTGAGAGGAGTTGTTGAAGAGCGCTTCTGAGTGGAAAGCAGCTCTTGCTAGCTTAATGACCCATTCTCATTGTGCCTTTATATTTAACTATGTGTTGTGATGAACTTGTTGTCATGTGTCAGGAGAAAAGTGGGCCTGGGCTGGGCACAGTGGCTCATGCATGTATTCCCACCACTTTGGGAGGCCTTGAGGATCCCTTGAGGCCAGGAGTTCGAGACCAGTGTGGGGAGCGTAGCCAGACCCTAACTCTGTTATTTGAAAAAAAAAAAAAAAAAAAAAAAAAAAGAAGTGGGCCTGGCTCTGCCACGCTGTTTGTTCAGGCCTCATTTGAGTGTGAGGAGAAATCCCTACACAGATTCAGGCAACTATTTTTATGTCACCCAAGTAGCCATAAAGGATAGAATTGTATGTAAAAGGTATGAAAGCATGTGCAAAGGACTAAGGGCAATTTTTTTTTCCTTCCTGCTGCAAGCTTGTTAACAGCCATATCTTCAGAGATGGGCCAACATGTGATAATGAAGAAAAGGGATTATACAGCACTTTGTGAAAGCCCTTCCTAGATGCAGAAAAGTATAAAGAGAAACAGCACAGTGACTGGTACTTTCTTTTTTTTTTGAGACAGAGTTTTGCTCTGTCACCCAGGCTGGAGTGCAGTGGCACGATCTTGGCTTACTGCAACCTCTGTCTCCCGGTTTCAAGCGATTCTCGTGCCTCAGCCTCCCAAGTAGCTGATATTACAGGCACACGCCACCTTGCCCAGCTAATTTTTGTATTTTTAGTAGAGGCAGAGTTTCACCATGTTGGCCAGGCTGGTCTCGAACTCCTGACCTCAAGTGATCAACCCACCTCGGCCTCCCAAAGTGCTAGGATTACAGGCGTGAGCCAGTGCGACCAGCCATCAGTGACTGGTACTTTCTAAGATGTGGAGGGGTTTGCAAAAATAAGATCCTGAAATTCATTTATATTCCTCACATTTGGGATCCCACGAGGTTTCTAGCAGGATGACTGACCCAGGCTGTCTGGGTCTGTCTGTGGCCCAGGGTAGCTTGGGATTCATTTTGCAATAGCAGTGTGGCTCTGTGACTGGTGATCCCTGAGTAGTGGGGACATTCTAACTGAAAGCTGAGACTTTGGTGAGCAAGGATCAAAGCAGAGAGGCAGAACCTGTACTCATGGCCCACTTCAGTCCTGCAACTGCCCTGCAGAGAGAAGTTGGGTGTTCAAGGAATTAAGTTGAGGGATGCCCTGGGACCTTGGATAACATCATTTGCTAAGTGTAAAATGCGATTTTTTTCCACATACTCATCTGGCCTCTGAGTAGTAAGTAAACAGAATACTCTGTGCTTGGGGACAGGGTTAATTTTATCTGACTCTTGGTAGTTCCTTGCAGTTGGAGTTTGAAGGTTAAGCTTCTCTCCTTGATGTGACACCTTGTGGGAGACTTGGTGAGAAAGAGGGCTGCAGGGATGCTGCAGATGGAGCAGAGAATGGTAAACACAGTTTTGCAGCTTGGTGCAGGATGGACCTAGGCTGTAGCGGGGCAGGTTTGGAAATTTGCAGCAGGAAACTGGAGCAGGTATGGGGCCTGTAGTGGCTCTCATCTGCTCTGGAGTTCTGTAGCTCTAATGGGGTCTTTCCAGGGATCTCTACTCTTTTCTTTCTTCCCTTGCCCCACAAACTTTTCTAAATCCAACCTGTTGTAGAATTAGTCAAGTGATTTGTTGAAATCAGTTAAGGCAGACATGGAGAGTTGTCCCTCTTCCTCTGTTGAGATGCTAAGCTATTTGTAGCAACTTTCTTAAAAGTTCTATAAATAACTTAGCATTTCCTAACAGAGAATAGGGATTTCTATCCACAAAGGCAAATAATATCCTGGTGAAAGAGGACGAAACAAGACCAACTGGTTTTAAATAGTGTTTAAATTGCCTGGTGCTGGCACCATTGACTGGGATCACTTGTAACATGTCTTTTATTTGGTTGTTAGCTTTCCACCAGCATGCTATCCCAGTTGCAAAGTGTACTCCATCGATGTCCCAGGGGCAGGTGAAGCTTTTGCAGTCTGTGGAATGGTCAGATGTTTGAGGCAGCTCAAATGCCGTGTTTGTGGGCTAAATGCAGACTTCCTTCCACTGATGGTTTCTATTTGGTCTATTTCTCTAGCTACCAAAATTTCTTATCCATTTTTTTTTTTTTTTTTTTTTTTAGACAAAGTCTCACTCTGTCACCCAGGCTGGAGTGCAGTGGCGCAATCTTGGCTCCCTGCAACCTCTGCCTCTGTTGTCCAGGCGATTCTCCTGCCTCAGCCTCTCAAATAGCAAATAGCTGGGATTACAGGCACCTGCCACCACACCTGGCTAATTTTTTGTATCTTTAGTAGAGATGGGGTTTCACCATGTTGGCCAGGCTGGTCTCAAACTCCTGACCTCAAGTAATCCACCCACTTCGGCCTCCCAAAGTGCAGAGATTACAGGTGTGAGCCACCGTGCCCGGCCAAAACAGGATTTTTTTTAAAAAGCACTGATTACTAAAGGGAACTCTTATTGTATTAAATCCTCAGAGTGAGATAATAACTGAATCTCTTCCGCAACTCCTTCTCAGTTGAATGGTGGGGGAAATTTAATGTGGTCCTGAGAGGCCCCAAATCATTTACCATCCCAGCTCTACCTTTGATGTGGCAGTCTCTCCTGGGATCATTTTCTGGGTGCAGATGCTCACAGGGCGCAGTTTGACTCCTTCTGCAGTTCTCTGTGCAGAACTAAGTTAAGCCTAAGTTTGGCCTTTGTCACTTGCAATGATAAGAGACCAGCTTTGGTCTATGGGGTGCAGGCTGGTGTCAGCACAGACTAGAGGCTTTGGGTTTGTTTAGAACAAACTGTAATTAACATAGGGCACAATATAGTCTTTCAGGAATTAGCTGTCTAAGAGGCTGGAGTGGAGCAGAGCCTCTGCTTCCAGGAACAATGCCCATTGGGGATGCTTGGGATGGTCTTTCAACAGAGGCCAATTGATTGACTGATGTACCTCTTGCCTTGAAGCTTGGCATGTATACAGGCACCACAGAAGAGAGACAATCCCTGCCAATCTCATTTGGGATCGGTAATTTGAAACAGGAGAAAGCAAAATGGGTAACCATCCAGTCTGTTTTATTTCTAAAAGAGGCCCAGTCTTTCAGGGGTAGGAGAAGGGAGCCTCTTGGGCTTGCAGAGTTGGGCAGCCTTAGCTGTCCATCCCTTAGTCTCATTCTGGAGAGATGTGGCCTCTGTTTAGTTACCTTTCACCCAGGTTCCTCCAGGATGGGTCCTTTAGGTTTACAAAGTAGAGCGCCTTAGCTTGACATTGTCTGATTTCCAGGCTTACACTAACACCCCTGTGTTTTGTTTTTTGCAGGTTGGGTGGCCCAGACCCCTTGGACTATGTTAGCATGTACAGGAATGTGGGGAGCCCTTCTGCTAACATCCCCGAGCACTGGCACTACATCAGCTTCGGCCTGAGTGATCTCTATGGTGACAACAGAGTCCATGAGTGAGTATATGCCACCTGTTCTTTATCCAGAGCCTTATTCCTGAGGTCTTCCTGAGCAGGGGTGACAATGTCATAGTGCTGTGAGCATGGTACTTCTCCGTGGAACCTCTGCATTTCTGCCCTCTGACTATATCTACTCATGCCAAGGTGGTCCTCGTTAACACCTGATTCCTGCTTATCTAGTGCAGGAAAGTCTTGATGAGCAGGATTCCCAAATCAGGTTTTTCTAAGCTTGCCCTGGAGTTTGGGCTCATAGGACAGGAAGGTAGCATGGTTATGACTCAGAACTTGGGCTGATGCCTCTGTGTCTACTTCCTTTTATTCCCCTAGCTTATTATGAAACATTTTAAACATAAAGCAAAGTTGGAAGGATTTTATAGTGAACACTCATATACCCACAACCCAGATTCTACTGTTAACTTTATACTTGCTTTATCACAAATCTGTTCATCTCTTATCCTTTATCTATCTTACCTACTTCCTTTTAACCTGTATTTATTTATTTTTTTATCTTAGTCTGCTTCCGTTTGTTGCCCTATATGCTTTTTTTTGGAGATAGGGTCTCACTCTGTCATCCAGGCTAGAGTGCAGTGGTATGATCATGGTTCACTGCAGCCTCGACCTCCCTAGGCTCAGGTGATCCTCCAACCTCAGCCTCCCGAGTAGCTGGGACGACAGGCAAGCACCACCATGCCCAGCTAATTTTTGTAATTTTTTTGTAGAGACAGGGTTTCACCATGTTGCCCAGGCTGGTCTCAAACTCCTGGGCTTAAGCAGTTCTTCCACCTCAGCTTCCCAAAGTGTCGGGATTATGGGTGTGAGCCACTGTGCCCAACTCAGAGTTCATACTGTTAATGACTGTATTCTCTTGCCTTTTGAGCAATTATATCATGTACTCCAATAAGCTACCAACTATTTTTTTTAGAAACAGAGTCTCGCTTTGTTGCCCAGGCTGGAGTGCAGTGGGGTGATCTTGGCTCACTGCAAGCTCCACCTGCCGGGTTCACGCCATTCTCCTGTCTCAGCCTCCTGAGTACCTGGGACTATAGGCACCCACCACCACGCCCAGCTAATTTTTGTATTTTTAGTAGAGACGGGGTTTCACCATGTTAGCCAGGATGGTCTTGATCTCCTGACCTCGTGATCTGCCTGCCTCGGCCTCCCAAAGTGCTGGGATTACAGGCGTGACGACTGTGCCCGGCCTGCTACCATCTATATTTTAAAAAGATTTTTTTTGGCTGGGCACAGTGGCTCATGCCTGTAATCCCAGCACTTTGTGGGGCTGAGGCAGGTGGCTCACTTGAGGTCAGGAGTTCGAGACCAGCCCGGCCAACATGGTGAAACCTTGTCTCTACTAAAAATACAAAAAATTAGCCAGGCATGGTAGCATGTGCCTGTACTCCCAACTACCCCGGAGGCTGAGGCACGAGAATCACTTGAACCTGGGAGGCAGAGGTTGCAGTGAGCTGAGATCGTGCCACTGTGCTCCAGCCTGGGCAACAGAGTGAAACTGTGTCTTAAAAAAATAATAATTAGGCTGGGTGTGGTGGCTCACGCCTATAATCCCAGCACTTTGGGAGGTCGAGGCAGGCGGATCACCTGAGGTTGGGAGTTTGAGACAAGCCTGACCAACATGGAGAAACCCTGTCTCTACTAAAAATAATAAAATTAGCCGGGCGTGGTGGCACATGCCTGTAATCCCAGCTACTAGGGAGGCTGAGGCAGGATAATTGCTTGAACCTGGGAGGAGTAGGTTGCAGTGAGCCAAGATTGTGCCATTGTACTCCAGCCTGGGCAACAAGAGTGAAACTCCATCTCAAAAAAAAAAAAAAAAGTAATAATAATAATAATAATAATGAAAATAAACAAAGTTTTTTTTATTTATATTCTTTTGATGGAGAGTTTCTTTTCTTCAATTTAAATGTAATCTTTCTATGTTTGTATTCTGTCAATTAAAAATAAAATAAATAGTCTTCCCTCAACCTCATTAGCATGGTTAATCAAGAGCTGATTTTATTTGTATTGTCATATCCTCTTCTGGTTTTTGCCTTTTGTACTTTTTTGCCCCTTATACCATGTCTTTTCTATCTTGGTGGTGGCTGCTTAACCTGGGCAGGTTGAAAGAGTAGCAGGACTCGTCCTGTCCTGCCTTTGCATAGCGACCAATTCTGGAGATGATGATGGTATCATAAAGAAGATGATGATAGCCTTTTTTCCCTTTGTTTAGTACTTACTGTCTTCCGTGTCATTGTGTTAAATGCTTTACAATCTTATCAGGGTCTCGTTATTCCTATTTTATAGATAAGAAAAATGAGTCTCTTGAGGGGTTAAATGAATTGCTAAAGTTACAGATCTAGGGGTAAAAGAGCTGGGATTGAATTGGGCTGTTTGAGTCCAAAGTTTGAGCTTTTTTGTTTTGTTTTTTGAGACAGGGTCACGCTCTGTCACCCAGGCAGGAGTGTAGTGGCTCAGTCATGGCTCACTGCAGCCTCAACCTCCTGGGCTCAAGCAATTATCCCACCTTAACCTGCCAAGGAGCTGGGACTACAGGCATGCACCACCACACCTGGCTAATTTTTCAAATTTTCTGTAGAGTTGAGGTCTCACTATGTTGCCCAGGCTGGTCTCAGATGCCTGGGCTGAAGCGATCTTCCTGCCTTGGCCTCCCAGAGTGTTGGGATTACAGGCGTGAACCACTGTATTCAGCCTCAGAGTTTGAGCTTTTAACCACTGGGCTATTCCACCTCTCTGAACACAGGCCTAACCCAACTTCCTCTTCTCTCTTGTTAAGCTCAGAGGCCCAGGTTTCATCTCTTCGCTGGTCACGTGTTGGGAGCAATGTCTGCAGCTGCCTTTACAGCCTTCCAAATGGATTCATTGCAGTGTCAGCAGAAGGATTTGGGAAGAGGGAATTAATCTTGCCTGAATGGGGACCCAGCATTACAGTATTAATAATGGAGATAGAATAGCAAACAGATGTGGGGAGTAAAGAGACTATGCTGGACCTTAATTTATATTTTTAATAAGAACCTGCAGAGAGTATTTAGTGCAGCTAGCCTGTACCTTTTTGTTGACAGATTTATTCTGGTTAAAAGAATATCATTTCCTATGTGGCTTAAGGATTCTTCCAGTCTACCTGCTAGGTATAGGCCCAAGGCCCAAAATAACATGAAGAATGTGATTGAGCAAGCCTCATATTTCAGAAGGGGCAACCTCTTAATTTGAAATAGGACCTTTCTTATTGTTTTTTTCTGGTTTAATACTATCCTCTTACATGTGTTTCATTTCTACATGGTACAGCACTTTGTATTCATATGTCATTTATGACAAGAGTGAAACCTCTATTTGGGTTTTCATGTCACCAATCAAGCCTAGTATTTTCCAGTATTACATCCTGGCACTAGAAGAATGTGGAAGGAATGTTCTCAGATATTTACCCAGTTCTGGTCTATGTTGCAGAAGTCAAAAGTACTTCTATAGGCTGCGCATGGTGCCTCATGCCTATAGTCCTAGCACTTTGGAGGTCAAGGCAGGAGGATCGCTTGAGCCCAGGAGTTTGACACCAGCCTGGGGAACATAGTGAGACCCTCCCCCATCTCTACAGAAAATACAGAAATTAGCCAGACATGGTGGTGTGCATCGTAGCCCTAGCTGCTTGGGGGGCTGAGGTGGGAGGATCACTGGAGCCTGGGAGTTTGAAGCTGCAGTAAGCCATAATTGCACTACTGCGCTCCAGTTTGGGTAACAGAGCGAGACCCTATCTCAAAAAATAAATAAAGAAAGAAAAATAATAAAACACGAATAGGTACCTTTATAATTGGCTTTGTACTGGGATGACTGGTTTCTTTTTGATCCTGTTAAGTTTCTTGAAGAAAAATGTGATTTTCCACACATTTCGTAATGGTGGGGCCTCTTTAAAATGACTTAATGAATCCTCATTTAAATTAGTACTCAAAGCTAGGCCAGAAAGGCAAGTGTTCTGCCATCCAGCTTAAGTGCTAAGGGGCGCTGGGTTGGAATGATGGCAAATGGATCTCTGGCAACAATTCTTCCACTGTCTGTGTCTTCTCTTCAGCAAAAAAGGAGCAGAAGCATTGATTCATTTTTTCAGCACACATTCATCAAGCACCTACTTTGTATCAGACACAGAACATCGTAATAGATGTCTTGGGGGATAAAATAGCAAGACATAATTCTTGTCTGAAGGAGCTCATGTTCTAGAGGGGAGATAAACATGTAAAGATGGTTATAATATTGAGTAATAAATGCTACAGTCCATGGGTGTAAAACACGGTCTGGGAGCAGAGCAGAGGGAGTAACTTCTAGTGAGGCTGCTGAATTGCTAGAGGCTGCAGTGAGGAGGTAGCGTTTGAGAGGAACCCTGTAGGAAGGGGCCTGGGATGCCATCTGCAGCCTGACGCGGTACCAACAACGCTTTTAGGAGTGAGAGGGACTTGAAAAACCTTCTAGCTCAGTATTTCAAAAACTTCTAGTGCCACTTTCATAATTGTTGCCACTTGTAGTATTATTTACTTCATGTTCCTTTTAAGTTATCCTCTCCTTTTTTAAACTGATATGAATTTATTTTTATTTTTATTTTTGAGATGGTCTCGCTCTGTTGCCTAGGCTGGAGGGCAGTGGCGAGGTCACGGCTCACTGCAGCCTCAACCACTCTGGCTCAAACGATCCTCCTACCTCAGCCTCCCAAGTAGCTGGGACCACAGGCATGCACCACCACACCCGGCAAATTTTTTTTTTTTTATTGTTGACACGAGGTCTTGCTATGTTGCCCAGGCTGGTCTCGAACTACTGGACTCAAGCAATCCTCCTGCCTTGGCCTCTCAAAGTGCTGGAATTGCAGGCAAGAGCCAGTGCTCCTGGCAACGGCATTTATTAAATGCCTGCTGTGTACCTCCTCCTATTATGATCTTTCCTTCTCCTCACAGCCTGTTGAGGGTAGGGACAGGCAGAAGCGAGGGGTCCTCTGCATTTCTTCTTGCTCCTGGCAGGCATGCTTCAGGGTCAGGAGGGGATGCCCACCCTGGTAACCCTAAAAGGGATGAAGAGTATGATGATTTGATAAGCCTTGGGATGGCCATTTTCATTCAAGTTCTTTCCTTATTCACATTCACTAAAGGAAACCAGGCAAGAGAGCACTTGTTTTGATCAAGATTCTTAAGAAGCCATTTCTGAAGTTGGAGAGATGGAACAAGTTCCAGGTCTGGGCAGCCACAGGAGAGAACAGAGTGCTTTTCTAGGAACCCCAAGGCTGCTCCCAACTGACCTGAGTGGAGAAATTGTCCTGTGGGACTCTTCCCTGGGACTTGGGAGGTGTCAGACAGCTGAGCCTCAGCTGCCAAGTGCTGTCGGAGCTTGCAGCTCTGGCCTTCCCCTTCATGGCCAGCTAGCTGTGGACTGGAATGTGGGGATCTATGCGGCTGTAGAAGTGGTTTCAGCATCACTCTGTGAGGATTTCTGGCTGTCCCTGGTACCACCAACAGCTCTGGCTAGACAGAGCCTATGGGGCCCTAACCGAGGCTGGAAGGCTGGGTAGTTGGAGAGTGCATTTGAGAACTCAGGCAGACTTCCCTGGTGGGATTTTCCCAGGGCAGGTCATCTGCTGTACAAGTCGGGCTGGTTCCAAAGACAGCCTTTGTGTGGAGTTGGCCCAAAAGCATGGGTCATGCCCATGCCTCACCACCATGGGTGATCTAGGCTCTGTCTCACAAATGTGACTTCTTGGCGCACATGTCCAGTGGAGTTTGGAGCAGTTCTGCACCCCCCGTGGGGTCTGGAACTGCCGCTGACCGGCTTTCTGGGGCTGCCTCCACCCGGTTGGTGGAGAGCCTCCCTTTCCCTTGTGTTCTTCTTAGCTGGGCTCTGCACCCGCATGAGTTATTTATTAAAACACTGGATACAGATTAACTTTTCCACTTGTTGTTTAGTGTGGCCTCCGTCTCCTGCAGTTGAGAAATGCTAATTTTTCCTCCTCAAAGCTTAGTTTGCCGGAACTTTTTTTTTTTTTTTTTTTGAGACGGAGTCTTGCTCTGTCACCCAGGCTGGAGTGCAATGGTGTGATCTCACTCACTGCAACCTCCACCTCCCTGGTTCAAGTGATTCACCTGCCTCAGCCTCCCAAGTAGCTGGGACTACAGGCGCATGCCACCATGCCTGGCTAATTCTTGTATTTTTAGTAGAGACGGGGTTTCACCATGTTGGCCGGGCTGGTCTCGAACTCCTGACCTCAGGTGATCCACCCACCTCAGCCTCCCAAAGTGCTGGGATTACAGGTGTGAGCCATCCCGCCTGGCCTGCAGGAACTTTTTAACATGTCGTTTCCAAGAGAGATCCTTTCTTCGCCATACACATCTGTACTGGGAGCTTGGTCCCTCCTCTGGTTGGACCTTTGCCCTCCTCCTAGAGCTCTCATGAGGCTGGCAACCAGAATGCCTCCCTAAGCCACTGGACCCACCCCTGGCTAAGTTTAGCAGGCTAAAAGAAGTGTTCTGCAGGCTCATTGGGGGGCACACCTCCCTGAAGCCTGGTCCCTCTGCCTTTCCTCTCAGGGATGTTCAGTGTCAGGATGACTATTTGCATGAGATGGTGGAGTTCCCTGCTAAGAACAGGTGATCTGGACCACCAAGCAAGCGTGAGGCGTCCTTTGTCACGGCCCAGTGTGGGGCAGGGCCCAACAGGGACTCTCCAGAGCCCTTCCTGAGGCCAAAGCTTTCACTTAGGGTTGGAGTTCAGGCCCCAAATCTCTGAATTTGTGAATTTTTAAATGTTGAGGAGAATTTCTTTTCTTTTTCTTTCTTTCTTTTCTTTTTTTTTTTTTTTTTTGAGATAGAGTCTTCCTTTGTTGCCGAGGCTGGAGTGCAGTGACACGACCTCGACTCTGCTGAGATTATTTATAGGTGTGCGCCACCATGCCCGGCTAATTTTTTATTTTTATTAGAGATGGGGTTTTACTATGTTGGCCAGGCTGGTCTCAGACTCCTGACCTCAAGTGATCTACCCGTCTCAGCCTCCCAAAGTGCTGGGATTTCTTTTCTTTTGTAGCTACAGGAAGACCTGTATTGTGGGGGTTCCCAGCAGATGTCTGTGGGTGCATGGCTTCATCCTTTATAAAGCATTTCATTTGCAGCATGGATTGTTTCTTCCTTCATGGGGTAAGGGTTACAAATTCTCCAATTCAGAGAGTCCCTCAACAGTTGGGAAAAAACTTGTCCAGCTGGCCCAGTTAAACTCAATTTTCTTTTTTTTGAGACAGAGTCTCGCTCTGTTGCCAGGCTGGAGTGCAGTGGCACGATCTCGGCTCACTGCAACCTCCACCTCCCGGGTTCAAGCGATTGTCCTGCTTCAGCCTCCCAAGTAGCTGGGATTACAGGTGCCCGCCAACACGCCCAGCTAATTTTTGTATTTTTAGTAGAGATGAGGTTTCACCATGTTGGCCAGGATGGTCTCGATCTCTTGACCTTGTGCTGGGATTACAGGTGTAAGCCTCTGTACTGGCCTAAACTCACTTCTAAAAAGCCTGTAGCTGGGCATGGTGGCTCACATCTGTAATCCCAGCATTTTGGGAGGCTGAGGTGGGCGGATCACCTGAGGTCAGGAGTTCGAGACCAGCCTGGCCAACATGGTGAAACCTGTCTCTACTAAAAATACAAAAATTAGCCGGGTGTGGTGGTGGGCACCTGTAATCCCAGCTACTGGGGAGGCTGAGACAGGAGAATCGCTTGAATCCAGGAGGTGGAGGTTGCAGTGAGCCGAGACTGCATCATTGCACTCTAGCCTGGGCAATAAGAGTGAAACTCCATCTCAAAAAAAAAAAAAAATTAGCTGGGCATGGTGGCACACACCTGTAAACCAAGCTACTTGGGAGGCTGAGGCAGGAGAATCGCTTGGACTCGGGGGCCAGAGATTACACTGAGCCGAGATCTCGCCACTGCACTCCAGTCTGGGTTAAGGAGTGAGACTCTGTCCAAAAAAACAAAACAAAGCAAAACAAACAAACAAAAAGAACAACTGAGTGGTGTGGTATTGTAAGTGACTACCAGGCCAGAGTGGTGCCAGGTAGGTCAGCGCTGGGAAAGTTCCTTCTCTTCCTCAAGAGACTTGGAAGCCTTTATGGGTTTGATGCAATCTGATCTCTCAGTCCCGGGATTTTTCCCTGTTCAGCCCACCCTTTTGGGCTCTCCTCTTCCAAGCTGTGCTGTTATCTATTTTGAATGCTATTCCCCATACCTCTCATGTCCTGGGTCTGAGTTTGCTAGCCTCTCCCTTATCCACCTTTCTGATTCAGGGGTCCCAACTCTGGCCTTTGGCCCTTGACTCCTGAATTCATTCATGTATCTTGCCTCTGAGGTATTCAGTGCAGCTTCATTTCTTGTTTCAGTTCTGATGTTGTTCCTGAGATGTGTCTGGTGGGATCTTATCCTCTATGACCTCAGCCCTGAGGAATGGTATCCTCACCCGTCCAACTAACTTTGCAGCTTGCTGTCCTGCCTACCAAGCTCTTGAGAACCAGGCTGTGCAGCACACTCACCAGCAGAGCTATCTTGAGTCCCCTGTACAGGCAGAACATTGGACAAGATGATGTGTTTGAGTGTGGAGACAATGAAGAATCTGACCGAGCGCCTGCCCTTAAAAATGCAGCATGTGCTTGGTAGGAGATGGTGAGGTCCTTGAGAAAGAAGATGACAGTGAGGATTGGGACTGGGAGCAGCTTCCTGTCTCCCTGTGACTTTGAGGCTCTCTCCCCTCATCCTGTGATCTTCAGTGTTCCAAGAAACTTTAAACATATAATTATTATTACAAACAATTATAGCCCTTACTTTGTATAAGGCACTTTTCTAAGTGCTTTATATAAACTCATTTAATCCTCAGAACAACTCTATGGTGTAGGACTTATTATCCTTATTTTACACATAAGGAAACTGAGATGCAGAAATGTTAAGGAACTCATCCACCCAGCCAGTGAATGCTGGAACTGGGATATAAACCCAGGCAGTCTGGATCCAGTAGTCACCACCTCCTTTTTCTACCTCCTGCAGAGAGCTGGAGAATTCTATTCAGAATTATGCTGCTAAATTCAAAGTTATCTTGGATTAATGGAATGAAATGATCAAGACTGAGTAGAGTTAACCAGAAAGTGCTTTGTGGGGGGAAATGTTGAGCTGGATGTAGAAGCTATCTATCTAACTGTCTGTCTGTCTGTCTATCTATCTATCTATCTATCTATCTATTTATTTATTTATTTTTGACACAGGGCCTGGCCCTCTCGCCCAGGCTGGAGTGCACTGGCTCCATCTTGGCTCACTGCAACCTCTGCTTCCCAGGCTTAAGTCATCCTCCTACCTCAACCTCCTGAGTAGCTGGTACTGCAGGCATGCACCATCATGCCTGGCTAATTTTTATACTTTTTGTAGAGATTGGGTTTTGCCATGTTGCCCAGGCTGGTCTCAAACTCATGAGCTCAAGCCATCCCAAAGTGCTGGGATTATAGACGTGAGTCACCGCACCCGGCCTGGAAGCAGCTTTTAAAGAAAGGGTCTGGCCGGGTGCGGTGGCTCACACTTGTAATCCCAGCACTTTGGGAGGCCGAGGCAGGCGGATCATGAGGTCAGGAGATCGAGACCATCCTGGCTAACACCCTGAAACCCCGTCTCTACTAAAAAAATAGAAAAAATTAGCCAGGCGTGGTGGCAGGCGCCTGTAGTCCCAGCTAGGCGGGAGGCTGAGGCAGGAGAATGGCATGAACCCGGGGGGCGGAGCTTGCAGTGAGTGGAGATGCGCCACTGCACTCCAGCCTGGGAGACAGCGAGACTCTGTCTCAAAAAAAAAAAAAAAAAAGAAAGAGTCCTTCAGGGCAATGGCAGGAGGGTAAAATGGGACAGCAGGTGACAGGTGTCATCTCTCAAGTCAAGACTTCACCAACCAGGCTGGGCATGGTGGCTCACTCGTGTAATCCCAGCACTTTGGGAGGCTGAGGCAGGTGGATCACCTGAGGTCGGGAGTTCGAGACCGACCTGGCCAACATGGTGAAACCGTCTCTACTAAAAAAAACCACGAAAATTAGCCGGGCCTGTTGGCGGGCACCTGTAATCTCAGCTCTTCAGGAGGCTGAGGCAGGAGAATGGCTTGAACCCACGAGGCAGAGGTTGCAGTGAGCTGAGATCATGCCATTGCACTCCAGCTTTGGCAACAAGAGAGAAACTCTGTCTCAAAAAAAAAAAAAAAAAGTCTTCTGCAACCTTATCGTAGTCATTTACAGTAAGTTGCCAGGAAAGTCTGCAACTTTTAAAAACATAAAAATTTCTGGCTTAGATGGCAAGTTCCCATGGTCATGCTGCTGCTTCTGTGGTCAGGGATGTGCCCAGCATCTCAGTGATCCTTATATCAATGCAGATAGTCATTTAAAATTTTTTAAATTCCTTTAATGATTTATTTTTAATCAATAGACTTTATATTTTTGTGGGGTTTTTTTGAGATGGAGTCTCGCTCTGTCGCTCAGGCTGGAATGCGGTGGCATGATCTCAGCTCACTGCAACCTCCGTTTCCTGGGTTCAAGCAATTCTCCTGCCTCAGCCTCCCGAGTAGCTGGGATTACAGATGCCCACCACCACGCCCAGCTAATTTTTGTATTTTTAGTAGAGAGGGGGTTTCGCCATGTTGGCCAGGCTGGTCTTGAACTCCTGACCTCAGGTGATCTGCCCACCTCGGCCTCCCAAAGTGCTGGGATTACAGGTGTGAGCCACCGCGCCTGGCCAGTTTCCCCTATTATTAACACCTTGCATTATTGTGGTTTATTTGTTATCATTGGGGAACCAATATTGATACTTATTACTACCTTAAGTCCATAGTTTACCTTAGGCTTCACTCTTTGTGTTGTACAGTTCTTTTTTCTTTCTTTTTTTTTTTTTTTTTTTTTTGAGGCAGAGTTTCACTCTTGTTGCCCAGGCTGGAGCACAATGGTGCGATCTCAGCTCACTGCAGCCTCCGCCTCCTGGGTTCAAGTGATTCTCCTGCCTCAGCCTCCTGAGTAGCTGGGACTACAGGCACCCGCCACCACGCCCGGCTAATTTTTTTGTATGTTTAGTAGAGATGGGGTTCTACCATGTTGGCCAGGCTGGTCTCGAACTCCTGACCTCAGGTGATCCAACCACCTCGGCCTCCCAAAGTGCTGGGATTACAGGCGTGAGCCACCGTGCCTGGCCAGTTCTTGGGTTTTGACAAATGCATGTCATGTATATACCATCACAGCACCATACAAACTAGTTTCACTGCTCTAAAAATTCCTTGTGCTCCACCTGTTCATTCCTCCCTCCCCCGAAACCCCTGGCAACAACTGTTTGGTTTTTTTTACTATCTCTGTAGTTTTTGCCTTTTCCAAAAGGTCATAGAGTTGGAATCAAATAGTATGTAACTTTTGCAGACTAGCTTCTTTCACTGAGTAATATACAGTTAAGATTCCGCCGTGCCTTTTGGTGACTTGATAGCTCCTTTCTTTTTATCACTTGATACTATTCCATTGTTTGTTATGTACCACAGTTTATTCTTTCACCTTTTGAAAAATATCTTGATTGCTTCCAGTATTTTTTGGCGATTTTTAATTAAGCTTCTATAAACATTTGTATACAGGTTTTTGTGTGGACATACGTTTTCAACTCATCTGGGTAAATCCCTAGGAATGTAATGCTAGATCGTATGTTAAGACTATGTTTAGCTTTATGAGAAGCTGCCAAACCATTTTCCATAGTGGCTATACCATTTTTCATTCCCACTAGCAATGAATGAGAGTTCCTATTGTTTCATGTCCTCACCAGCATTTGGTATTGTCTGTTTTTTGGATTTTAGCCATTCCAATAGGTGTGGAGTGGTATCTAATTGTTTTAATTTGCAGTTCTCTCATGACATATGCTGTTGAGCGTCTTTTCATATGCTTGTCTGTCATCTGTATATCTTCTTTGGTGACATATCTTTGTTTTTCTTCCTAACCTCCAGCCACTCCCCATTCTACCTCTGCCCATACATACCTTTTTCTCACATCATGGGTTCAGACCATGGGGCTAATTATGCTTTCTGGCATATTTTTCTTTTGGTCACTTCTCAAGCCGTTAAATGAGTTAGATCCGCTGAGTAGGTGCTGGGCCTACCTCTGAATTCCTAAGTTGCTGTTGGTTTTAACTGGGGCTGGCTCATGAGTTCTCCACCTTATATTCTCCAATGATGGTGTCTTCCATAAAGTGTAGCTGCTACTGAGATTTGCAACCTCAATCCTAAGGTTTGAGATTGATTCTGCCCTCCAGTACAGACTGTAGAGAGACTGGTATGCAGATTTGTCCATTCCATACCCTATTGGGCTTAACCTTGCCTTTGATGAGAAATGCATATACCATGCTCCTTTGAAGCCCCAACCAGATCTCAAACTCTCATAGTTGAACCAGCATCAAGAAGACAAAGTCTAAAACTTTCCTGGCCTGGCCTTTTGCTGTTAAATTCGTTATTGTTATCCAATGTCTTAGTTGTAATTTTGCTTTTTTTCACTTATAAAAACAGTTGAACCATTTTACTAAAAATGTTGGGAATTAGAAATGGGAGAAAACAATTACTGATAATCCTATCACCTTTTGTTTACAATTCTATGTCTGTTCTTATGATGATTTCTGTAAATGATTCTATAAATAACTGGGAGTGACGCTGTCCCAGTTGTGCACAGGGCTTTTGCTTTGCGTGCATCTCATCTTCTTAGTGAGGACTTAACATCTTCTGAGGCTTCCCTGCTACCTGCTTAACGCTGTTGTCTGAATTCAGCTTGCCCACTGTTGCTAGGGTTTCTAGATTCTGAAAACAGCACATTTGCTTGGGAAGATAGCTCTTACCCACTGCCATGTTACATTAACGATATTCCCATTTTTCCTCCTTGACGTCTCACAGCAGTGAAGAGTGGTTTAGGTAGTATATGTATGAACTGTGCTGTTTGCCTACTTCTCAGATCACAGCTTTACTATCACAAATGGTGGTAGCTGTCCTGAGGGGTTGTGTTCTTCCAGTTGTTGCTTTTATTGTTATTTTCCCCTTAGAACAGTCAAGATTTGGTGATCAGTGTCACCTGGAATAAATACCACACGCCTCCTCCTTTCTCTCTTTCTTGGGTGCGTGGTACAGAAGACTGAGATTGGCTTACAGAGTGCCCCAGGGTCCTTGTACTCGAGGGACACAGAAGGTTCACAGGCATAAGCACAAATGCCTAGAGCTCCTTTTCAGGTAATTGCCTGAAACAAATGGGCTACCATTTAGGGCTTCTGTCACACAGGAAGTCAGATAACTTAATACTACTGTATGTTTGCAGCAGGACTAGATCTAGAGATCTAGAGAAGGAGTGGCCCACTGTCCTTTCCTAGCACTGGGTTGTGGGTAAGCAGACACACTTAGTTCCCATCCAGCGTTGATCGCTGTCCTCTCTTCTTTGGAAGGCCAGACGTTAATCTGCTCCGTAGATTGTCATCGTTGGGACACAGTTCTGGGCATGAGGCTTGTAGTAACAAGCAACATAAACCTGGTCCTGGTCCTCATTGGGCTGAAGGGTCCTTGAGCTAGAAGACATTGTGGGGAGGTGGGCCTGATACAGTTTCACAGCCTTAGGTTATCACCTGGTGCCTCTTTGTCTCCTCTTCAGCAGTCCATGGCTTGAGGCCTAGTGGAGGGCTCTTGGCAAGCAGGAGTCCTGAGGCTCAGAAATGATGTGACCAGGCCTGAGTTTGAGGCTGAGACAGTTGTCCATTTGTCAGCGAGATCATAGCTTCACAGCAGCTTCTCAGAGAGGTATGGTTCACTGGACTCCAGGCCCCTAGCATGTTAGTAAAAGATAGTGGCCCTCACAGATCCCTTTCCTTCCTACTCCTATGTTACTCAGTCTCTTGGAGTCCCTGGTCATAGAATCAGCTTAGCCACAGGAAGGCCAATCAAAGAGATGTCTTGTTTTTCTAGTACTAACCCTCATGTGATACCTGGGGCCTCTTGGAGCCCTGCCTCCGACCACCAGTTTCTCTTACTCTGACCTCAGGCCTTTCAACATGATGTCAGGCTGCCCACGGCCATGGCTGTAGGGAAGAGTAACTGCTAGAGAATGGGACTTGGCCCAGGCTACCAGTCCCAGGGGGGTCGAGCTGGCTGGCTGTGCTTTTGGCCTGTGATGGATTTGACTCTTCAAGGCTTCTGACAAAGCTTGGTTGGTTAGAGGAAAAATGTAGTGAAAACCTACAGGCAACACCATGGCTTGCCCTAACCCTCTCGTCTTCCTGTTCTAGCTTTTCCCATATATCAGGTTGCAGACATGCTGAATTCCCACCCTCCTGGAGCCAAGCTGCCAATTTCTCATTCCTGTAACCAGTGGTTTTGTGTAGATAAAAGGCCCAGAAGGAAGATGGTCGCTGAGCAGGGAGCCTTCGGAGTTAGACCTTCTTTAGCCAGGGCCAGTGGACACTCATCTCATGAATCATGCTCAGAACCATCCAGTGGCTTCATGTCTCACTTGAGTAAAGGCCAAAGGCCATCACCTTTAAGGTCCTTTGTACTCTACTTCAATCGGCCTTCTCTCTGACTGCTCTGCTCTTCCTATTCTGCCCCCCTTGCTTTTCCTCTGAAGTGCCAGGCATTCTTCTACCTCAGGGCCTTTGCACTTACTCTCCCTATGCCTGCAAAGTTCTGCCTGCAGATAGCTTCATACCTTACCTCACTTCCTTAGACCCTTTCGCAAATAACTTCTCTCAGTTAGGCCTTCCCTGACCTCCTTATTTAAAAAGGAAATCCTGCACCCTCCTCCCACAAAGCAGTATCCCCCTTTCCTGCCTAATTCTTCTTTTTAAAAAGTTATATATATTTGTATAGTCAGGGTCTCACTATGTTACCCAGGCTGGTCTCGGACTCCTGGACTCAAGCGATCCTTCTGTCTTGCCTCCTAAAGTGCTGAGATTACAGACATGAGCCACCGCACCCAGCCTAATTTTTCTTTTTCTTTTCTTTTCTTTTTTTTTTTTTTGAGATGAAGTCTAGCTCTGTTGCCCAGGCTGGAGTGCAGTGGTGCAATCTCGGCTCACTGTAACCTCCGCCTCCTGGGATCAAGCGATTCTCCTGCCTCACCCTCCCAAGTAGCTGGGACTACAGGCACGTGCCACCACACCTGGCTAATTTTTATATTTTTTGTAGAGACGGGGTTTCACCATGTTGGCCAGGCTGGTCTCAAACTCCTCAAGTGATCTGCCTGCCTCAGCCTCCCAAAGTTCTGGGATTACAGGCGTGAGCCACCGTGCCCAGCCTATTTCTTCTTTAAAACACTTATCACTTCTGCGATGTCTATTATGCTTTAAGAAATTTTTTTTTAAATTACCATCTAGCTTATTTTACTTACTTACTTATTTGTCTTGTTTATTGTCTGTCCCCCCTCCTTCCCACTAGAACATAAGCTCCCTGAAGATAAGGATGGAAATGTGCTTTATCCATTAATGTTTCTCCAGTACATCAGTAAATATTTGTTGAACAAATGAATAAAATGGAGGAAGCTCTTGCTTTGGGGTTTTTCCGACTGTTGGAAAAATATTCTCACCACTGGAGACGGAGAATTCTCCTGGCCCAGCACCAAGCCCGAGCTTTTAGCTCATTCAAGAGCACTTCTTCAGTTTGGACCCTTATTCCCATAGGAGAGGAGACATTCCAAGGGCATTTTCATAGGAGTCAGAACCCTTCTGTGGGAGGAGGTATGTGATTTTGGAAAAATTGTCTGAACCTTGCTTTATTTTATTTTATTTTATTTTATTTTTTATTTTTGAGACGGAGTCTCTCTCTGTCGCCCAGGCTGGAGTGCGGTAGTGTAATCTCGGCTCACTGCAACCTCCACCTCCTGGGTTCAAGTGATCCTCCTGCCTCAGCCTCCCAAGTAGCTGGGATTACAGGGCACGCTACCACGCCTGGCTAATTTTTGTATTTTTAGTAGAGATGGGGTTTTGCCATGTTGGCCAGGCTGGCCTCAAACTCCCGGCCTTAAGTGATCTGCCCACATCAGCCTCCCAAAGTGCTGAGATTATAAGCATGAGCCACCGTATCTGGCCTGAACCTTGCTTTATGAGGTGAGGGAGTACCTCCATCCCAGCAACTGGCACAGTGCTTAGTATGTGTCAAGCACTTAATTTATTTTCTTTTTTTGTTTGGTTTGAGATGGACCCTTGCTCTGTCGCCCAGGCTGGAGTGTAGTGGTGCGATCTTGCGATCTCAGTTCACTGCAACCTCTGCCTCCTAGGTTCCAGCGATTCTCCTGCCTCAGTCTCCTGAGTAGCTGGGATTACAGGCACGCAGTACCATGCCCAACTAGTTTCTTGTATTTTTAGTAAAGATGGGGTTTTGCCATGTTGGCCAGGCTGGTCTTGAACTCCTGACCTCAGGTGATCCACCTGCCTCGGTGTCCCAAAGTGCTAGGATTACATGCATGAGCCACTGCACCTGGCCTATTTTCATAAATTTTTAGAGCACATTACCTAAATATCCAGTGCTTTCTTAGTGCTGAGGATACCATGGAAAGCAAAGCAGGCAAGGTTTCTGCTCTCATGAATCTTATATTCTTATTGGAGAAACATGAAAAATTTTATATAGTTTTAGATAGTACAAGTGCTGTGTTGAAAATAAAGCAGGGCCCCAGCTACTCAGGAGGCTGAGGTGGGAGGATCACTTGAGCTCAGGAGTTCTGGGCTATTATGCACTATGCCAGTCAGGTGTCCACACTAAGTTCAGCATCAATATGGTGACCTCCCAGGAGCATGGGACCACCAGGTTGCCTAAGGAGGGGTGACCTGGCCCAGTAGGTCAAAACTCCTGTGCTGATCAGTAGTGGGATTGTGCCTGTGAATAGCCACTGCACGCCAGCCTGGGCAACATGGGGAGACCCTGTCTCTTAAAAAAATGAAAGTAAAGCAGGGCGCCAAGTGTGGTGACTCATGCCTCTAATCCCAGCACTTTGGGAGGCCACGGGGGGGTGGATCACTTGAGCCAGGAGTTCGAGAGCAGCCTGGGCAATGTGGTGAAACCCCATCTCTACAAAAAATACAAAAATTAGTCAGGCATGGTGGTGCGTGCCTGTAGTCCCAGCTACTTGGGAGGCTGAGGTGGGAGGATCGCTTGAGCCCAGGAGGCAGAGGCTGCAGTGAGCCAAGATCGTGCCACTGCACTCCAGCCTAGGTGACAGAGTGAGACCCTGTCTTAAAAAAATAAATAAAATTAAAAAAGCAGGGATGGTACTCTGGAGCTTACATGGGTAGAAGTAGTGGTTGAGGTGGGTGGGGAGGATGCTGTTAGCAGTAATCAGTGATGGCTTCCTTGAAGATTTGAACTGAGACCTCAAAGACCGGTGGCAGCCAGGGCTGTCACATTGTACAACTCTAGGGCCACCGTTCACATTATTCTGTGCAATTGCTGCCCCCTGGAGTTGTACAATGCTGGGAGTCCTGATGAAGGTCCTAGGCAGTGAAACAGCTAGTATAAAGGCCCTGAGGGCAGCACGGACCTCGAAGTGTTTAAGGAAAAGAAAGAAGGCCAGTGCATCTGAGGCTTGGTAAGAGAGAACAGTGGAACAAGATGAGGTTGCAGAGTTTGAAGACAATGTAAAGAATGTGACATTCAATAAATTATAATTATTATTATTGTTTTTTTTTTTTTTTTTTTTTGAGATGGAGTCTCGCTCTGTCGCCCAGGCTGGAGTGCAGTGGCAGTGGTGCGATCTCAGCTCACTGCAAGCTCCGCCTTCTGGTGTCATGCCATTCTCCTGCCTCAGCCTCCCAAGTAGCTGGGACCACAGGCACCCACCACCACGCCTGGCTAACTTTTTGTATTTTTAGTAGAGACAGGGTTTCACCGTGTTAGCCAGGATGGTCTCGATCTCCTGACCTTGTGATCCGCCCACCTTGGCCTCCCAGAGTGCTGGGATTACAGGCGTGAGCCACCGCGCCCGGCCGACATTCAATAAATTATTTGTTGACTGATGAGGAAAGAAAAAGGATGATATGATGGAGGCTGGAGTGGGGTTTTAGGAAGCATTCCAGTGTGGGACCTCAGCTTTAGTATGAAGACAGGAGAACTGAGTTGAGTGACGGTTTTATTTCCCCAAAAAGGAAATAGTAGCAAAAGTGGCTCAAAGGAAATACCATTAAGATATATATATATATATGTATATTTATAGTACATCATGACATTCAAAGCCATGAAGATATTTGAATCTACTTTGATAGTGACTAAGAGGGAGGCACATTGCTTTTTAATACCATCTTATCTTGTTGAATGTCTCGGCTTGATTATCTCTTTGGGTGGCAGTGGGAATATTATTACCATTTAGCATTGCTCAGCCATGACATGATGTATTCATGTACAGAACACACAAAAAGTACAGTCCTTGCCCTTGGGGAACTGAAATGCCAAAAAGATTTGTTTCTTCCCATTGCCCTGTTTAGGTTTCTTGATCTTCTGGGATGGCTGGCTTCCCAGAGTTCTGGAGGAGAGTGGGTGGACAAAAGGCCCTTGGGTAGATGCCTTGCCTCTTGGGTCAGTAAGAAGTCCCCAAGCTGCATACTTAGGCACAGAGGGCACCTCGCTTCCCAAATCAGACTGTGATCTTGTCGCCATTGGCCTAGCCTGTCTTTTTTTATTTTTAAGAAGACCTTTGTAAAGGTGTTGCTTTAAGCCAAAGCCAAGAGTGGGAGCTACCATATTGATGCCAAGAAACCCAAGCACTGGGCTTCTTCCTTGGCCCAGAATTCCTGTAGCGCTCCAGGCTGGCTTAGGAGTCCCCTGGGGGCTGGCTGACCTTTGAGTTTGGGGGTGGTTGGGAGTAGATGGAAGAAGGTGCAACAGATGTCCAGCAGGGGATGGTTGAATGTGAGCTTTTACCACCCTGCAAGAAAGGGTCTGGTGCCCTTGGCTTAGAATTTCTAAAATTCAGTATCTTGGCTGGTACAATGGCTCACACCTGTAATCCTAACACTTTGGGAGGCCGAGGTAGGAGAACTGCTTGAGCCCAGGAGTTCAAGACCAGCCTGGGCAACATAGTGAGGCCTCATTTCTACAAATAATAAAAAAAATTAGCCAGGCATGGTGGCATGTGTCTGTAGTCTCAGCTACTCAGTGGCTGAGGTGGGAGGATTACTTGAGCCCAGGAGATCAAGGCTGTAGTGAGCTGTGATCACGGCACTACACTCTAGCTTGGGCAACAGAGTGAGACCCTGTCTCAAAAAATAAATAAAAATAAAATTCAGTGTCTTATTCCAGGAAACCCTTTGCTCACTGAAAGCCCAGGACAGAGTTAAGCTGCCTGAAGTGTTGGGAGCCGGAAGAGTTTATTTGACTGGATTCTCAGCCGAATCAGTGCTGGGAGCCACTGTTTTTGAACTTGAGGAATGCTGTGGGAACATGGTCTTTGGCTCCCAGCAAAATGTCTCAGGAACCATCTACTTGAGTGGGGCAAATGCATTCCATGAATCTGGTTGGTTGGGGTATAGCGCAAAGAAAGCTTCTATAACCCAGAGTTGCAACTCAAAGGTGGCTGCTGCACTGTAGCCTTATTGGACTCCCAGGTCAGAGTATGAGAGTGCAGTCTTCGCTGATGTGGCTTTTTTCCTTTCTTTTTTTTTTTTTTTTTAAGATTATATAAAATTGATTAAATATAACGAGATTTATGGGTTTTTTTTCTATTATTTTGTTTTTATAACTGGAGGCTTAAAAGCTTAGCTATATCAGAATATTATCATATAAACATATTTCAAAAGTTATTTTTACAAAGTTTTGCTACATACAGTAGTATTTGTGTTGTCACCCAACACCATTTTCAAATGTCTAATAAAGTATCAGTAATTTTGAATTATAAATAAAAAATAATCTCTGCAGTTGTTTATTTAGTAGTTGTTGACTGAATTCTGTTGTAATGGCTGTGACTCAAAGCATCTCACAAAGGAAATCTCAGGTCTGGTTAGAAGGTTCTGGGAGGGACCCAAGGTCAGGAAATTGGGTGAAGCTGAAAGCAGCTTTTGAAGGACTGGGCTGATTAAGATCCAGAGCCCAGAAGTTAGGGAAGCTGGAGGCATCTGCTGATATTTTAAAGGATAAATGATGAGCAGAGTTTGCTTTGAGTGAGTACTAAGAAAAGGAAAGTTGCAGCCAGGCTCAGTGGCTCACGCCTGTAATCGCAGCACTTTGGGAGGCCTAGGCGGGTGGATCACGAGGTCAGGAGTTCGAGACCAGCCTGGCCAATATGGAAGGCTGAGGCAGCAGTGAGCCATGATCATGCCACTGCACTCCAGCCTGGGCAACAGAGTGAGACTTTATCTCTACTAAAACCCCATCTCTACTAAAAATACAAATATTAGCCGGGAGGCCAAGGCGGGCAGATCACAAGATCAAGAGATCAAGACCATCCTGGCCAACATGGTGAAACCCCATCTCTACTAAAAATACAAAAATTAGCTGGGCATGGTGGCATGCACCTATAGTCCCAGCTACTCGGGAGGCTGAGGCAGGAGAATCGCTTGAACCCGGGAGGCAGAGGTTGCAGTGAGCCGAGATCGCGCCACTGCACTCCAGCCTAGCGACAGAGTGAGACTCCGTCTCAAAAAAAAAAAAAGAAAAGAAAAAGGAAAGTTGCACACTAACTGCCGTGGAAGGGCACTTGCTAGGTGCCAGACACTGTGCTGTCACACTAAAACCTCCCACCCTATGAGATGAGTGTTCTTCTCCCAGTTTTACAGATGAGGAGCCTTGCACACATGGAAGTTAACTTGCCCACCAGTCAGCTAGAGAAAGGTGGAGCTGGGGTTTGATGGGCTCAGTTGCTTCCACAGCGTGTATTCTCGTCCACTTTGCTGGGCTCCTCTCTGGCATCTTATTGGGATGCTGGAGTAATATGTTAATAATTTCATGCAGTTTCCACCTAAGTCCACCCAGAGACCTCCAAAGGGTCCAAAGATCGTGAGACTAAGAATGTCTGACACCTGCCTTCCTCACTTCCCAACTTCCCTGTCTCTAAGCCAGGCTCAACACTCTGCCTAAGTCCTTCAGCCCATAACCTTGGGCTGGCATTTAGTTTCTCTTTACCTTTGTCCACTATTTTAAATCTTTTTTTTTTTTTTTTTTTTTAATGGAGACAGGGACTCACTCTGTTGCCCAGCCTGAGTGCAGTGGCACAGTCATAGCTCACTACAGCCTCAAACTCCTGGGCTCAAGTGGTCCTCATGCCTCAGCCTCTTGAGTAGATAGGACTTCAAGTTTGTGCCACCATGCTTGGTTAATTTTTAAATTTTTTATAGAGATGGGGTCTCACTATGTTGCCCAGACTGGTCTTGAACTCCTGGGCTAAAGCAATCCTACTGCCTCGGCCTCCCAAAGTACTGGGATTACAGGTGTGAGCCACCATGTCTGGCCTTCTGTGACTCTTAATCCCAAGGAAATAACCCAAATATGGGAAGGAAACGAGGTAATATGCACAAAAATATTTTCCAAGGCATAGCTTTGGAAGCAACCTTATGTCCAACAAGAAAGCAGTGGTCAAATAGAGGACTATATATGGTTTTCCTGGTTTTGTAATAAATGATAATAGTAATTATCAAGAAAATTGTAGTTTCTTGGCTGTGCATGGTGGTTCACACCTGTAGTCCCAGCGCTTTGGGAGGCTGAGTCAGGAGGATTGCTTGAGCCCAGAAGTTTGAGACCAGTCCAGGCAACATAGCAATACCCCATAACCCATTTCTACCAAAAAAAAAAAAAAAAAAAAAATGTAATCAGGTGTAGTGGTGCACACATGTAGTCCCAGCTACTCAGGAGACTGAGGCAGGAGGATCACTTGAGCCTGGAAGGCTGAGGCAGCAGTGAGTCACGATCATGCCACTGCACTCCAGCCTGGGCAACAGAGTGAGACTTTATCTCTAAAAGAATAAAAAATAAAAATAGTAATTTCTTAATTGTGTAAACTGACAGATCAAAAATTGGAGAGCCTTGGAGTCTTAACCAAGGGGCCAGGCACCCCCAGAGTCAACATCAGAAGCTCAAAATTGCAGGACTGGTTCAGCCTCATTACTCCCATCGCCCAGCCTTTGTAGTCCCAACTGGCTTTGCTGGACAGGTCACCTTTCTTGTTGAGCTGATGCCCATTCCTTTGTTCGGCTGCTTTCACTGAGCACTCCTGTGCCAGTCAGTGGGGTGTACAAAGGGGTAAATCCTGTCCTGATGGGAGAGATAGGCAGCTGCAATACAGCAAGGAGAGTCCTGTGATGGAGGTTTGCACAGGGGTAAGGAAGAAGTGATGAGAGCCCTCTCTTGGTCAGGGTCCCAAATAAGGGATTGGTGCCTTCAAAGTAAGATATTGGAGGAAGGTATATTTATAAAGGAATAGCATAGGGGATAGTGATGTAACCCAGGGCTAGTGGTTGGCCTGGCTGTCACTCTCCTAAGGCTGAAGGGACCAGAAGAGGGAGTGGGATCCAAGAACCTAGAGGAGAAAGTTGTGTTGAGTGTTCTTGAGAGTGACTGTTAGCAGTGACCTTCAATCAAGGGGCATAGCACCTCGGGCAATCCCAAAGGGAGGGAACTCTAGCCTCACTCTCCTCCCTTCTGCTGATTTCCTGTGAGAACTTTTTTTTTTTTTGAGATAGAGTCTTGCTCTGTTGCCCAGGCTGGAGTGCAGTGGCATAGTGGCATGATCTTGGCTCACTGCAGCCTCTGCCTCCCGAGTTCAAGCAATTCTCCTGCCTCGGCCTCCTGAGTAGCTGGGATTACAGGTGCATGCTACTATGCTCAGCTATTTTATTATTATTATTTTTGGTAGAAACAGGGTTTCACCATGCTGGCCAGGCTGGTCTGGAACTCCTGACCCTCTAGTGATTCTCCCATCTCTGCCACCCAAAGTGCTGGGATTGCAGGCGTGAGCCACCATGCTCCTGTTAGAACTTTCACTGGCTTAACCCAATTAGATGCCAGAGGGCCCAGGAGCCCCACACAGGCCAGCCCTCTAGGGCAGGGAGCAGGGTGGACATACTGGTTTTCTGTTGCTGCAAATCAGCAGCTTACAACACACATTTGTTCTCTCACATCTCCTTTGCACCAGGAGTCCAGGAATAGCTCATCTGAGTGCTATGCTTAGGTCCTCCTAAGGCTGTGGTCAGAGTGTCAGGCGGGCTGCATCCTCATCTGGGGCTCCAGTGGGGAAGGATCTGCTTCCCAGCTCCCTCAGGTTTGTGTTGGCAGAATTCCTTTCCTTGGAGCTGTCAGGGATCTGTCTTGCACAGTGGGGAATGGAAGGGCAAACAGAAGATACTCAGAGAAGGTGACACCTGAGCCTTCCTGAAGATGAGCAGAGGGCAAAGAAGAGAACACCTGCGCAGAGTTTCGGAGGCAAGGGAGTCATCAGTGTGTCCACAGATCTGCCAGTCCATTCATTTGGCCTAGAGTATAAGGCAGAGGAGGTATAGGACCTGTTTCACGGTGGCCTAGTGAGACTTACTGAGAAGTCTGGACTTTGTTCTGCAGATTGGGGATAGGGATGGGCTTTGGAGGATTTTTAAGCAGGAGAAAGGTGTATCGTTTCCATTTTGGGAACAACACTGAACAGCAGGAGGCAGGAGATCAGTGAGGAAGAGGTTGTTGGCCACCCAAGTGAAGGATGCAGAAGGCTAACGCATGGTGTGGCAGTTGAGATGGAGAGAAGAGGACAGATTGAGGGCCACTGAGAAGGGAGGGGGCAGAGTTGCCAGAACTCACTGACTGTCTGACCAGCTGCACATGGGGAGAGGGAGGACTGGAGGATAACTCTTGGGATTCTGGCCTGGTGGATTTTTTAGTTCCTATTGCTGCCATAAAAAATTACCACAAAATTAGTGTCTTGGAACAATATACACTTATTGTGTTATAATTCTGGAGGTCAGAAGTCTAACATGTATCTCACTGGGTCAAAATCAAGGTGCCAGGCTGGGTGCGGTGGCTCACACCTGTAATCCCAGCACCTTGGGAGGCTGAGGCAGGAGGATGGCTTGAGCCCAGGAGTTCGGGACCAGCCTGGGCAACATGGTGGAACCCCATCTCTACAAAAAAAAAAAAAAAATTAGCCAAGCATGGTGGCCTGTGCTTGTGGTCCCAGCTATTTGGGAGGTTGAGGTGAGAGGATCACCTGAGCCCAAGAGGCTGAGGCAACAGTGAGCCGTGATCATGCCACTGCACTGCAGCCTGGGCAACAGAGCAAGACCCTGTCTTGAAAAAAAGCAAAGTGCCTGAGGGAGAATTCGTTTCCTTGCTGTTTCCAGCTTCTAGAGGCCATGTCCATTCCTTAGCTCACGGCCACTCCCTCCATCTTCAAAGTGAGCAACAACAGACAAATTCTCACGTCACATCTCTCTGATCTTTTACCTGTCTCTTTCATTAAGGATTCATGGATTAGATTGAGCCCACCGAGGTAATTCACTGTAAGATCATCCCCATCTCAAGATCCCTAACTGAATTACATTTGCAAAGTCCCTTTTGCCATTTAAGGTAGCATATCACAAGTTCCAGGGATTCAAATGTGGGCATTAGGGAACATTTATTCAGGCTACCACAGTGGTGCTCTTCTTCAAGCTAGGTAAAGATGGAAAGATCAGGTTTGGTAAGATACTGAGTTTGGATTTGTGTAGACTGAACTAGAAGTATCTAGGTCTGGTTCTTTGCTTGGGTATAGATTTGGGAATCCTCAACAGAGGTGTGGTGGCTGAAGCCATTTCATGAGGTTGCTGAAGGAGACCGTGTGGTGAGGAGGGGCGGAGACTGAGTCCTGGAGAAAGTGGAACTCTGGGCCAGGCGCGGTGGCTCACGCCTGTAATCCCAGCACTTTGGGAGGCTGAGGCGGGTGGATCACTAGGTCAGGAGATCGAGACCACCCTGGCTAACACAGTGAAACCCCGTCTCTACTAAAAATACAAAAAATAAGCCGGTGTGGTGGCAGGTGCCTATAGTCCCAGCTACTTGGGAGGCGGAGGCAGGAGAATGGCGTGAACCCGGGAAGCGGAGCTTGTGGTGAGCCAAGATCGTGCCACTGCACTCTGGCCTGGGCTACAGAGCGAGACTCTGTCTCAAAAAAAAAGAAAGTGGAACTCTGACTTTGTCCCTCTTTCCCCACCTAGGAAGTCCCCTAGGGGACAGGCGGAGGCCACGCAAGGGGAAATGTTCACGTTCTGCTTTCCTAGTGAAGAGGTTTCCAATGACGGCCTCCCTTCGCCAGACTGTCGTTCATCCTCTGCGTAGGTGTAAGGGGCAGAGCAGTGGCTAGTCCTGGGGCATCATGGGGCTTGGGCCAGCACTGAAGGTCTTAGAGCAGATTGACAGGAAACGGTACAAATAGGAAAGGCAGCTGGCATTCCAAGCATGTGCTGGAGTTTGGGTGAGTGGTCCTTGGACTTGCTTGGCATTGCCCTGGGATACAGAGAGATTGTAGAGAAGCTGCAGGCAGCCTCTGTAAAGCCCTAGAGCAACAGGAGGTCTGCGGTTTAGGTTTCTCTATAGTCTCTGGGTCCAGCTGGGCCTAAGGCTGGGCTTGTCCCTATGCCTGTTGGAGACATGCATGGGAGATGTGTATGTGTGTGCACTTAGAGGGAGGCCACTGAAGGAAAAGGTCTGCAGGTCTATACCACCCATGCCCACCTCCACCCCCTACCCCCTGCACAGGATCTAGGTCCATTCTTCTGGAGGGAATAGCTAGCCCAGTAAGGTGAGAACTCAGCCTGATTCCCAAGGAGAAGGGCTGGTTGGAAAGGAGGACTAACCCCAGGATAAAGGATGGGTCTGCCCAGTTCTCCATCCAGCCTGGGACCAGGAGGAAGGGGAAGAGGAAGGGGGAAAGAAAGAGACAACAGGGCCGGGCGCGGTGGCTCACGCCTGTAATCCCAACACTCTGGGAGGCTGAGGCAGGCGGATCATGAGGTCTGGAGTTCGAGACCATCCTGGCCAACATGGAGAAACCTCGTCTCTACTAAAAATACAAAAAATGAGCCGGGCATGGTGGCACACGCCTGTAGTCCCAGCTACTCAGGAGGCTGAAGCAGGAGAATCTCTTGAACCTGGGAGGTGGAGGTTGCAGTGAGCCCAGATTGCACCACTGCACTTCAACCTGGTGACAGCGTGAGACTCCGTCTCAAAAAAAAAAAAAAGAGAAAGAAAAGAAAGAAAAAAGAAAGAAATAAGAGCTTTTGTAGGGGAAGAAGTGACATCACCCCTGGTTCTGGAGTTGGACTGGGCTGGCCTCCTATGCCATGTGTTTCCGGAGGCACATGGTCCCCTCTTCCCTTTCTTCTGATACCATCACTGGGCTTGAGACTGAGCCATAATGCCTAACCCTGGTACCTTTGCAGGGTCAGTAGCCACCGTGGCTGGCCTGGCATTCCTTGCTTCAAAGACCAATGGAAGCATCCAGGCCACCCCCAGAGGAAGGGGCCTGACCTTGGGCCTCTCTTGCCATGTCCTTGGCATATGCATATGAACACTTAGCAACAGACTATGTGAAGCCTTGCACGCTAGACCTGCAGATACAGTAGTGACCAAGATACAACCCTGCCCTTGTGGGGTTTATAGTCTAGGCTGGAGATGATGATGATGATGATGATGATGATGATGATGATGATGTTGTTGATGATTTTAAGACAGAGTCTTGCTCTGTCTCGCTTCGGTTAGAGTGCAGTGGCACCATCTCAGCTCACTAGAGCCTCTGTTTCCTGGGTTCAAGAGATTCTCCTGTCTCAGCCTCCTAAGTAGCTGGGACTACAGGCGCCCACCAACACACCCGGTAATTTTGTATTTTTAGTGGAGACGGTTTCACCATGTTGGCCAGGCTGGTCTGAAACTCCTGACCTCAGGTGATCCACCTGCCTCGGCCTCCCAAAGTGCTGGGATTACAGGCGTGAGCGTGAGCCACTGTGCCTGGCCAGGAGATTATAAATGGTAGAAAATTTTGGAAAATACAAAGAAGTTTGAAAAACAAAAATTATACTGTAGTAGCCACTATAATAATTTTATTGCTTTTTTTTTTTTTTTTTTTGAGACAGAACCTCACTCTGTTGCCAGGCTGGAGTGCAGTGGTGCAATCTCGGCGCACTGCAACCTCCGCCTCCCGGGTTCAAGCAATTCTCCTGCCTCAGCATCCCGAGTAGCTGGGACTACAGGCGCCTGCCACTACACCTGGCTAATTTTTGTATTTTTAGTAGAGACAGGGTTTCACCATGTTGGCCAGGATGGTCTCGATCTCTTGACCTCGTGATCCACCTGCCTCGGCCTCCCAAAGTGTTGAGATTTCAGGCGTGAGCCACCATGCCTGGCCTGCATTTTCTTTTTCCCTTATATATTTTACTCACATTTAAAATTTCGTATTTACATCAACATTTTGAATCATACTTTATGTTGAATTTTGTTTTGTGTTTTTTCATAACTACTTATTTGTGGCATAATGTACATAACTTATCTTTTTCTTAAATTATTATACTTTTTGAGATGGAGTCTTACTCTGTTGCCCAGGCTAGAGTGCAGTGGTGTGATCTTAGCTCACGGCAACTTCTGCCTCCTGGGCTCCACTGATCCTCCTGCCTCAGCCTCCCGAATAGCTGGGACTGCAGGCATGTGCCACCAAACCCAGCTAATTTTTGTATTTTTAGCAGAGAGAGGGTTTCACTGTGTTGGCCAGGCTGGTCTTGAATTCCTGACCTCAGGTGATCTGCCCGCGTTGGTCTCTCAAAGTGCTGGGATTACAGGCATGAGCCACTGCACCCAGCCTACATAATTTAAATTTACCTTTTTTTTTTTTTTTTTTTTTGAGTCAAGGTCTTGCTCTGTCACTCAGGCTGCAGTGCAGTGGTGCAGCCACAACTTACTGCAGCCTGGACCTCCCAGACTCAGTGATTCTTCTGCTACAGACTCCGAGTAGCTGGGACCACAGCTGCACACCACCATGGCCAGCTAATTTTTAAATTGCTTGTAGAGATGGGATGTCCTTATGTTGCCCAGGTTGGTCGCAGACTCCTGGGCTCAAGCAGTCCTCCCACCTTGGACTCCTATAGTGCTGGGATTATAGGCATGATCCACTGCACCCAGCCCAAAATTTACCATTTTAACCATTTTTAGATTTACAGTTCAGTGGAATTAAGTACATTTACCTTGTTGTGCAACCATAACCACCTTCCACTTTCAGAAACACTCTGTACCCCTTAAACAATAACTCCCCCTTCTCACTTCCTCCAAACCCTGGCAACCACCATCTTATTTCTGTCTCTATGAATGTGACTACTCTGGGTACTTCATATAAGTGGAATCATATGACATTTGTCCCTTTGTGCCTGGCTTATTTCACTTAGCATAATGTCTTCAGGGTTCATCCATGTTGTAGCAGATGTCAGAATTTTCTTCCTTTTTAAAGGCTAATATTCCATTATATGTGTATACCAATTTGGCTTGTCCATCCATCTATTGACTGACTCTTGGGTTGCTTCTACCTTTTGACTATTGCTAATAATGCTACTCTGAACATCAGTATACAAATTTCTATTCAAGACCCTGCTTTCAGTTCTTTTGGATATATACCTGGAAGTAGAATTGCTGGATCATGTGGCAATTCTATGTTTAATTTTTGAGGAACCGCCATACTGTTTTCCATAGCAGCTGTATCATCTTACATTTCCACCAGCAATGTGTAAGGGTCCTAATTTCATGACCATTGTGAAAGGAGTTTATTTTTATGCTATAGTGAATAATAGGTGAACAGAAAACATTAGAGGCTATAGAGTGGGGTTCTGATGTAAAGTTCCTGTTCCTCTTTACCAGTAAGAGGTGGAAAGAGAACCCCTCACCTCTCAAAGATTAGTCCCTCTGCTTTCAGAACCATTGTTTTTAGTGACTTGTAATGTCCTACCACATAATGTGCCAGAACTCATATAATACCGCTACTTGTAGAACAGTTAGATTGTTTCTAGATTTTTTATTCTTATAAATACTACTGAATATACTTATGCAAGAGGCTTTTTTTTTTCCAAATGTAAGATTATTCCCTTAGGTAAATTAGCAGAACTGGAAACTGCTACTGTAAGTAATCACTGACACTAAGATCTACTGTGTTCCAGGTGCTGTTCTAAGTGTTTTCTATATTATATGTTAACTCATTTTAGTAGCTACCATATGGAAACTACAATTATCTTCGTTTTTGAAAAAAGACTTTTTTAGAGCCGTTTTAGGTTCTCAGCAAAATTGAGCAGAAAGTACAGAGAGCTACCACACACCCTCTGCTTACCACACGCATGCATGCACACACACACATGTATGCAGCCTCTCCCGCTGTCAACATCCTTACCCAGATTGGTACATTTGTTACAGTCAGTGAACCTACGTTGACACATCATCACCACCCAAAGTTCATAGTTTACATTAGAAGTGAGAAGGTATATAAGTGAAATGTAGATAAGAAGAGAAGTAAACTCTTCTTATCTACATTTTACAGATGAAGAAACTGAGGTACAGAGAGGCTAAGTGATTTGCCAAGGGTCACACAGCCAGGAAGGGTGGCAGAGCTAGGATTTGGGCATAGGCAGCCTGGCTTCAGAGACTGTGCTCTGGCACTGCTGACATTTTGGTGGCTCTTGATGCATATTCAGTGCTTTTTAAGTGTGGCAGTGTTTTGCTTTGTGCGGGTCAGACAGTGGACACTTCAGGATCGGTTGACCAACTGTCCCCATTTGCCTGGGCTTTTCCTGGTATGTGGGGCTTTCAGTTCTAAAGCCAGAAAAGTCCTGGGCAAACAAGACAAGTTGGTCACCCTGCTTCAGTGACTCCAGAGTCTTTTTTAGTAACTTAATTGTCACATCTCTTAGATGCCTTCAAATGTTTCCTCAATCTTTCTGTTTTTCATGACCTTTTGAAGAGTACAGGTCAGTTATTTTATAGAATGTCCTTCAATTTGGATTTATCTGATGTTTCCTCATGCGTAGGATCAGTGTATGTATTTCTCCATAGGAATATCACAGACATGTTGTGCCCTTCTTAGTGATCATATCAGGAGGCACTTGATGTTGATTTGTCTAATTACTGTTGATGATGTCTAATTACTTTGATTGTTTGGTTAAGGTGGTGTCTGCTAGGTTTCTCTTCTGTATAGTTACTGCTTTTCCATTAATAATTAATAAGTAACTTGTGGGAAGGCATTTTGAGGCTATGTCAGTATCTTGTTTCTCATCAGATTTTTTACCCACTATTTTTACCACCCGTTGATGATTCTTGCCTGAATTATTATTACAATAGTTGTCAAATGGTGACTTCTCATTTGATAATTGTTTCTACATTCATTCATTGATATTGAGATTTTACTGTAAGGAAGAGTCTTCTCCATATTTACTTACTTATTCATTTATTTATATCAATGTATTAGGGCTCTCTAGGAAAAACAATTGGAGATGCACATCCACATATCTATATATTATCTATACACATAATATAAATACAAATCTATAAAGAGATTTAGGAGAAAGAATTAGCTCATGCGATTACAGATGCTGGCAAGTCCAAAATCTTTAGAGCCAGTGTCACTAGGTCCATTACAATCAGTGTGGACTCATAGATTTTTATTTTAATTAATAGATTATAATTTGTTAGGATGCTTTAATTTAATGCTCAGATTGTTGTTGATTTGGCCAGTGAGAACCTTGAGTTTGGCTTCTCTCTACTTTTGGCATGTTCCCATCATTCTCTGAACCACTTCCTTACTTTCTGGCACAGTAGGAAATTTCAGAATCATTTTGTACTTTGCCAGCCCAGGAATCAGCCATTTATCCAGGAAGCCCTGGTTTTATTTAGTGGAGAATGGTATATAGAAGCCATGATCCGGAGGCTAGGTATTATCATTGCTCTTGGAGTGTCACTGCTCCCAGTGGCCAGAACTAGGAAACACACATGCACATATACACATACCACTCTATTTCCATATTGGTTTCTCTCTTAAATACCATGAATTCATACTGATACCTCCAATTCTAAAGCTATACCTATGGGGGCCTGGTGCAGTGACTCATGCCTGTAATCCCAGCACTTTGGGAGGCCCAAGTGGGTGGATCACTTGAGGTCAGTAGTTCAAGACCAGCCTGGCCAACATGGTGAAACCCCGTCTCTACCAAAAATACAAAAATTAGCCAGGTGTGTTGGTGCACACCTGTAGTCCCAGCTGCTCAGGAGGCTGAGGCAGGAGAATCACTTGAACCTGGGAGGCAGAAGTTGCAGTGAGCCAAGATCACACCACTGCACTCCAGCCTGGGCAACAGAGCAAGACTCTGTCTCAAAAAATAATAACTAACTAACTAAATAAATACTATACCCGTGGCATTCATTCCTGCCTGCCTTTAAAATATATATATATATATATTTCAGACCAGGCACAGTGGCTCACACCTACAATCCTAGCGCTCTGGGAGGCCAAGGTGGGTGGATCACTTGAGGTCAGGAGCTCGAGACCAGCCTGGCCAACATGGTGAAACCCTGTCTCTACTAAAAATACAAAAATTAGCTGGCCGTGATGGTGTGCGCCTGTAATCCCAGCTACTCGGGAGGCTGAGGCAGGTGAATCACTTGAACCCGGGAGGCGGAGGTTGCAGTGATCAGAGATCGCGCCATTGCACTCCAGACTGGGTGACAGAGCAAGACTCCATCTCGAAAAAAAAAAGTTACTTGGGTTATATCTTTTCTTCCCCCTTTCAGTGTGGTTATATGGTTGATTTGAAATACTGTTAGGTTCATTAATTTCTGTTTGTATTATATTTTAGCATTTTCTCCCTCCTCATTGATTCTGTTTCATTTATTTTGAGTATGTGAAAGCATTATCACGGATCCAAAACCAAAAGTGAGAACTATACAAAAAGGTATATTCAAATAAATGTTACCCACCTCCACACCCTGCAGTGCTTTCTACCGCCTTCCCACCTACTGTATGTAAGAATCCATCTCATTCATTTTTGGTTTATCCTTCCCACATGGCTTTCTACAGAAATGAGTAGGTAATGTATATTTTCCTACTTTTCTTTCTTTCTTTCTTTCTTTCTTTTTTTTTGAGATGGAGTCTCGCTCTGTCACCCAGGCTGGAGTGCAGTGGTGCGATCTCGGCTCACTGCAACCTCTGCCTTCTGGGTTCAAGCGATTCCCCTGCCTCAGCCTCCCTAGTAGCTGGAACTACAGGCATGTGCCACCACGCCTGGCAAATTTTTGTATTTTTAGTAGAGACGAGGTTTCACCATGTTGGCCAGGCTGGTCTCCAACTCCTGACCTCAGGTGATCTGCCTGCCTCGGCCTCCCAAAGTGCTAGGATTGCAGGCGTGAGCCACCGCGCCCGGCTTTTTTTTTTTTTTTTTTTTTTTTCCTTTTGAGACAGTTTTGCTCTTGGTGCCCAAGCTGGAGTATAATGGTGTGATCTCGGCTCACCGCAACCTCCACCTCCCAGGTTCAAACAATTCTCCTGCCTCAGCTTCCCTAGCAGCTGGGATTGCAGGTGTACACC
Organism: Homo sapiens; assembly: GCF_000001405.40. Classification (NCBI taxonomy): domain Eukaryota; kingdom Metazoa; phylum Chordata; class Mammalia; order Primates; family Hominidae; genus Homo; species Homo sapiens. Next base: position 102,541,861 of record NC_000010.11, read on the forward strand.
GCCATGCCCGGCTAATTTTTTTTTTTTTTTTTTTTTTTGAGACAGAGTTTCGCTCTTGTTGCCCAGGCTGGAGGGCAATGATGGTGCGATCTTGGCTCACTGCAACCTCTGCCTCCTGGGTTCAAGCAGTTCTCCTGCCTCAGTCTCCCGAGTAGCTGAGATTACAGGCATGCGCCACCATGCCCGACTAATTTTGTATTTTTGGTAGAGATGGGGTTTCTCCATGTTGGTCAGGCTGGACTTGAACTCCCGACCTCAAGTGATCCACCCACCTTGGCGTTTTTTTTTTTGAGATGGAGTCTCACTCTGTTGCCTGGGCTGGAGTGCAGTGGCGTGATCTCGGCTCACTGCCACCTCTGCCTCCCGGATTCAAGCGATTCTCCTGCCTCAGCCTCCTGAGTAGCTGGGATTACAGGTGCACGCCACCACTCCCAGCTAGTTTTTGTATTTTTAGTAGAGACAGGGTTTCTCCATGTTGGTCAGGCAGGTCTTGAACTCCTGACCTCATGATCCGCCCACCTCGGCCTCCCAAAGTGCTGGGATTACAGATGTGAGCCACTGCGCCCGGCCTATATATATATATATTTTTTTTTAAGTAGAGATGGGGTTTCATCATGTTGGCCAGGCTGGTCTTGAACTCCTGAACTCAGGTGATCCACCTGCTTTGGCCTCCCAAAGTTCTGGGATTACAGATGTCAGCCACCATGCCTGGCTCCTATCTTCCTTTCTTTCTTCCTCAAAAACATACTATAATATCCTTTTGCTCTTTTTTTTTTTTTTTTGAGACTGAGTCTCCCTCTGTCACCCAGGCTGGAGTGCAGTGGCGTAATCACAGCTCACTGTACCTTCTGCTTCCTGGATTCAAGCAATCCTCCTGCCTTAGCCTCCTGAGTAGCTGGGACTACAGGCACGTGCCACCATGCCCAGCTAATTTTTGTACTTTTTGTGGAGGCAAGGCTTCGCCATGTTGCCCAGCCTGGTGTCGAATTCCTGGGCTCAAGCAATCTACCGGCTTTGGCCTCCCAAAGTGCTGGAATTACAGGCATGAACCACCGTGCCCAGCCTCTTTTGCTTTTTTCGCCTAACAGTGTTTATACCAATTTGTAGAGTTCTTCATTCTTTCTTACAGCAGCATTTTCTTACAGCACTTTGAGTCATTCTCCTATAAATGGGCATTTAGGTGATTTCCAGTATTTTGCAATTATAAGTTCTTAGAAGTGGGATTGCTGGATCCAAAGGTATAAACCTATACGTAGTTTTATTAGGTACTGCCTAATTCTCCTCCATATAAGTTGTACTAATTTATATCCATACCGGCAACATATGAGAGTGTCTCTTCCCCCACAACCTCAGCAACAGAATATGATGTCATACTTACTAATTTTTGCCAATCTGATAGGTGAGAATGGTATCTCATTGTTTTCATTTGCATTTCTTTTATTATGTGTGAGGTCAAACATCTTGTCTTATGCTTAAGGGATATCTGTATATCTCGTTTGTGAATTTTTTCTATCAGGTTTTTGAGTTTTTTCCAAATTAAAAAATAAATGAATAAAGCATTTATTGATATAATTAATGTAGCATACAGTTCACCCATTTAAAATGTACGCTTTCATGGTTTTTTGCATATTTATAGTTATGTAACCTTCACTACAATCTAATTTTAGAACTTTTTCTTTACCCTGAAAAGAAACTCCATCCATATTCATTAGCAGTTACTCCCAATTCATCCCCACTACCCCAGTCCTAGGCAACCATTAATCCACTTTCCCCATAGATTTGTCCATTCTGGACATTTGATGTAAGTATAATTTATATTATATATTACGAATTATACAATTTTTCCTGTAATATAAATAAAATCATACAACATATGGTCTTTTGTGACTGGCTTTCTTCACTTAATGTAAGTGATATAATGCTTATAGTGTTCTGAGTACTGTTTCCAAATGTTTAATCCCCAATAACAACTCTATGAAACAGTTACTGTTATTATCCCCATTTTATAGATGAGGAAACTGACACACAGAAGAGGTTAAATAGCTTGCCTCTGGTCACACAGCCATAAGAAGATAGACTTAATTAGGCAAAAATAGATTAATTAGGCACACACTTGTAATTTCAGCTACTCGGGAGGCTGAGGTGAGAGGATCTCTTGAACCCAGGAGGTCATGGCTGTGATGAGCCCTGATTGTGCAGCTATACTCCAGCCTGGGCAGCAGAGTGAGACCCTGTCTCACAAAAAAAAGATGAGCTTTGGAGTTATACAGACTTCAAGTTCTAGCTCTATCACTTGTTCTGTGATTTATGGACTATTACACAAACTCCATCAGTGTTTCTCATTTGTTTGTTAAATGAGTATAACAATGGCTGAGTCCTAGAGTTATAGAGAGTTAAACGATATGACATCAGGTATACCTGAGATGCCAGCTTTTTAAAAATAAATCATATACCATGAAATTCACCCTGTTAAAGTGTGTAATTCATTGGTTTTTAAGTATATTTATAAGGTTACACAACCAGTACATTATCTAATTCCAGAACATTTCCATCTCCCAGGCCAGGCACGGTGGCTGACGCCTATAATCCCAGCACTTTGGGAGGCCGAGACGGGCAGATCACTTGAGATCAGGAGTTTGAGACCAACCTGGCCAACATGGTGAAACCCTATTTCTAGTAAAAATACAAAAATTAATGGTGTGGTGGCACGCGCCTGTAGTCCCAACTACTTGGGAGGCTGAGGCAGGAGAATCGCTTGAACCCAGGAGGCAGAGGTTGCAGTGAGCCAAGATTGTGCCACTGCACTCCAGCCTGGGCAACGGAGTGAGACTCTGTTTCAAAAACAACAACAACAAAAAAGAATTTCCATCATCCCAAAAAGAAATTCTGTACCCATCAGCAGTCACTCCCCATTCTGTCCTCACCCTAGTTTCTGGCAACCACCAACCTATTTTCTGTCTCTATAGATTTGTCTATTATGGACATTTCATAAAAATAGAATCATACAATAGGTAGTCTTTTGTATCTGGCTTCTTTCACTTAGCATGATGTTTTCAAGGTCATCCATGTTATAGCGTATGCATACTTCATTCTTTTTTATTTCCAAGTTATATTTCATTGTACAGGTATACCATATTTTGTTTATCCATTCCTCAGTTGATGGACATTTGGGTTGTTTCTACTTTTTGGCTACTATGAATAATGCTACTATGAACATTGATGTATACGTTTTCATGTGAACAGGTTTTCTTTTTTCTTTTTTTTTTTAGACAAGGTCTTACTCTGTCACCCAGGGTGGAGTGCAGTGGCACCATCAAGGCTCACTGCTGCCTTGACCTCCCTCGGCTCAGATGATTTTCCCACTGCCTCAGCACCCCCACCCTGGGTAGCTGGGACTACAGGTGTGAGCCACCATGCCTGGCTAATTTTTGTATTTTTTTTTTTTTTTTTTTTTGTAGAAACGGGGTTTGGCCATGTTGCCTAAGGTGGCCTCAAACTCCTCGGCTCAAGTGGTCCATCCACCTCGGTCCCCCAAAGTGCTGGTATTACAGGCATGAGCCACTGCATCCAGCCAGGTTTTCAGTTCTCTTGGGCATATACTTAGGAGTGGAATTGCTGGATCATATGGTGACTCTGTTTAACTTTTTTAGGAACTGCCAAACTCTTTTTCCAAAGTAGCTCCATCATTTTATATTCCCCCTAATGATGTGCAAGTATTCCTATTTCTCCACGTCCTCTCTAACACTTACTATCTCTTAGTTATGATAGAGGGTGTGGAGGGGCAGTAGCTCACTGTGGTTTTGATTTGCATTTCCTTAGTAATAAATAATGGGCTGGGCACAGTGGCTCACGCCTGTAATCCCAGCACTTTGAGAGGTAGAGGCGGGCAGATCATCTGAGGTCAGAAGTTCGAGACCAGCCTGGGCAACATAATGAAACCCTGTCTCTACTAAAAATACAAAAGTCAGCTGGGTGTGGTGGCACACACCTGTAATCCCAGCTACTCAGGAGGCTGAGGCAGGAGAATCACTTGAGCCCAGGAGGCAGAGGCTGCAGTGAGCTGTGATCGCACCACTGCACTCCAGCCTGGGAGACAGAGTGAGGCTCGGTCTCACATATAAATAAATAATGGTGTTGAGCATGAGATGCTGACTTTCAGCAGTCATTTTGGGCTCTTGGATGCTCACTGATACCTTCTTAGTGAGGTACTCTGGGGGAGACCTTTGGGTGAGTTCTGATGGTCAGGCTGTTGTGTGTCTAGGATTCAAGGCATGTGTTCTTGTCTTTGGTTTGATGTTACTCTTGGGGCTGGCACAGCCATCAGGCAGACTTGCCAAACTGCTGGGACAAAGCCAGCCTTCCCCCGGACACCCCCGTGAACAGGATCCAGGGTTCTTGAGCAGGAAACAATCTTGAGAGTCTTATCTCATCCTTCCTTTTGCAATAAGACAGTTAGAACCCCTTACCCCCACTCTGCCAGCCTGGGAAGAATTTTTTTCTTTCTTTCTTTAATTTCTATAGGAAGAAATTCCACTGGCCCCAGTTACCACCAGCCAGTATTTTAGTAGACTTCTGTGTTAGAAAAATGCTTTGCTCTGACCCAGATCCCACCTTCTGCAGCACATGCCAATTTCCCCTTATACTTTCCTTTCTTGGAAGATGTGAGAGACAGCCGCTCCCTAGGAGGGGCTTCATTCTCTGTTCAGACAAAACCACTTTGGCTAGAGAAGCCCTCATGTGAGGAAGTCCAGACCAAGCCAGGCCCCTCCAGGAGACTTTAAAGATGGAATGACCTTGTCACTTGGTGATTGCTTGGGCAGCCTGCTTTGAAAAAGAGAACTTCTGACAGACTTCAGGTCGTGTGTTTATCCTGAGGCTGGGCCATTCCAAACTCATGTTTCAGGGTTTAGAGGTTGCGTCCAGCCAGCCCGTGGGTGGTAATCAAATGCAGGTGGAGACCATCTGGCCGGGCCTGTCCCTCCCACCCAGCCAAGTAAGGGCTGGCCTGCCCACCACAGAACTGGCCCAGAAAGCACCCTGCGTGGAGGCAGATGGTGGACACATGCGTGTGCACGCATGCACACCTCTAGGCGCGTGTGCACGGACCCTCCTTAGTGAAGTGGTGCTGTGTGGATGCATCTGATCCAGTGATTTCTTTCTCTGCATTTGAGGGTTCTTCCCATTGTGCAGCCGAAGAGGAACAAGTTTCTTTTAGTCTGTTTCTCAAGTTTTTGTGGTTAGAAATCATGTACGTTTCTTGGCCCAAGATGAAAGCCCTGGAGTAATAGTCTAATACATTTTACAAAGCTGCCTCTAATTGGTGGCTGCTTAAAATCTTCCCTTTGCCCTACTGACCCATCTCCCTTTACAGAGTTTTAACTCTAGTCAATCTTGCATTACTCCATGTTTTCACACCCCTCCCAAACCTGCAGCTCCAGGGAGGTAGCTCTTCCAACTTCAGTTTGATAGCTGTTCCCTCAGCCTGCCTGCACTGAATTGACCTCAAACAGGGTAATTCAGCAAGGAAATAAAATAGCTTACAATGTGTTGTCCAAGCATCTTCTGCTGGCCTGGTCTCCAAAATTCCACGTGTGTACCCTCAAAATGGATTCTGTTTCCCACATTGCTATAGATACCTGGGGAAAATGAAACCGTGGATACTTCATTTAAACATAGTTGGGCCAGGTGCTGTGGCTCTTGCCTGTGTTCCTAGCACTTTGGGAGGCCAAGGCGGGAGGATTACTTGAGCCTGGGAGTTCAAGGACTAGCCTAGGCAATGTGTTGAGACCTGTCTCTACAAAAGTTTTAAAAATTAGCTGGACATGGTGGTGCACACCTGTGGTTCCAGCTACTTGGGAGGTTGAGGTGGAAGGATTGCCTAAGACCGGGAGGTCAAGGCTACAGTGAGCCATGTTCACACCATTGTATAGAGCAAGATGCTGTCTCGGAAAGAAAGAGAGAGAGGCGGGGGGGAGAGAGAGAGAGAAAGAAAGAGAGAAAGAAAGAGAGGCTGGGCATGGTGGCTCATATCTGTAATCCCAATACTTTGAGAGGCTGAGGCCAAAGGATTGCTTGAGCCCAGGAATTTGAAACCAGTCTGGGCAACATAGGGAGACTTTATCTCTACTAAAAAAAAAGAAAGAAATTAGCCAGGTGCTAGGTGCCATGATGTGCCAGCTACTCGGGAGGCTGAGACAAGAGGATCGCTTGAGCCCCCAGGAGTTCACACATGCAGTGAGCTGAAGATCACGCCACTGCACTCCAGCCTGAGTAACAGAGCGAGACCCTGTCTCAAAAAAATACATAGATGATAGAGAGATAGAGAGATAGATAGATAGATACATACATACATAGAGTTTGATCATGATGGTTTCTAATGATACCTTTTCAGTCCATTGGAGAACTTAGCTTCTCAGAGGTGATCTTTCCCTGCAAAGTGCAGGAGGTCTGGGTTCACCCAGGCACAGAAAACTAGGACAGATGTCAGCTTCTGAGACTTGGGAATCTCTTTCTATCCCATCTCCTGGCCTTGCCTCTCGGGGTGATGATGATCATGATGAAGAAAAGATGCCACGTGGAATTCTAGGGTTGGGCATTGACTGCATCATCAGCCCTTGAGAATTCTCACCTCTGATCACCTGTTTCAGGAGCTTGGTTGGCTGTCATCTTAGTTTATGGTTTGTGTTTGTATGCTGACGAGTTTACAGGTGTATAATCATTGTGGCTCATGTTTGTACAAGATATAATTACTGAAAATTATATCATGAATGTATTTTAATTTTAACCTTCCCATGCTGGCAAGCCTCATGTAGCTCTCCCTGGATGCTTCCCTTACCTGGGGAGGTGTGGCACCCCACCAGCCAGGCCCAGCTCTCTGATCCACATCACTGCCCTCTCTGATGGAAGTCCCTTTCAGGGACTTCCCTGAGACTTGGGGCTCCTGAGTGTTTCCTACAAACAGGGAGGCAGGGATTCCTGCTTTCTCTCATTGTCACTTTAATGAATTGTGGCCACAGAAGCAGTCATCCTCATTATTCTGGGTCACTGAGGGATGGGAAGGGAGGGCAACCCATGCATCTCTAGGGTTCCAGCAATTGAAGAGTACATGTGGAGTGCCAGGTTTCAGGAAGAGCTTGTGCTAATTGAGGAGTGTGTGTTGGGTGCTGAGTTTCAGGAAGAATATGGGCCCACCCAGTATTTGGAATCTGCCTTAGGACCTGTCCACAAATGCTGAGTCTGGAGGCCAGCCAGTGCCACCCAAGGTTGTACCCTTGTGGGCAGAGTGGAGGTGGGAGTGGAGAAAGGGTCTCATCCTCACAGAGTGTATTAATCCATTCTCACACTGATATAAAGACATACCTGAGATTGGGTAATTTATAAAGGAAAATAGGTTTAATTGACTCACAGTTCCACATGACTGGGAAGACCTCAGGAAACTTACAATGTTGGTGGAAGGAGAAGAGGGTGGCAGGCACAAGAGAGTGGGCAAAAGCAGAGAAAACTGCCCTATAAACCCATCAGATCTTGTGAGAACTCACTCACTATGACAAGAACACTGTGGAGGAAACCACCCCTGTGATCCAGTTATCTCCCACCTGGTTCCTCCCTTTACACGTGGAGACTATGGGGATTACAATTCAAGATGAGATTTGGGTGGGGACACAGAGCCAAACCATATCACAGAGCATATAGCCTTGTGGCTCACAGGACATGTATCCTTAGCAAACAAAGTAGATGCCTATTAATAGCTTGAAGGAATAAGGAGCATGAACAAGGGAGATTTTCAGCAGTGTTGCCTCAATCATCCAGGAAGGAATGTTCCAGAGCCACAAAATTTGGAACTCATAATTCAGAGTGCCAGCAGTAGAATTTGGCCAGGCCAAGGTCACATCCACATACCCGCAGCTGGCAGGAGGATGAGGCAAGAGTTCTGGTTCCTTATGGGCTTCTCAGGTTCCCTCCCCACAAGGCTCACATCCTGGGATACTCCTCTGAATGGAGGATTTGGATACTGAGGCCACCATAAAAAGGGGGAGAACTTTAGACTTTCAAGAGAGTGTTTTTCCTAAGGTAATTGAGCTTAAAACACTTGCTTTTTATGTCTTTCAGGTTTACAGGAACAGATGGACCTAGTGGTTTTGGCTTTGAGTTGACCTTTCGTCTGAAGAGAGAAACTGGGGAGTCTGCCCCACCAACATGGCCCGCAGAGTTAATGCAGGGCTTGGCACGATACGTGTTCCAGTCAGGTAGGAGGCCAGGGCTGGCTGCTGTGCTGGTCCTTTTGCCATGAGCCTGGTTGACTTTGAGTACTAGCAGCTATATTTTGATGTTTGTGGAGTGGCCTTTCCTGGGAGTACTATGCCCCAATTCTACCATGAGGATGGCTTGTTTTGCCTGGTGTTTCCTGGTTGGAAAACCAACTGGGCCATGGCAGAGAGGGGTACTCCCCTGTGCCCTCCAGCAGCAAGTTCTGTGTTATGTTGTGCCACCCTGCACCCTTGTCGTGTTTCATGGAGGGTTTCTTTCATGTCATCTGATATATGTTTCTCTGTGGCTAATTGCTCAGAAGCATTTCCCATCTGATCTCAGATTTTGTTTCTTTGTTTTTGTAAGTAGCCTTCAAATGAAGGCCAAGATACTTTTCCCAACCTTTTGCTCTTGAAATATCACAGATAAAGTTCAGAGCAAGCCATGGTCTCTCAAAGCATGGTTCTTATACCACCTGCCTCTGAACTACCTGGAGAGCTTGTTGCAAATACATATTCCTAGGCCCCATTGCAGATGTCTGACTCAGAATCTTTGAGGGTGATGTTCCTTGGTGCTTCTGGTAGAGACTAAATTTGGAGAACCATAGATCTGGTAGCTTCTGTAGTTACAGTGACTTTTTTTTTTTTTTTTGAGATGGAGTTTTGCTCTTGTTGCCCAGGCTGGAGTGCAATGGCGCAATCTCGACTCACTGCAACCTATGCCTCCCAGGTTCAAGTGGTTCTCCTGCCTCAGCCTCCTGTGTAGCTGAGATTATAGGAATGCGCCACCACACCCAGCTAATTTTTTTGTTTTTTTAGTAGAGATGGGATTTTTCCATGTTGGTCAGGCTGCTATCGAACTCCTGACCTCAGGTGATCTGCCCGCCTCGCCTCCCAAAGTGCTGGGATTGTAGGCATGGGCCACCGCGCCTGGCCAGTGACTTCTTTTTTTAAACCTTGAGTAGGTTATACATTTGGGGTACAATAGACCTGTCTAGGTTGAACCCCTCTGCCCGCATTTCACACCTGTGGGAGCCAGTTGTTGGCACATGAGGCAGATCCATAACTACCACCTACCATTGTATGCCCTGTGGAACAGTCCCCTCATGGAGGCTACAATGGGTCTTCTCTAAGCAGGAGTTCCTAAATCTGGCTGCCCATCAACCTCTTCGAGGAGCTTGTCAACACACTGATTTCCAAACCTTCCTGTGGGGCTCCAGTTGAGTTGGCCAGAAGTGGGACTAGGGCAGGCCAGGCACAGTGGCTCACGCCTGTAATCCCAGCACTTTGGGAGGCCGAGGTGGTTGGATCACCTGAGGTCAGGAGTTCGAGACCAGCCTGGCTAACATGGTGAAACCCTGTGTCTACTGAAAATACAAAAATTAGCCAGGCATGGTGGTGGGCACCTGTAATCCCAGCTACTCGGGAGGCTGAGGCAGGAGAATCGCTTGAACGCGGGAGGCAGATGTTACTGTGAGCCAAGATCGCACCACTGTACTCCAGCCTGGGCAACAGAGCAAGACTCCGTATCAAAAAAAAAAAAGTAACAATCACAGTAGTTGTGAAACAGAACAGCACTAATAATGGAACAAATTATTATTATGTGCCTTCTTTTTTTTTTTTTTTTTTTTTTTTGGAGATGGAGTCTCACTCTGTCCCCCAGGCTGGAGTGCAGTGGTGCGATCTCGGCTCACTACAAGCTCCGCCTTCTGGGTTCAGGCCATTCTCCTGCTTGAGCCTCCCGAGTAGCTGCGACTACAGGTGCCCGCCACCACGCCTGGCTAATTTTTTGTATATTTTAGTAGAGACGGGGTTTCACCTTGTTAGCCAGGACGGTCTCGATCTCCTGACCTCGTGATCCACCCGCCTCAGCCTCCCAAAGTGTTGGGATTACAGGCGTGAGCCACTGTGCCCGACCTTATTATGTACCTTCTTATGTGTTGCAGTGTGAGGTATGTAACATCAACTATGTAGCATTTTCCCAAAAATGTTTAACCTGAATCAAGTTATAAGCAGACAAATACAGATTGTGAGACACTTTACAAGACAAATGCCTATATTCTTCAAAAATGTCAATGCTCTAATCCCAGCAGTTTGAGAGGCTGAAGCAGGAGGATCACTTGAGCTCAGGAGTTTGAGACCAGCCTGGGCAATGAAGCAAGACCCTGTAAATTAAAGATTAGCCAGGTGTGGTGGCATGCCTATAGTCCCAGCTACTTGGGAGGCTGAGGTAGGAGGACCATTTGAGCCCAAGAGGTTGAGGCTGCAGTGAGCCATGATTGTGCCACCACATTCCAGGCTGGGCGACACAGTGAGACCCCACCTAAAAAAAAAATACACACACACACACACGCACCCCAGTGCTATGAAAGACATAAAAAGGCAAGGGGCAGGGACTGTTCTACATTAAAGGAAACATGGCAGTTTAAATGCATTGTTGATCCTTGATTAGATCCTGAATTGAAAAAAAAGGGTCATTTTTTAAGGACAATTGGAAAAATGTGAATTTACACTGTGTATTAGTTAATAGTACTGTATGTGAAATTCCCTGGATGTGATTATGGTATTATGGTTATACAGGATAATGTCCCTGTTGCTAGAGATAAAGGCTAAAGTATTAACGGATAAAAGGACCTGATGTCTTTAACTTAATTGTCAAATGACTCAAATGATTTAACTTAATTGTCAAAAAATAAAACATCTGTGTATGAAGAGAAGCTAAAGCAAATGAGGCGAAATGTTAACAACTTGTGAAGCTGGGTGAATGGTATTTGGTTATTCATTGTATCATTCTTTTAACTTTTCTGTAGGATTGGAAATTTTCAAAATAAAATAAAAGTTGTGGCTGTTTGTTGAGTATACATTGACTAATATGTGCTCTGAGGCCCTTTCTGTACCTGATGGCCCCACTTATGGTCGTTATAATGTGCCTGCTGTAGTTTGTGTCTGCAGATCACTTTAGGGACGTCAGAACGGGACAGGGTGACTACACTCCTAAAAGTGTAATACTTGACTTTCTATTTTCCAGATTTCTTGTGATATGATTGTATTATTTAAATAACAGGTAAAACAAATCTACTTTAAATTTTTTTTAGAACATGGTAGGAAATAATAGTAAATTGTTTAAATAATGGGAAAATGATAAAGAAAAGTAAATGGTAACTGATTTAAGATAGGAGACCATGGCTATGGGCCTAAATGGTGATGGGAATGACTAACATTTAGACTTGTGCTCTGTGTGCCATTGAATATGTGAGGTTAGGGACTGTGATATACCAGCTTTTCAGTTGCAGCAAGCAAGACAACACAGGTTGAGCTGCATGTTCAAGATCACACATCTAGTGGGTACAAAGGCAAATTTTTTTTTTTTTTTTTGAGATGGAGTCTCGCTCTATTGCCCAGGCTGGAGTGCAGTGGTGTGATCTTGGCTCACTGCAAGCTCCGCCTCCCAGATTCACGCCATTCTCCTGCCTCAGCCTCCCAAGTAGCTGGGACTACAGGCGCCCGCCACCGCGCCCAGCTAATTTTTTGCGTTTTTAGTAGAGATGGGGCTTCACTGTGTTAGCTAGAATGGTCTCCATCTCCTGACCTCGTGATCCGCCCGCCTCAGCCTCCCAAAGTGCTGGGATTACAGGCGTGAGCCACCGCGCCCGGCCACAAAGGCAAATTTTAACCCAGACAGTGTAGCTCTGAATGGCAGCTCTTGGCCAGACACGGTGGCTCATGTCTGTAATTCTAGCACTTCAGGAGGCCAAGGTGGGAGGTTGGCCTAAGCCCAGGAGTTCAGGACCAGCGTAGGCAACATAAGGATATTCTGTCTCTACAAAAATTTTAAAAATTAGCCATTGTGGTGACGCGTGCTTGTGGTCCCAGCTACTCAGGAGGCTGAGGTGGGAGGATTACGCATAAGCCTGGAAGGTACAGGCAGCAGTGAATGGTGATTGCACCATTGCACTCCAGCCTGAATGACAGAGTGAAACCCTGTCTCAAAAAACAAAAACAAAAACAAAAACAGGTCAGGCGCAGTGGCTCATGCCTGTAATCCCAGCACTCTGGGAGGCCGAGGTGGTTGGATCACCTGAGGTCAGGAGTTCGAGACCAGCCTGGCCAGCATGGTGAAACCTCGTCTCTACTAAACATAGAAAATTTAGCTGGGCATGGTGGTGGACACCTGTAATCCCAGCTACACGGGAGGCTGAGGCAGGAGAATCACTTGAACCTGGGAGGCAGAGGTTGTAGTGAGCTGAGATCACGCCATTGCACTCCAGCTTGGGCAACAAGAGCAAAACTCTGTCTCAAAACAAAACAAAGCAAAAAAAAGTACACATAACTGTACAGCTTGATGAGTTTTCACAAACCACATACACCCATGTAACCAGCACCTAAATTGAGAAACAGACCAGTTCTCTAGAAACCTCCCTTACGTCTCCTTTTAGTCAATACTCTTACCGTCTCCTGACTTCCAACATCATTCTTTTCTTTTGTTTGATTTCACTGCATAGTTAGATCCTTAGCACTGTGTGTCTGAACTCATTGCTAATAGCTTAAGTAGCTCCGCATCCCCACTCCTCTTGCCTGAACTGTTCTCCATCTGCCTGTGACTGCCAGATCAAGGCAGCAGCATGGTGTGGTGGTTTAAGAGTGTGGCCTCCTGACCCAGATAGCCTGCATTCATATTGGCTCTGCCAGTTACTGCCTTCTTGGGCAACATGTACATCCATTTGCTCAGCTATAAAGCAGGGATAATAGTAACCGCATGAAGTTATCGAGAGGTGAATTAATACCTGTAAAACACTTAGAATGTGCCTGGTACGCAGTAAGTACTATGTTTTACCTGCAATCATTATCATTATTCAGTCTTTAAAAACTTTATATGGATTGGCCGGGCGCAGTGGCTCATGCCTGTAATCCCAGTACTCTGGGAGGCCGAGGCGGGCGAATCACAAGGTCAGGAGATCAAGACCATCCTGGCTAACACAGTGAAACCCCGTCTCTACTAAAAATAAAAAAAATTAGCCGGACGTGGTGGTGGGCGCCTGTGGTCCCAGCTACTTGGGAGGCTGAGGCAGGAGAATGGCATGAACCCAAGAGATGGAGCTTGCAGTGAGCTGAGACTGCGCCACTGCACTCCAGCCTGGGCGTCAGAGTGAGACTCCGTCTCACAAAAAAAAAAAAAAAAAAAAACTTTATATGGATCAAGATGGACACCTTGGTCTTTTTTTTTTTTTTTTCCTCAATGACAGACCCTACTTAACAGCAAAACTGTATTAGGAAATGTCTTGCTCGTCCCTGAATCAGATATGCAGCCTCAGCTGACATGATGACATTTGGAGGCATTATCTTACTCACACGGAAAATCAGTAATATTGATACAAATAAAATTACCTCGTTTTGTACATCATATTATATAGCTGAAAACATTCAGTTCAGGTGTGGCTCCTTGGTTTTTTGTAGTTGATTTATGTAGTTGCCTGTGAAGTCTTAGGCAAATCAAACCCTATTCTAAGTCCGGTAGAGCCTATGCAGTTTAGTGGGACCTTGTAGTAAATCCTTTAATAAGGTGAAGAATCTTTCTATAGTGTAAGTAATTGCCCCTTATTGTAAATATTTTGTAAGATTGGGTGTAGGTCTATCAGGTTTTCTCAGAGCAGATCACTCAGCTGCTGCTGCAGAGCACCTCCTTTGTGACTTGTAGGCATTACTCTACCCCTGTGTGGTTACACGCTACAAGAGTTACATGCATATGTACTGTACAGAACGTGTGTCATTTATGTTTGATGTGTACACAGATATACCTGCCTACGTACATAGTGTTGTAATTCTGTTTGATGGTCTTGCCTCACTTGTGCTGTCCACCTTAAACTTAGTGAGTTTATGGGGAGCACTCCACCCACCCATTTGCACGTGAGAACATGCTCAGCAGTGTAATCAAGCAAGTGAACTGTTTAGACCTGCTTTTCCAGATCTAAGTGACATCCGCAGTCCTACAACCCAGCCTTGGAAATAGCATCAAGGCAGTGGGAGGCGAATGAAAGGGGAACGATGAGGCTCCGGTGGGTGTGGGGGCGGGGGCGGAGATGCCCACAGCCAGCCATGGAGCTGTATGAGGCAGCCTTGGAAGCCTGCTCTGAAGCATGACTCAGATGGCTTCTATAACAGCCCTGACCTGCTGGCAGACAGCTACCCTCTGGGAGGTTTGCGCAGAGGTGGAAGCTGAGCTGGAGAGAAAAGGAAGTAGAAATGGGAGAGATCTGAGAATGAAGAGCATCCAGAGGCAGTGAAGGCTTCCAGATATGGCTAGATATAGACAGATTAGGGTGATTTAGTTAGGATTCTTCTAGTTATAAGAAAATGGGCCAGGCATGGTGCCTCAGGCCTGTAATCCCAGCACTTTGGGAGGCCGAGGCATGTGGATCACCTGAGGTCAGGAGTTTGAGACTAGCCTGACCAACATGGAGAAACCGTGTCTCTACTAAAAACTCAAAAATTAGCCGGGAGTGCTGGCACGTGCCTGTAATCCCAGCTACTCAGGAGGCTGAGGCAGGAGAATCGCTTGAACCCGGGAGGCGGAGATTGCAGTGAGCCCAGATCGTGCCACTGCACTTCAGCCTGGATGACAGAGTGAGACTCAAAAAAAAAAAAAAGGAAGGGAGGGAGGAAGGAAGGGAAGAAGGAAGGGAGGAAGGAAGGAAGGAAGATGGGTGGGGCACAGTGGCTCATTACTTGTAATCCCAGCACTTTGGGAGCCCGAGACAGGCAGATCACTTCAGGTTAGGAGTTCGAAACCAGCCTGGCCAACATGGTGAAACCCTGTCTCTACTAAAAATACAAAAAATTAGCTGGATGGTGGTGCACATCTGTAATCACAGCTACTCAGGAGGCTGAGGCAGGAGAATGGAGAATCACTTTGAACCTGGGAGGCGGAGGTTGCACTACTGCACTCCAGTCTGAGCAATAGAGCGAGACTCCCTCTCAAAAAAAAAGAAATTAGCTTGATGTGGTGGTATGCACTTGTGGTCTCAGCTACTTGGGAGGCTGAGTTTGAGCCCAGGAGGTCAAGGCTACAGTTAGCTGTGATCATGCCACTGCACTCAGCCTGGGTGATAGAGCAAGACCCTGCCTCTAAAAAAAAAAAAAAAGAAAAAGAAAATGGCAGAAACCCAACTGAAACTACCTTAAACAATAACAGGGCCAGGCGTGGTGGCTCACATCTGTAATCCCAATACTTTGGGAGGCTGAGGCAGTGAGGCGGGCAGATTGCTTGAGCCCAGGAGTTTGAGACCAGCCTGGGCAACATGGTGAAACCCCACAGGGGTAGAGTGAAAAGATTGAAAAAATTAGCTAGGCATGGTGGCATGCATCTGTAGTCCCAGCTATTCAGGAGGCTGAGGTAGGAGGATTACTTGAGCCAGGGAGGTCGAGGCTGCCTTGAGCCAGGGAGGTCGAGGCTGCAGTGAGCCATGATCACACAACTGGACACTCCACCCTGGACAGCAGAGCAAGACCCTGTCTCAAAAACAAAAAACAAAGAAAAACAATAACAGACTTCATTGGCTCAGGTGACTGGGACAACAAGGGTTTCAGGTGTGGCTTGATCTGTATGTTCAAATGGGGTCCTCTGGGCTATGACTATAGCTATGACTCTCTGTATGTTGATCTTGTTCTGCAGACTCTCCCCATGTGCCACCACTGGGGAGATGAGCACCATCATTCCTAGTTTCAGTTTCTCTCAGTTTGTAGTCCCAGCAGGCACAGGGCTTTGTGCTTTTAACTTCGGTGTTTTGTTTGTTTTTTACTGATTTTTTTTTTTTTGAGACGGAGTCTTGTTCTGTTGCCCAAGCTGGAGTGCAGTGACACAATTCCAGCTCACTGCACCTCCGCCTCCTGAGTTCAAGCAGTTCTCCTTCCTCAGCCTCCCGAGTAGCTGGGACCATAGGCATGCACCAACATGCCTGGCTAACTTTTGTATTTTTAGTAGAGATACAGGGTTTCACCATGTTGGCCAGGCTGGTCTCGAACTCCTGACTTCAGGTGATCCACCCGCCATGGCCTCCCAAAGTGTTGGGATTACAGGCACAAGCCCCAACACCTGGCCTGTTTTTTAATTGATTTTTGAGACAGGGTTCTTGCTTTGTCACCCAGACTAGAGGCTAGAGTACCATAGCACCTTTTTAGTTCACTGCAGCCTCAAATTTCTGGGCTCAAGTGATCTTCCCATTTCAGCCTCCTGAGTAGCTACGACTACAGGTGCACACCACCACCCTCAGCTAATTTTTAAACTTTTTGTAGAGACAGGGTCTCGCTGTTGCCCAGGTTTTAGTCTTGAACTCCTGGGCTCAAGTGCTCTACCCACTTTGGCCACCCAAAGTGCTAGGACTACACATGCGAGCCACTGCGCCCAGCCAAGGCTTTAAACTTTGGACATTTCTACATCAGTTCTGGGGTAGGACACAGATTAGTTCTGTCTGGCCATGTGACCACCTTGGTTGGTGGCAGTGGTCCAGATGGACCACCAGGATTTACGTTGAAAGTCTTCCCTCTGCTCATCACTTCCAAGCACATGGAATAGGAGGGAAGTCCTCTAAAGCAAAGGCTAACCACCAGCAGAAGAATAGCACGGCTTTGCATAGGCAAAATCAGTTGCTGCCACGGGACTGGAGGGACATGTCTTACCTCAGTAATCATGGTGTACAGTTAACACTTGGAAGTCAGATTATTAGAGGAGATGTCGATGGAGCGGGCACTTTCTGTTCTGTCTTGTATGTGTTGGGATGGTTTTGACTACAAGTAATAGAACACCCTGACCAGAGTGGCCTAACAATAAGGGCACTTACCTTACATGGCAAGCCATCTGGAGGAGGGGCAATTCCAGGGTTGGCTGCCATCTGTTCAGCGATGTTCTCAAGGACCTGAGTTGTTCTTAACTTCTCTGCCTTCCTTAGCACTTGGCTTGTCTTTTTAAATTGGTTTCCTCATATTCCAGAGATGGCTGCCATGATCCTAGCGTCCTGATCACCCTTGACAGAGTCTACAGGCAGTAAGAGAGACATTTCTGTCCTATGTCCTTTAAAGATGAACCAAAACCTCCACAGAACCGCCCTCATTGGTGTCCCCTTTGCATCTCATTGGCTAGAGTTAGGTCAAGGATGATATTGGCTGGGAATGGGCCTGGCTCGCAGAAGGGAATGGCCAGGAAAAGGCAGAAAACCAAAATTGGGGTTCTGTTAGTAAGGAGGGGAATGCCCATCGTGTGGGCAAAACACTCCCCACCTAAGAAGCCCCAGCCCTGCCTGGGATCAGAGGAACCTTGCCTATTGATCAGGACACTGGGCCTGGGAAGAGAATGTTCCAGTCACGAGGACAGGATGGCTGTCATTTCACCTGCTATGGCAGATTTACAAACAAATCTAGCCTGTGGCATGAGTCGTTTGGAAAGTTTTGCAATAAATGTATCAGTAACTTCACCAGTAGACACATCCATGTCTGTCTGTCCTACTTTGCAGCCAGTTTTTCTTACTTCCCTGTTCCCCTTTCATTTTACGATCAGTTTATTCTTTTCAGATTGCCAGTTACTCTTCCCCTGCCCCCCATCCTCTGGGTTTCATTAGAAAGAAACCATTCCCCAACTCAACAGGGCTTGATTTCTGAACTGTGCTTTAGAATTCTGCTGGAGAGGCTATCTGCTCTCAGTTCTGCCATTGGTAGGCTTTAACCACAAATTCCAAGGCAATTTCATTTGCGTTTTTAGGAAAAACGTATCTCCCCAACCTTGTAACTGACACTGGAAATTGAAGTGCCTTCACTTGCTGCTGTTTAATGGCAACCTCATGACATGTGCTCAGTTGGCTCGATTTGTGAGTGGCTCGATTTCTGAGTGCTGGGATGGCACTGCATGAGTAGGGATCTCTCCCAGGCCATCAGAGCTCATGGCTGATCCAACCCTGTGGTACTGACAGACTCTAATGCTAACAGAGATTTTTTTTTGTTTTCACATTTTCTTCCCTTTCCCCTGTTTACAAAAGAAATACTTGCTCATTATAAAATTGAAACTTAGAAATTTAAAATCTGACACAGAAGGTGAAAGTCCTTCATAATTCATTCCCTCACAGAGAAAACTTTGGTGTTCCTCTTTCCAGGTTTTGTTTGCCATGCGTATGTCTGGATAGAATTTGCAGTATTTTGACCAGGCGCAGTGGCTCACACCTGTAATCCCAGCACTTTGGGAGGCTGAGATGGGTGGATCACTTGAGGTCAGGAGTTTGAGACCAGCCTGGCCAACATGATGAAACCCCATCTCTGCTAAAAAAAAAATACAAAAATTAGCCAGGTGTGGTGGTACATGCCTGTAGTCCCAGCTACTTGGGAGGCTGAGGCACGAGAATTGCTTGAACCTGGGAGGCGGAGGTTGCAGTGAGCTGGGAGCACGCCACTGCACTCCAGCATGGGTGATAGAGCAAGACTCAGTCTCAAAAAAAAAGAACTTGCAGTATTTTGTAAAAATGGACTATGCTTTTCATACTGTTTTTCACCTTGCTTTTTTAACTTACTATCATTTGGACATCTGTCAGGATGTTCTTTTTAACGCGACACTTTTTTAATACCTACATATACTGTACTTTATTTAACCAGTCTTCTATTGTTAGACATTTGGGTCATTTCTAATTTTTTCCTTTCACAAAGCTGCAGTGAGCGTCCTCGTATATGTACATCTTTGTATTCTTACCGAAGTATTTCTTTTTTTTTTTGATGAGATGGAGATTTACTCTTGTTGCCCAGGCTGGAGTGCAATGGCGCGATCTCGGCTCACCGCATCCTCCGCCTCCCAGGTTCTCCTCCCAGCGATTTTCCTGCCTCAGCCTCCCGAGTAGCTGGGATTATAGGCATGTGCCACCACACCCGGCTAATTTTGTATTTTTAGTAGAGACGGGGTTTCACCGTGTTGCCCAGGCTGATCTCGAACTCCTGACCTCAGGTGATCCGCCCGCCTTGGCCTCCCAAAGTGCTGGGATTACAGGCATAAGCAACTGCACCCAGCCTTACCGGAGTATTTCTTCAGGATAAATTCCTTTAAATGGGATCACTTAGCCAGGTGTGGAGAAATTAACCTTTACATGTTAATAACCATTGCTAAAGGATTTTTAAAGTGAGGAGGAATTAGATAAATTAATATGTTATTAAAATAATACTATTGGGGCCATCCAGTAAATGTTATCGTTATTTTCAACAAACAATAGAAGGATCATTATATAAAAGTGGTTGTTTTTGTTTGTGTGTTTTGTTTGAGACAGAGTCTCGCTCTGTCACCCAGGCTGGAGTGCAGTGGTATGATCTTGGCTCACTGCAAGCTCCACCTCCCAGGCTCAAGTGATTCTCCTGCCTCAGCCTCCTGAGTAGCTGGGATTACAGATGTGAGCCACTGCACCGAGCCTAGTGTTTTTATAGCAACAAAATACTTTACTGAGTCCTTGAGAATAGGTCCCCCTTCTTAGGTTCCTTGGCCAGAGAGATTGGTTCATACACACTATGTGGCATGCATTTAGGGTTAGGAAAGACCAGCAAGCTTTTTTTTTTTTTTTTTTTGAGATGGGATCTCACTCTGTTGCTCAGACCGGAGTCCAGTGGTACGATTATGGCTCACTGCAGCTTTGACCTCCCGAGCTCAGTTGATCCTCTTATCTCAGCCTCCCAAGTAGCTGGGACTACAGGTGCATGCCACCACACCCGGCTAATTTTTAAATTTTTTGTGGAGACAGGATTTCGCCATGTTGCCCAGGCTGGTCTTGAACTCCTGGGCTCAAGTGATCTGCCCATGTTGGCCTCCCAAAGTGGAGGGATTATAGGCATGACCCACTGCGCCTGGCTAGCAAACCTTATACAGTGTGTTGCACAGTTTAGAGTTCCAGGAATCCATCCATCATGCTTCCTGTCTCTGAAGTTGGAAGTGCTGAGGGACACAGCCTGCCTCTGTAAGTCAGAGAGACTTTTCCAGATATTGACAGCAAGTCATGTTTTACATAAGGAACCTCAATGCATTGTAGAGTTTTCTTGGGGTTTGCCTCCTCTTGCCTTCCCAAAAGTTAACAGATGTGATTCAGTCTTTTCCTGTTGAGGCCCTTTTTTAAAACTTGCTTTTCTATGCCAGGTGCGGTGGCTCACGCCTGTAATCCCAGCACTTTGGGAGGCCCAGGTGGGTGGATCACGAGGTCAAGAGGTTGAGATCATCCTGGCCAACATGGTGGAACCACGTCTCTACTAAAAATATAAAAATTTAGCTGGGTGTGGTGGCACGCACCTGTAGTCCCAGCTATCGGGAGGCTGAGGCAGGAGAATTGCTTGAACCTGGGAGGCAGAGGTTGCAGTGAGCCGAGATCGCGCCGCTACAGTCTAGCCTGGGCAACAGAGCGAGACTCTGTCTCAAAAACAACAACAACAACAACAACAACAGCAACAACAAAACTTGCTTTTCTATAGTTAAAAGTAAGTAAATAAAACAGTAGGTATTGGCTGGCTGTGGTGGCTCACACCTGTAATCCCAGCACTTTGGGAGGCTGAAGCAGTTGGATCACTTGAGGCCAGGAGTTCAAGACCAGGCTGGACAACATGGTGAAACCTCATCTCTACTGAAAATACAA
Source organism: Homo sapiens (assembly GCF_000001405.40). Taxonomy (NCBI): domain Eukaryota; kingdom Metazoa; phylum Chordata; class Mammalia; order Primates; family Hominidae; genus Homo; species Homo sapiens. The sequence goes on from NC_000010.11 coordinate 102,562,739, forward strand.
AAATTAGCTGAGAATGATGGTGCATATCTGTAATCCCAGCTACTCAGGAGGCTGAGGCATGAGAATTGCTTGAACCTAGGAGGCGGAGGTTGCAGTGAGCTGAGATCGTGCCATTGCACTCTAGCCTGGGCGACAGAGTGAGACTCCGTCTCAAAAAAACAAAACAGTAGATATTGAGCACCAATATCATAGGTACTTACCTTCTCTTATTTAACCTGTGCGGTGGGTAGCGTGGTGAGGAAGATACTGGTTCATATTGCCCCTTTTCAGATGAGGCGATAGGGAGGTGATGGGCCCTGGAGAACTTCCTATAGCTGCTGAGTGGCAAGAGCAAGCCTCCAGGGACAGTCTAACCAGCCTGCTCTGCGTGCTCCAGCCTCTCAGCCGCCAAGGGTCCATTTTAGATGAAGAGAGAGGACTTGGGGAAAAGGAGCTTTTTCATCAGTTATATTTATTTTATTTAAGTGCCTGCGACATACCAGAGGCTCTGTCAAATGCTAGGTAAGCTGTGTGGAACAAACTTTCCACTGCCGTTAGCTAGTAGAGACAGACATTGAAAAAATAAGCAAATAAATATTTGATTCCATAAGATCACTAAAAGGGAAAGGTGAGGAACTGAAAGAAGGCTTATGTAGCTGGAGGGAGGTGAGGGAGAGGCGAGGGCTCAGGAAAAGCTGGAGGCCTGGCAAGAATAGGAAAGTGCTGGGCTTGAGGCAAGTCATGGTGCATTTGCCTCAATAGAGTCTTGATTCTAAGGGTAATGGAAAGCTACGAAAGCATGTTAAGGGCTGGGTGTGGTGGCTTATACGTGTACTCCCAGATACTTGGGAGGTTGAGTGGGGAGGATAGATTGAGTCCGGGAGGTTGAGGCTGCAGTGAGCCAGGATCATGCCACTGCAGTGAGCCAGGATCATGCCACTGCACTCCAGCCTAGGCAACAGAGCAAGACCCTGCCTCAAAAAACAAAAAAAGAAAAGAAAATGAAAGCATGTTAAGGAGGAAGGTGAAATGGCCAGTTTGGGGAGTGAAGTCCTTTTTTTTTTGTTGTTAAATTAAGATGTACTTGGATTTGAAGTATTTGAGACTCTAGCTGCATTTTGAGAGTGGCTCTTACGCAGAAGGGACAGGGGCTGCTGCAGCAGTTGGAGCGCAGCCCTCAGGGTCATGGATACTTCTCAGCTCTGCCATTCCAGTCCCTGGGGTCTTGAACTCAGCAGAATCCTGTCTCAAGCCTGCTCTATCCTGAGGCTCTCCAGCCTAAGAAGGGGACCCTCTTATCTTGGGGGTGTTAGCAGCCTCAGCATTGCTGTGCTCAGCAGCACACCACAGGGCTGTCTTCTCAGATCCAAGAGGGAGATCAGGCTTTGCCTCCTCTTCCCTGCCCTGCAGGTGAGTAAAGGAAGTCAGGAAGGTTGAGTGAGGAGTTCAGAGTACGTCCCCAGGTAAGATGTTACTAGGCTGCAGGCAGCTTCTCATCTACAGCTCACCTGGCTTTCTTCTCTCATGTCCCAAATGTATGTGGTCTTAATATCTTTTCCTCAGGTAAAGCTTTCTGGAAAGAGGTGCTCCATCATTACCAATGAGAGCTGTCAAGCTGTATCTCTCTTTTTTGGAGACAGAGTCTCACTCTGTCACCCAAGCTGGAGTGCAGTGGTGTGATCTCGGCTTACTGCAGCCTCCACCTCCTAGGTTCATACTGTTCTCATGCCTCAGATTCCTGAGTAGCTGGGATTACAGGCGTGCACCACCACACCCGGCTAATTTTTGTATTTTTAGTAGAGATGAGGTTTCGCCATGTTGGCCACGCTGGTCTCCAACTCTTGGGGTCAAGTGATCCACCCGCCTTGGCCTCCCAAAGTACTGGGGTTACAAGCATGAGCCGTCGCACCCAACCTCAAGCTCTCGTTTCCTGGTTTCGCTAAGCTGCCTATTGCCCCAGTCAGCTAACTAAAGCCAAATGGAGCTGCCTGGTTATATTCATATCATTTTTCTCCCTCACACTCTTTTTAATTTTCCTGACATTTTCTTTGCCTCAACCTGATTCATCCTCTTTTCTGGTTGCTGTGGATCTGTGAAATATTTTCACTTTTATCAGTTAGTAATACTGACCAACTGTAAGACAAAACAACTCTTGATTTCTCTGCACTTTCCTAAGATTTTAGATTAATAGTTGAAAGATTGTGTTCCTACTGCACTGAAGAAAAACAGGTCAGTCCCTCAGAAATGAGTTTGTGCCCTAAAATTTAAGTGATTTAGCCAATATATAAATCTGGGTATTTTTAGGGAAAACTTAAACCCTGAGAGCAGAGGTTGGCAAGTACAGCCTGCAGGCCAAATCCTGATAATCACCTGTTTTTATAAGTAAAATTATATTGGAACATAGCCATACCCATCATGGATTACCTGGGCTTCTTTTGTGCCACAGCAGTGGAGTTGACTAGTTGTAACAAGAATGATATGGCCCTCAAAGCCTGAAATATTTTATCTCTGGCCGTTCACTGCAAAAGTCGGCCGACAACTGACTTAGAGAATGTTTTCCACTTCTGAATAACAACTCAGGTGGAGAGGTAGCCATCTCTGTGAGATTTCAGAGGTCCCGAGAAATGAGTTGCCTTAGCTGGGTCCTGTGCTCTGTGGCCTGTGGTAGAGGAATCAATTACAGTACCTAGAGTTTGTTGGGGTTGGGGGGTATGCATCTCCTGCTGTGTTGCTGAAGGATTTTCTTTAGCAAGTTCCTTTAGCTTCTATAGGTCTGTATCCTACATTGGAGAACTACATTAAATGACTTGAAACTCTTAGTAGAAAGAGTCTATTTATTGTTTTTGAGACGGAGTCTCGCTCTGTCGCCCAGGCTGGAGTGCAGTGGCGCGATCTCGGCTCACTGCAAGCTCCGCCTTCCAGGTTCACGGCATTCTCCTGCCTTAGCCTCCCGAGTAGCTGGGACTACAGGTGCCCGCCACCACGCACGGCTAATTTTTTTTGTATTTTTAGTAGAGATGGGGTTTCACCTTGTTAGCCAGGATGGTCTCTATCTCCTGACCTCGTGATCTACCCGCCTCGGCCTCCCAAAGTGCTGGGATTACAAGCGTGAGCCACCACGCCTGGCCGAAAGCATTTATTTGATACAGGCATTCAGCTAGGATAATTCACCCTCGGACAAGGTCTCTCATCTCTGGACCCCTGTGGAGTTTTAATTGGTTGGCTCTTTCAGCGGAATGTGGCCCTTTTGTCTCTAGCACTTGCAATTCAGGGATGCTTTCTGCAGAGGGCAGTGAAGCCCACTGGCAAGCAGAGATTGCCGCTGGAGAGTTAGGACAGTAGAACTAGCATCTCTGCAGGAGGTAAAGCACTTTGATGACTGGAAACTGCTCATGATAGAGTGTTCAGCGAAGAGGGCTGGAAAAGAACATGGCTGAGAGCAGGAATCCAAATGGCAGGTTGCCTGGGTTCAAATCCTAGTTGGGCCATGTAGGACCAAAATTGAACATCTCTAACAGTTGGTTACTTCATCTGTGAAACACAGGTAATAGTAATATCTACTTCATAATATAGGTAGTGTTCCTAATGCAGACCCTAGCATTATACATAGAAACAATCAATATTATTTATGGCTGGGTGCAGTGTCTCACGCCTGTAACCCCATTACTTTGGGAGGCTGAGATGGGTGGATCACCTGAGGTCAGGAATTCGAGACCAGCGGGGCCAACATGGTGAAACCACGTCTCTATTAAAAGTACAAAAATTAGGTCAGGCGCGGTAGCTCACGCCTATAATCCCAGCACTTTGGGAGGCCAAGGGGGCGGCTCACAGGGTCAGGAGTTCTAGACCAGCCTGGCCAACATAGTGAAACCCCGTCTCTACTAAAAAATACAAAAAATAAACCAGGCGTGGTGGCGGGCGCCTGTAATCCCAGCTACTTGGGAGGCTGAGGCAGGAGAATCGCCTGAACTTGGGAGGCGGAGGTTGCAGTGAGCCGAGATTATGCCATTGCACTCCAGCCCAGGCAATAATGTGAGACTCTGTCTCAAAAAAAAAAAAAAAAAAAAGTACAGAAATTAGCCGGGCATGGTGGTGGGCACCTGTATAGTCCCAGCTACTCAGGAGGCTGAGGCAGGAGAATCACTTGAACCCGGAAGGCGGAGGTTGCAGTGAGCCGAGATTGTGCCACTGCACTCCAGCCTGGGTGACAGAGCGACTCCATCTCAAAAAAAAAAAAAGTTTATGTTGTTGTTTAAGAAGCACATTGCAAAAGAAAAGGAAACAGGCTCTTTTTTTTTTTTTTTTTTTTTTTGAGACAGAGTCTCGCTGTGTTGCTCAGGCTGGAGTGCAGTGACACAATCTCGGCTCACTGCAACCTCTGCCTCCCGGGTTCATGCCATTCTCCTGCCTCAGCCTCCCTAGTAGCTGGAATTACAGGTGCCCACCACCATGCCCTGCTAATTTTTTGTATTTTTATTAGAGACGGGGTTTCACTGTGTTAGCCAGGAGGGTCTCGATCTCCTGACCTCGTGATCCGCCTGCCTCGGCCTCCCAAAGTGCTGGGATTACAGGCGTGAGCCACTGCGCCCCATCCAAAACCTGTCAAGAAAAAAAAAGGCCAGGGCAGTGGCTTTCTTACTCAGTTTCTTCATAGCTCTCTCAGTGGAAAATGACTGGCACCCGTAAGCCATACACAGTACTGCTTGAGATTCCCTGGGAGTGGGTCTCCACCGCCAGGCCTGTCTTCTTGCCTTGCAGGGCAGACATGAGGACAAGCTTGTTGTTTAGGTTCTTCCCAGGACTCAAGGACCAAGAGAACAGAATGGCCCTCCCTCGAGGGTTCTGATGAGGTTCAAGCAGCATTTCTGACTCCTCACAGAGCCCTCTCTCTGGACAGATGACAGTTGGAGCTTGAGCCAGGGGAGGAAGAGAAAAGGGAGGGAATTCGGGTGCTTTTAAAGAGGGATTGCAGCACACCCAGGCAGTGGATTGTTGTTTTGCTGGCATGCAGCAGGTAGACTCTGAAACAGCAGTGGGGGTCCTTCTCTGCCTTGTCCTGCTTGGCCCAGTGGAAGCTGCATACCTGGGGCACTGTGCTGGGCAGGGAACACATCTCTGGGAGAGGCTATAGCCCAATATCCCCTAGCCCCAGGCCTAGCTCCAGCAGCCTATGTTTGGCTTTGAAGATTTAGGAAGAACAGGACACTATCAACCTCCTGGGCCAACCGGGCATGTCTAGGTCCTCCTGTATTGAGTACCGTGGTGATCTGAACACAGGAAAACCTTGTCCTTTGCTTCTCTTTACTGGGCCACTCACATCACACATTCATTGTCTTCTGTCCTTGGCTGGTACACTTTTATTCCCCCAAACAAATATAACATTATTGTTTTCCCTAATTACAAAAAGGACATTAAAAAAATCCAGGCAACACTGAAAACATAAAGAAACCTTGTCGCAGAACAATGGGTAGAGTGGAGTTTCATTTTTACTTAAAAAAAAAAAAAAGTATGACTTTGATTATACATGCTGAAAAGAAAGTCTTAAAGACTGCATATCAGATGTTAACAGCAAATGTTAATAGCTGAGAAATGGGACTGATGGGAAAAGAGATTTTCATGTTTTACTTTATACATTTCTTTGTTGTTTGACTCTCTTATAATAAGCCTATGTTACTTTGTAACTTAAATAAATATATGTTGAAAACAAAAATAAATATTATGCTGCTGAGACAGCCATTTTTATTTGGTTACTATCCTTCTAGATATGTCTCTATACAAAAAATAGGCAGTTGTACTAAGTACTGTATATATTAACATGCTTTATTCACACAGCATCATGTCATGGAAGTCTTTCTAGCTAAGTAACTATAGTTCAGCCGGGCACAGTGGCTCACGCCTGTAATCCCAGCACTTTGGAAGGCCAAGGCAGGTGGATCACCTGAGGTCAGGAGTTCAAGACCAGCTTGGCCAATGTGATGAAACCCTGTCTCTGCTAAAAATACAAAAATTATCTGGGTGAGGTGGCGGGCGCCTGTAATCCCAGCTACTTGGGAGGCTGAGGCAGGAGAATCACTTGAACCTGGGAGGCGGAGGTTGCAGTGAGCCAAGATTGCACTATTGCACTCCAGCCTGGGCGACAAGAGCAAAACTCTGTCTCAAAAAAAAAAAAAAAAAAAAAAAATATATATATATATATATATATACACATATATATATATATATATATATATATATATATATATATATCTATAGCAGTGCTTGTAATTGTATGGCATTTCATTGTATGATACTAACATAACAGGCCCCTCTAGGATAAATAGACCCCTCTGGATGAACTTGCAGATAGTTTCCAGTTTTCCCTATTTTAAACAACACTATAAGATTGTTGCCCATATATGAACATCTTGGCAACTGCGTCCAATTATCTCAGGATCAGTTTCTAAAGTGGGATTGTGGGTCACAAGGTCCGCAGATTTTACAGTTTGGCACATATGCCCAGCTCTCCTTTTGAAGGTGATTCCACTAGGCAGGGTGGCCCCTGCCGCGGCTGCCACTGTGTTCTCACCTGTAGTCATGGCCATTTGGCAGTCCAGGCACTGAGGAAGCACTGTGTAGTCTTTCAAGTCCGTAAAATAAGACACAGGACTCTTCCCACTCTTGATAGCTTTAAAGCTGGCCGTATTCCAACATTAAGGAAGTTCTTTGAGGCTGGAGGCCCACAGGCTACTCAGACTCTGTGGCTCTTGGAAAGCCCTGCACTACCTGAGTTCACCCTCACAACTCAGTCCCTTCTCTATCTCTCCAAGCAGGTAGAAATGTCCTGGAAGAGTCTGGCCTGAACACCAAAAGGGTTCACTAATGATTTATTGCTATCTCTTCCTATAATCAAATCACCCAAAATTGGTTATCTAAACCCCTTTCCTGTATCTGATTGGTAGGGAAACTTTGAAATTTGGGCAGGTACATAGACGGCTGAGGGGCTGTTCTTTATACAGATACTCAGAGGTAAGTGCCTGCCTCATGTCCGTCTCTGACCCAACAGCCCCTTCTGGGTGCAACATTCAACAAGGGATTTAAACCAATCAGAGTGTGTCCAGAGAATGGTGGCATTCAAACTGGCAAAACCTTTCAAAACTGTCCATCTATGAGGAATGACTATAAAAGTGAGGTAACTGGAAATATTCTAGTTTGAAGACGAAAAGACTTTGAGATGGAATATGTAGGGAGTTGAACTATGACCCACAACAGGTATTTAAAAATAGCTGAGGTCTTCCCATATGGAAAAGGGATTTGACTTTTTGTTACTCAGAATAGAGAGCTAGAAAGCTGTTAACTCTTCATTGGGATGTAGAAGAATTTCCAAATGTGGATAGGCACTGGGAGGCAGTAAACTCACCATCCCTGAAGTTTTCCTAGTCGTCTGGGCAGTTGCTGGCCCAGGCGCTTGTAGAGGGGATTTAAGCGCTGGGTGTGCAGTTGGTGATTTGGGAATCTAGATTGCCGAACCGAGAGAATATTTATTTATTTATTTATTTATTTATTGAGACGGAGTCTTGTTCTGTTGCCCAGGCTGGAGTGCAGTGGTGCAATCTCGGCTCACTGCAACCTCCGCCTCCCAGGTTCAAGCAATTCTCTTGCCTCAGCCTCTCAAGTAGCTGGGACTACAGGCACACGCCACCACGCCTGGCTAATTCTTATATTTTTTAGTAGAGACGGAGTTTCACCATGTTGACCAGGCTGGTCTCGAACTCCTGACTTTGTGATCCGCCTGCCTCGGTCTCCCAAAGGAGACCATTTATTAATGCTGGGGTTTTTTTAGTTTTTTGTTTGTTTGTTTTCTAATCGGTATTTTTGTGACCCCTTCTTCTGTGTTCCAGTCTGGTTTCTTGCAAACAAGTCCTTCCCCCTTCCTCTTCTCGATGCTTCCCAGGTCCTCCAGGTCTGACCCAGCTGGGTGACTTCTGAGAACATCCATAAGTACTATAGCTGTGCTTCTTGGTGTAAACTAAGGCAGGAAGAAGGGAGTTAGTTTCCTAAGCTGAAAATTAGAATCGTGGCTCCTCGAAGAAAACATCTGCTCTTCCTATGTGGGTGGATTCTATGTCTGTGTCTCAGTTCTACTGGATCCTTCTGTCTTCATTTCTTTTTGTGTAAATAGTGGCCATATTTTCCAGTGGTCAGATCTTTCAAATGAATAGCAACTGTTTAATTTGTACAGTATTTTCAGTACACAAGGCAATTTTTACATATTTTGTTTTCTTGGATTCTAAAAAAAAAACCAAAACCTTCAAGGTGTACAGTATATCATCACATCATGTTTTGGTAGGTGAAAAAACAGATGCAGAGAAGTTAAGTGGCTTCTTCAAGGTTACACAGTAAGAAAATCGTATCAGAGAATAAAGCTAAGAGAGGAGACTCTTAACTAGAGGATCTGATTTTGTCTTGAACAGGAGGGTATACATAATACATTTTGGGTGACTATTTGCACCCATGACCTGATAGAAGAAAAATAGTCAGTACTAATAAGTAACGGTTTCACCTTACACTAAGATGGCCAGTGACTGAGCTAAAGAGAAGTTAGTGTTTCATTAATTTATCTTTTTTTGGGTTGCTGGGGATGAGGCCAACCAAAATTCTCTCTGGGTTAAAAGTTGATGTTTAAGGAGGCCGGGCACAGTGGCTGACGCCTGTAATCCCAGCACTTTGGGAGGCTGAGGTGGGTGGATCACTTGAGGCCAGGATTTCAAGACCAGCCTGGGCAACATGCCGAAACCCTGTCTCTACTAAAAAACAAACAAACAAAACAAACAAACAAACAAAAAATTAGCCAGGCATGGTGGTGCACACCTGTAATTCCAGCTACTTGGGAGACTAAGGCAGGAGAATCATTTGAACCTGGGAGACAGAGGTTGCAGTGAGTCAAGATTGCGCCACTGCACTCTAGCCTGGGCGACAGAGCAAGACTCTGTTTCAAAAAACAAAACAACAACAAAAAATTAGTGGCTTAAAACCCAATTTCTGTGTGTCTCAAGTTTGGACACAGCTTATCTCTAGGTCCTCTGGCCAGGGCCTTGCAAGGCTACAATTAAGGTGTTTACCATGCTGCATTCTTTTCTTTTCTTTTTTTTCCTTGTTCATATACAGGCTGCATTCTTATTTGAGGCTCCCCTGGAGAAGAATATGCTTCCAAGTTCCGTCAGGTTGTTGACAGAATTCCTTTCCTTGCAACTTTAGGATTCAAGGCAGCTTGCTTCTTTAAAGCAGCAATGGAGGAAGAGTCTGACGTTTGTGTAGGGGTACAGTTCCCTTTTAAAGGGCTTTTACCTGTTTCAGTCAAGTCCACCCAGGAGAATCTCTTTTTTTCTGAGATGGAGTTTCACTCTTGTTGCCCAGGCTGGAGTGCAATGATATGATCTTGGCTCATTGCAAACTCCGCCTCCCAGGTTCAAGCCATTCTCCTGCCTCAGCCTCCCGAGTAGCTGGGATTACAGGCACCGGCCACCACGCCTGGATAATTTTTTTTTTTTTTTGTAATTTTAGTAGAGGACGGGTTTCATCATGTTGGTCAGGCTGGTCTGGAACTCCTGACCTCAGGTGATCCGTCTGCCTCGGCCTCCCAAAGTGCTGGGATTACAGGTGTGAGCCACCGTGACCGGCCTCTCCCCTTTTTCTTTCTTTTTTTTTTTTTTTGAGACAGAGTCTCACTCTATTGCCCAGGTTGGAGTGTAGTGGCGCGATCTTGGCTCACTACAACCTCTGCCACCCGGGTTCAAGCAATTCTCCTGCCCCAGCCTCCTGAGTAGCTGGGATTACAGGCACCTGCCACCACACCCGGCTACTTTTTGTATTTTTAGTACAGATGGGGTTTTGCCATCTTGCCCAGGCTGATCTTGAACCCCTGACCTCGTGATCCACCCTCCTTGGCCTCCCAAACTGCTGAGATTACAGGTGTGAGTGAGCCACCATGCCCAGCCTTTTTTTTGTTGTTGTTATGGTGAAAAGATATACATATATTTAGAATTACCCAGCTGGACTCAGTTTAAATGATCCCAATTTTGTTGGCAACATCCAAAGCATCGTAATCAGGAGCCAGTCCAACATATGCCTTCTTCTCTCCATCACGCTGAATCAGGGTGTTGACCTTGGTCACATCAGTGTCATAGAGCTTCTTCACAGCCTATTTGATCTGGTGCTTGTTGGCTTTAACATCCACAGTGAACACAAGTGTGTTGTTGTCTTCTATCTTCTTCATGGCAGACTCAGTGGTCAGTGGAAACTTGATGATAGCATAGTGGTCAAGCTTGTTCTCCGGGGTTGGTCTTCTGAGGGTACTTGGGCTGCCTCCAGAATCGCAGTGTCTTGGGCCGCTGGAAGGTAGGTGACGTGCGGATCTTCTTTTTTTTGTGGCTGTGGACACCTTTCAACACTGCCTTCTTGGCCTTCAAAGCCTTTGCTTTGGCTTCGGCTTTAGGAGGAGCAGGAGCTTCCTTCTTTGCTTTCGGCACCGTCTTGTGAAAAGGGCCTCCATTTTAATTAACACAAAATCATCTACTTTGGCCTCACAGCCGTTAGAATGGCTACTATCAAAAAAAGAAAAAACAAAACAAAACAGAAAATAGTATGTTAGCAAGCATGTGAAGAAATTGGCACCCTTGTACACTGTTGATAGGAATGTAAAATGGTGCAGCTGCTGTGGAAAATGGTCTGGTGCTTCTTCAGAAAGTTCAAAATGGAATTACTGTATGATCCAGCAATCTCACCTCTGGGTATGTGTCCAAAAGAATTGAAAGCAGGGACTTGAACAGATATTTGTGCACCAGTTTTCATAGCATCCAAAAAGTGGAAGTAACTCAAGTGTCCATCAACAGATGAATGGGTAAACAAAGTATGGTATATACATATAATGGAATATTACTCAGCCTTAATAAAAGGAAGGAAATTCTGCCACATGCTGCAGGCTACAACATGGATGAACCCAGGAGACATTATGGCAAGTGAAATAAGCCAGACACAAAAAGACAAATATTGTATGATTCCACTTACATAAGGTACTTAGAGTAGTTAGGTTCATAGAGACAGAAGGCAAAATGTTGGTTTCCAGGGGTTGGAAGCAGTGGAATGGGGAGTTACTGTTTACTGTATAGAGTTTCAGTTGGGGAAGATGAAAAAAAGTCCTGGAAATGGAAGCTTCTTATGGTTGCACAACAATATGAATGTACTTAATGCCACTTAAAAATGGCTAAATTGGTGAATTTTATGTTGATGTATTTTACTACAACTAAAACTGAAAAAAAAATTAATAAATGATTTGGGATGTTACTTTACATCTTTAAAATATCTTTACTTTTGCCATATTCTGTTAGCAAGAAGCAAGTTATAGGTCTCGCCCACACTTGGGGGAAAGTATTAGACAGGGCTTGAGTACCAAGGGGATTGGGGACCATGGGGGCACCTTAGAGTCTGTCTGCCACATTTCCTAAAACTCAGAAGCAAAATAAAACAAGTGAAATTCACAGCATACCAAATTGGTGTCAAAACAATATACAGAGATCTTAAACTATAGTAATTTGTCTGTATATCCCTAATATATACACAAAGACAGAAAAAACTGTTTTCAGTAATCATGTTGTTAATAAAAATATTGACTTTAACCTAAAACTAGTATATGGATATAATAGGATAAAGCAAATAAGTAATTATGTTAGAAAGCAAGATGTTCAGCATAAGATTAGAAAGATACAAATATATGGCCAGGCGTTGTGGCTCACATTTGTAGTGCCAGCTGTTTGAGAGGCTAAGACGAGAGGATTGCTTGAGCCCAGGAATTTGAGCCTGCAGTGAGCTGTAATTGTGCCACTACACTCTAGCCTGAGTGACACAGTGAGACCTTGTCTCTAAAACAGTAATAAAATAAATAAAAGATACAAATATAAAATCAAATAAGTAAAAATGTTATATTCTTAAATTTGGATTCTAATTAGCAAGATGAACAAAAGATGTGTTTTCTCTTTCTTTTAAAAAAAATGTATTTTATCTTCGTCACTAAAAAAGCCTTGAAACAGGCCGGGCACAGTGGCTCCTGTAATCCCAGCACTTTGGGAGGCCAAGGCAGGCGGATCATGAGGTCAGGAGTTCAAGACCAGCCTAGCCAATATGGTGAAACCCTGTCTGTACTAAAAATACAAAAAATTAGCCCGGCATGGTGGCATGCACCTGTAGTCCCAGCTACTCAGGAGGCTGAGGCAGGAGAATCACTTGAACCCGGGAGGCGGAGGTTGCAGTGAGCTGAGATTGAGCCACTGCACTCCAGCCTGGGTGACAGAGCAAGACTCTGTCTCAAAAAAAAAAAAAAATTAGGCATGGTGGTGTGCCTGTAGTCTTAGCTACTCGGGAAGCTGAGGTGGAAGGATTGCTTGAGCCTAGGAGGTTAAGGCTACAGTGAGCCATAATGGTGCCACCACACTCCAGCCTGGGAAACAGAGCAAGACCTTGTCTCAAAATTTTTTTAAAAAGCTAGCCTGGTTGAAAATGCCAGTGGTGCCATTTTAGTTGCCAGCCAAGGATGGCTCCTAATGTTCTAGTCCATTTTCTGCTGCTTATAACAGAATATCTGAAACTGCTAATTTATAAAGAAAAGGAATTTATTTCTTACAGTTATGGAGGCTGAGAAGTCCAAGGTTAAAGGGCCCCATCTGATGAAGGCCTTCTTGCTGGTGAGGAGTCCCTGCAGAGTCCCAGGGACATCACATGGCAAGGAGGCTGAACTTGCTAGCTCAGGTCTCTATTCTGATAAACCCACCAGTTTCTACCCCCATTGTCCACCTCTGTGATAATCCATTAACTTATTAATCTATATATGAGGGCAGGGCCCACATGACCCAATCACCTCTTAAAGGCCCCACCTCTCAATACTGCTAGATTGGAGACTGAGTTTCAACATACCTTTTGAAGGAGGCAGACATTCAAATCATACCACCTAGCTTCCTGGCATGTCCAGATTAGTGCCACTGCATTTGGAGTGATGCCACAGTAGCCAGTGTGATGGCTGCTGGTGCCACATAGCAGAGGGGTCAAGGAGGAGGATCATCTTTCCAACATTAAGTATATAGATAATACATAAATAAATTTCAGATTTTTTTTTGGAAACGGGGTCTCTGTTGGCCAGGCTGGAGTGCAGAGGCGTGATCTTGGCTCACTGCAGCCTCAACCTCCCGGGCTCAAGTGATCCTCCCACCTTAGCCTCTGAGTGGCTGGGTCTACTGGCACATGCCACCATACCCCGCTAATTTTTCTGTGTTTTTTTTTTTTTGTAGAGATGGGGTCTTGGTATGTTGTCCAGGCTGGTCTTGAACTTCTGGACTGAAGTGATCCACCCACCTCAGCCTCCCAAAGTGCTGGGATTACAGGCATGAGGTACTGCAACTGACCTCAGATGTTAAAAACTTAGACTATACAGATAAAGTCAAAGTTCTCTGTGACCACCCCACCCAATCTCAGGGCCCTCGCTAAAGAAACCCTCTTTATCCATTTGGTGTGCGTCCTTGCAGCTTGCCAGATTTTTTTCTATGTATTCACCTTCTTCTGGGTACCTATGAAATGGTTTGGGTTTCTATGTTTTTTTTTCTTTCTTTAATGTAAATGAAACTGTACTGCCCTTCACAATTGGATTTTTCAGTTGACGGTATGTCTTGAAGATCTTTATTTAATTTTTTTTACTGTTGTCTGTGATTTTATTGTATGAATAAACCATAATTTAACTATTCCCCTGGTGATGCACCTTTAGGTTGTTGCCATTTTTGCAGTATTACAAACAGTACAAAGATGCAGTGACCATCCTTATTCATTCCTCCTTGTGACATGTTTTGCTCTAGGGTAGATATTTATAAGTAGAATGATTGGGTCAAAGGGAAGTTACCTTTTATATTAATAGATTCTGCCATTTGGTCCTCCAAAGTGACCATACTAGTTTATAGGTCCATGGCAACTAAATGTTTTGTTTTGTTTTGCAGTGACAGGGTCTTTCTCTGTTGCCCAGGTTGGAGTGCAATGGTACAATTATAGCTCACTGTAACCTGGAATGCTTTGGCTCAAATGATCCTCAAGCCTCAGCCTCCCAAGTAGCTGTGGAACTACAAGTGTGCACCACCATGCCTGACTAATTTTTAAATTTTTTTGTAGAGACAGGGTCTCACTGTGTTGCCCAGGCTGGTCTTGAACTCCTGGTCTGAAGCGACCTTCCTGCCTCAGCTGTGGGATTGCAGGTGTGAATCACTGTACCCAGTCTAAATGGGTTTTCATTCCTGATTTAACTGGTCTCTTCAGGAAGAAGATGGGAGGAGTAGAAGCATGTCCTGGATTTTTTCTTTTCTTTTTTTTTTTTTTTTGAGATGGAGTCTCACCCTGTTGCCCAGTCTGGAGTGCAGTGGCACCATCTTGGCTCACTGCAACCTCCGCCTCCCAGGTTCAAACGATTCTCCTGCCTCAGCCTCCTGAGTAGCTGGCATTATAGGCGTCCACTAACACGCCAAGCTAATTTTTGTATTTTTAGTAGAGACAGGGTTTCACCATGTTGGCCAGGCTAGTCTTGGATTTTAAAGCTTCAAAGGATTTCCTGGGATTTTTTTTTCTTGTTTCTTTTTTTTTGGAAATGGAGTCTCACGTCTTACTCTGTCACCCAGGAGTGCAGTGGTGTGATCATGGGTCACTGCAGCCTCCCTCTCCCAGGGCTTAAGTGATCCTCCCACTTCAGCCTCTGGGACCACAGGCATGTGCCACCACACCTGGCTAAATTTTGTATTTTTTGCAGAGGCAGGGTTTTGCCATGTTGCCAAGGATGGTATCAAACTCCTGTGCTCAAGTGATCCACCTACCTCAGCCTCCCAAAGTGCTAGGATTACAGGCGTGAGCCACTGCACCCAGCCCTCCTGGCATTCTTTGGTTGAAATGTATATAGGACTACGAGTTGTTTTTTTTTTTTTTTTGAGACGTAGTCTCGCTCTGTTGCCCAGGCTGGAGTGCAGTGGCACGATCCCGGCTCACTGCAAGCTCCGCCTCCCGGATTCACGCCATTCTCCTGTTTGAGCCTCCTGAGTAGCTGGGACTACAGGTGCCCACCACCATGCCCGGCTAATTTTTTTGTATTTTTAGTAGAGATGGGGTTTCACCATGTTAGCCAGGATGGTCTCCATCTCCTGACCTCGTGATCTGCCCGCCTCGGCCTCCCAAAGTGCTGGGATTACAGGCGTGAGCCACCGTGCCTGGCCAGGACTACGAGTTTAAAACCTCCTTAGTCCCTTTGGCTTTAAGAACAAAGAGGCTGGTGGCTCATGCCTGTAATCCCAGTACTTTGGGAGGCCGAGGCGGGTGAATCACGAGGTCAGGAGATCGAGACCATCCTGGCTAACATGGTGAAACCCCGTCTCTACTAAAAATACAAAAAAATTAGCTGGGCGTGGTGGTGGGCGCTTGTAATCCCAGCTACTCGGGATCGCGCCACTGCACTCCAGCCTGGGCGACAAAGCGAGACTCCGTCTCAAAAAAAAAAACAAAAACAAAAAACAAAGAACAAAGAGGCTTGGGGCCAGGCATGATGGCTCATGCCTGTAATTCCAGAACTTTGGGAGGCCGAGGTGGGTGGATCACTTGAAGTCAGGAGTTCGAGACCAGCCTGGCCAACATGGTGAAACCCCATCTCTACTAAAAATACAAAAATTAGTCTGGGTGCAGTGGCACCTGTAACCCCAGCACTTTGGGAGGCTGAGGCGGGTGGATCATAAGGTCAAGAGATTGAGAACATCCTGGCCAACATGGTGAAACCCTGTCTGTACTAAAAGTACAAACATTAGCTGGTCATGGTGGCGCGTGCCTATAGTCCCAGGTACTCGGTAGGCTGAGGCAGGAGAACTGCTTGGACCTGTGAGGCAGAGGTTGCCGTGAGCTGAGATCATGTCACCGCACTCCAGCCTGGCGACAGAGCAAGACTCCGTTTCAAAAAAAAAAAAAAATTAGATGGACATGATGGTGCGCGCCTGTAATCCCAGCTGCTCGGGAGGCTGAGGCACGAGACTTGCCTGAACCTGGGAGGCAGAGGTTGCAGTGAGCTGAGATGGCACCACTGCACTCCAGTTTGGGCAACAGAGTGAGACTCTGTCTCAAAGGGAGAAAAAAAAAAAAGAGCAAAGAGGCTTGGGCTCTGCCTTGTGTGTAGGTGGCAGGCCCTCGTGCTGGTGAAGGAGAGAGGAACAAGGGCAGGTCTTGCTCAGTTACAAGCTTGTGGGCAGAAGATTCTGCCTTCTCATGCTGACAGGTGTCTAAACAGATGGAGCTGCTTAAAAAGAAAAGTGAAGGCATCTGCTAGATTAGGACTTCAGGCTCTCTCTAAGGGGTAAGCAAGGACCTGTGTACTTTACAGGTGGGCATAGCATATATGGGTGAGTAAATGAGGTTTGACTAGTGACAGCTACAAGCTGTGGCCAGGTGAACCCTCCTGAGCTCTGTGGGCAGTCAGGGTCCTCACCCTCATTGGGGGGAGAATGAGGCTGTCTGCTGTGTGCCCTGCCCATGTGGGCACAGGGTGAGTGTCAGGTCCACAGTCTATCTCTAGCTAGCGAAACTGCATCAGTCCAGTTCTGAAAGGTTTGCAGCCCCCTACACTCGCTTTGGGGTGAGAACCTGCAGGGTCTCTGGCAGCCCGCCAGCCTCCCACCTCCCCTGCTGTGACTTGTATTCCAGTTTACTGAGCATCTCTGCTTATAAAGGGATTTTCCTTACACTTCACTGTTTGCCTTTATGATTGCGGCTTTGAGGGACAGGAAGGAAGCTGAAGAGCGGGCGGTTCTGGAGAAAATGCATAGGGAAGCAGTTTTGAGTCTCCTTTGGCTAGCTGTGCGATTCCTTTGATTCCAGGCAAAACCTGGAAGGAATAGCCTTTACATTTCCTTTCAGTTTTGCAAGAGCAAATATGTCTTCTCTCAGTCTTCTTTAATCAAGTGGGACTGCGTATTCATTTCCCGTCTCCATGTCTTGCAACCACATTTAGCCAAATTAATATCAGACAGAGCTAGCTGAGGGAAGCTCTCAAACCAAACACTCAAATGAACTTTTCAAGTGATAAAACTGCATCCAGAACTTTGAAAAGGTAGGTGGGTGAGGGTAGGGGTTAATTCTTGCTTCTACCACATGACCAAGTTGGGAAACTCTACAACTGGTCACCATCTGCGCCATTTGACCAGCTATGAAGAACTTTACCTTCTAGCCCCAAGAGCTCCTCAGCCACATGTACAGAGAATCTGTTTTGGGTCTCCTCCCCCGCACCCCCCCCCCGCCCCCAGTTTGTTTGCTTTGTTGTTTTTTCTTTCTTAAAGAGAGTTTCTGTCTTTCCCCTTCTTTGGAGTTTGATTGGAAGCCCTGCAGAGGGGCTGTTGAGCAGTCAGCCATGTTCCTGGGATTATCCTTCCTTTGGAGCATCTGTCTGCTGTGCACTGTGTTGGGAGAAAGGCAGGGGTGCGAAATTCTGTTGGTTTGTAACAAATTGTAGCTTCTGAGCTGGGGAGTATCCCATCTTTTCCTCTCCTTGCAGGAGGTCCACTGTTAAAGGGGAATTACGCAGGATGTGTTTATTTTTTTTGCTCCTACGCTGTTTATACATCATTGTATTCAATTTCTGTCCCAGTTCCTAGTGTGGGCCTTGTCTCAAGACTCTGCTGCAAGGTTTCTGTCCTAGTTCTTAGTGTGGGTCTTGCGTCATTACTCTGCTGTAAGGTTCTTTGGCTTGGGGAGGGGGTATGGAGCCGGGTAGGCAGGGAAGTGGAGGGAGGTGCTCACTCTCAGCTTTATTTGGATTCCTGGAGGAAGGAGAGTTGCTGTTACCAGGAAAAGTCAGTGTTGATCAGACAAGAAGAGGATCTGCTGCCTTCCTTTGGTGGGTGGGTACTGTTAGGTTGAGGGAGAATTTGCCTGGAGGAGGCTCTGTGTCTTCCTGAGGGCAGTGCCCTCTGTACAGTGCCTGGGGTTACTCCTCCCTAAAATGAGGGTAGCATTGTGCGGGTGTGCTAAGGGCTCCAGAAATGTCATTTGTGGCTGTGCTACACCCTGTGGCCTAAAACTTTGTAGGCTTTTCATTTCTGGCAATAGACTAGGCACACACATCCCTATTCTCCTCTCTGGTCTAGAAATTAGGCTTGGGCTGGGCGTGGTGGCTCACACCTGTAATCCCAGCACTCTGGGAGGCCGAGACAGGTGGATCACTTGAGGTCAGGAGTTCAAGACTAGCCTGGCCAACATGGCAAAACTCCATCTCTACTAAATACAAAAATTAGCTGGGCATGGTGGTGTGTACCTGTGGTCCCAGCTACTTGAGAGGCTGAGGCACGAGAATCACTTGAACCCAGGAAGTGGAGGTTGCAGTGAGCCGAGATTGTGTCATTGCACTCCAGCCTGGGCGACAGAGAGAGACTCTGTCTCCAAAAAAAAAAAAAAAAAAAAAAAAAAAAAAAGAAGAAGAAGAAATTAGGCATGGGTTTTAGAAATTAGTATGGGCTTACAGAGAGATCCAGTGGGGGCAGTAGGCAGACTGAGTGGCCCCCATTAGGAGCATCTGGGCTGGGCAGAAGCCAACAGGACTAACTTTGAACTTTATTTCCTTCACTGCCTCAGCCAGAGATGTTTTGTTCAACAAAAACTCCAGATTTTCTCCTCCTCTCACTGGGGAGTCATGAAGCTCCCAGGCCTGTGTGGACCTGTAGTTCTGCCCCCGTAAATATATTTCTGCTCGTGGGCCTTCTGTTGACTTGAGAAGGAGCTGTCTTCCAATCTCAGAGGAAGCCTCCTCTGGGCCCAGCTCCGCTGCGCAGTCCACCATGGCCGCAGCAGTAGCAGCTTGAGCCTTCTCAGGAAGGAGGGCGGGTTAGGCAGTTGCCAGTCTCCCCACAGGTGTCGGCTTCATCCTGGGACTTCCAGATATGGGGCATAGGCTAACTGAACCTTTCCTCCTCAGCAGTCTGTGTTACTGGGGACATGTCTGGCACATCTGACATTTTGGGAAAGAACTGCTAAGCCCCCCTAGGACCAGCTCCGGGTGTTCACAGAAGACACTTAAGCCCTGGTTATCAGAATGATTTGTGAACACCAGAAATGCAAGAGGAGTGGAGATTTTTTCTTGAGAGATTATGATGGCTGTGCCATTGTCAAATATTTGACCTCCAAGTTGACAGACCTGAGTCTCCCAGCCTGCTTTGGGTCACCTCCCATTTTCCTGCTCTCTCAAAAACACCTCTTGCAGACTAGCCACTCCTGTGACACCTGGCACAGTCCAGCTGCGTTTCCTGCCCTTGTTCTCTGTCCCTGGAAAGCACGGAATAATCTCAGAGCACGCAGAAGAGCACCTGGAGAAAAGGGGCATTTGGCTTTCACAGCGCCAAGCTTCACGCTCCTGGGCTCCCAAAGGGAACATTAGTCCCCGCTCCACAGACCAAGCATGTTAATTCTGACCCTGGGTTGGGGTGTTAGTTTCCAGGCTATTATGTAGAACATCACGGGGCCTGTACTTTTGCACAGAAGGGAGGCAGGCTGGCACTGTCTAGAGTTAGGATGAATTAAGAACTCTTGAAGAATGTATTTGTAAGAACTCAAGGAATGTATTTGCTTCTATGTTTCAAAGGCAGCACTATTTTACAAACAATAGCTGTTTTCTTCTGCAACCCCTCTCCCTAGATTTTGCTAACTTATTATATCCGGGACAGTCCAACTTCAAACCACCATAACTGAAGCTGGATGTCAGGGAGGTGGGGGTGGGGTGATGGCCAATTGGAGGAGCCAGTAGGATTCTGTGCGCCTGTTCAGCACCCCCCACGTTTTCAGAGTTCTTGCCCAGGAGTTGTTTGTTAATGGGGAATGAGACGTGGAGGAATGAAATCTTTCTCCCAAGTGAGCAAGGTGTAGAACTGTAACTAGCATTTTTGGCGGGGAGGGGAGAGACTCCTTTTGCTATCCTGGAGTGGTATTTCCCTTCCAGTGAATTTGCCAAACAACATAAAAGTCGGGTAGCTGAGGGAGGTTTCTCCTGGTACCTGGGGGCAAAGCTCCAAGGAGGGAAGGGAATAGAAAGTGTCTACCCAGCCCTTACCTGGAATGGCGACGTTCTTTCAGACACTGGGTGCGGGGGAGCCTCTGCTGTGTGGTTTAAGTGGAGGTCTCTGGGATTTTCACCCTGACTTTTCAATGAGGATACCTTGGGGAGCAAGAGAGAGGAAGCCAGCTCCTGTAACCGCTGGACTGAACAGCTGGGCCTCTAACTGAGACATTATTAGCATTTGAAAGCCCCTCTGAAGGGGCCAAGAGCTTCCCAGGGTGGGCGCAGGGGCCTGAGTGCTGAGACCCCACAGTGGCTCCAACAGAATGGGTCTGAGCATCCAGGGCATAAAGACCAGACCGGACTCAAGAATGAACTCATTGTGGCTTTGTCCCATGCTTGAAAACTGTGACCAGGGCTCTTTCATTGTTAAGAAAGACCATTTCTTGTCCACAGAAGAGCTCATAAGTCTAGTTCCTTCATCAGGCAGAGCTGCGGAAGACCCTGCCCCTCACTAGAAGTTTCTGTTAGTGTCCTGCTCTCCAAGCATTTCTGATGGAAGTTGCACTTTCTGCTCCCCACTTTAACTCAGGAGTACCTTTGGCCAAAGCCTGATCACACATGCTCAGGGTGGAACGTGTTGATCCTAGAGCAACACCTGGGCCCGACTCCCTTTTCTTGCCTTAGAGTCTCCCTTTCCCAGCTGCCTAAATTAAGCCTCTTCCCAAGTTATTAAGCCTGCACAAAGTGCTTTTTGGTCATTCTGGTTCAAACAGTTTGGGTTTGCACAGTATTTTAAAATCATGTTAATTCTGGTTAATAAAAGGTCAAAGGTCATGGCTCCAAATCTTTCCAGCCTTTTCCCTGTTTCCAGCCTAAATAAATCCCCACCCGGTTTGGGGTATGTTTCTTTTTCTTTTTTCTTTTTTTTTAATTGTACTTTAAGTTTTAGGGTACATGTGCACAACGTGCAGGTTTGTTGCATATGTATACATGTGCCATGTTGGTGTGCTGCACCGATTAACTCGTCATTTAACATTAGGTATATCTCCTAATGCTATCCCTCCCCCCTCTCCCCACCCCACAACAGGCCCTGGTGTGTGATGTTCGGTTTGGGGTATGTTTCTACAGACTAGACATCAGATAGGGATGCAGAGCTCCAGGGAACTGGCCCATCTGTTTCTTAAACCAGGAGCAATGGTGCCACCTACTGGGCACTTGCTGGTAGCGACAAGCTCTGTGGCCAGTCCTGTTTTCTGGTGACTTGGGTGAGAGTATCTGTACTGTATTCCAGTACACGAGTAATAACATACTGCAGTAGAAAGCATATTGAGTAGGCACGCTATTTCCTGTTAACAGGCTTAGATACTGTGTTTGGGCAAGTTGCCCAGGGTCACATCCAGTTAGGGATGGAGGCAAATAGAAACAGGGCCTTCCCAACTCCGAAGTTCACCACTAAGCCAGGGTTTGCCAAAACCAGCAGGCGATTTCAGCTGGTAACTGCACAAGAGTGGTAACTGGTAGCATGAATAGTGAAGCCACTTTTCTCTCTTTGGTTCTCTTTGTCTTTTTTTTAATTTAAGATGGGGTCTTACTATGTTGCCCAGGCTGGTTTTGAACTCCTGGGCTCAAGAGATCCTCTCACTGGGCCTCCCAAAATGCTAGGATTACAGGCATGAGCCACCATGCCCGGCCCAGTTTGTTCTCTCTCAGTCTTGGTGATTTTGTCTCAGCTCTATATGACTCTTTAAACCTTGAACAGCTCTTTGACCCTTGTTTATTTCATTTTTTAAACAATTTTAGGTAGGCAACAATATCAGTTAGAAATTAATAACATTTTGTTATATTATCCTGAAGTTACCACTTGAGGTAAGCAACGCTAATTTGCCATTAATTTTCCTTATTTAGTATAGTGATATGAAGTTGCCTTTTCAGAGTAAGTTTGTTTAGGTTAAAAAAAAAAGGCAAGTCAATTTTAGGGGGAAAAATACAGGTAAGTAATGGTACAGATGGTGCACAGATATGGCAAACATGCTGATGGGTGTTGTGGATGAGCCCAAAGTTTGGAAAGTGTTGGGCCATGCCCATCATCACTGACGTACTGTGAGACTGTGGGCAATCTCAAGCATCCTTTTCTCATTTGTAGAAAAGAACATGTTAGTAGGTGATTGTTCAGGTCATGTAGACATACACAGTGCTGTGATGTCTCAGCATTATGGGTCAGGTTTCTCCCAGGCCAGGCTGCTGTGCCTGGGGTGGTGGGAACAAGGAATTTAAAGGCTTGGCCTTGCTTCCCCTACTTTGCCTGTGCCTCAAGATTCCTTCCTTTTGCCTGCTATATTTTCTTTTTTAATAACAGATTTATTGACATACGATTCACATACCATGTAATCCACAGTTGTGAAACCATCACCATAAAAAAAGAACCTCATATTGGTCACTCCCTATTCCCTCCAACCATCACAGCCCTAGACAACCACTAATCTACTATCTGTTTCCATAGATTTGCCTATTCTGGACATTCCATATGGATGGAATCATATAAGGTCTATTATGACTGGCTTTTTTCACTTAGCATAATGTCTTTAAGGTTCATGTTATAGTATATATTAGTATTTTGTTCCTTTTTATTGCCAGATAATACTTGTAATTGCCATCTTTTTTGTTTTAAACATTCTAGTGGATATGAAGTGGTGGTGTCTCATTGTGGGTTTTCTGTTTTCTTTTCTTTTGTTTTTTGAGACAGGGTCTCACTCTGTCATCCAGGCTGGAATACTATGGTGCGACCAAAGCTCACTGCAGCCTCCACATCCCGGGCTCAAACAATCCTCCCACTTCAACCTCCCGAGTACCTGGGACTACAGGCTTGGGCCACCACACCCAGCTAATTTTTTGTTTGTTTGTTTGTTTTTTATAGAGATGGGGTTTTGCCATGGTTGCCCTGGCTGGTCTCAAACTCCTGGCCTCAAGCGATCCTCTCACCTTGGCCTCCCAACACTTTGGGAGGCCACTGCACTGGCCTCATTGTGGTTTTGATTTGCATTCCTCTGATGGTTAATGGCATTGAGGATCTTTTTATGTGCTTATTAGCTATTTGTATATCTTTTTTTTTTTTTTTTGACAGAGTCTCACTCTGTTGCCCAGGCTGGAAGGCAATGGCACGATCCTGGCTCACTGCAACCTCTGCCTTCCGGGTTCAAACAATTCTCCTGTCTCAACCTCCCTAGTAGCTGGGATTACAGGCTCATGCCACCACACCTGGCTAATATTTGTATTTTTAGTAGAGACGGGGTTTCACCATGTTGGCCAGGCTGGTCTTGAACTTCTGACCTCAGGTGATCTGCCCGCCTTGGCCTCCCAAAGTGCTGGGATTACAGGTGTGAGCCACCATGCCCGGCCAGCTATTTGTATGTCTTCTTTGGAGAAATATATTCAGATCCTTTGCTCATTTTTAAATTGAATTATTTATCTTTTATTATTGAGTTGTAAGAACTCTTTATATATTCTGGATACAAAATACTTAATATATGCTGGATACTTATTAGATATATGATTTGCAAATATTTTCTCTCATTCTCTGGGTTTTTTCTTTTAAAATGTGATTAAGCCTGGGCACGGTGGCTTACGCCTGTAATCCCAGCACTTTGGGAGGCCGAGGCGGGTGGATCATGAGGTCAGGAGATCGAGACCATCCTGGCTAACACGGTGAAACCCTGTCTCTACTAAAAATACTAAAAATTAGCCGGGCATGGTGGCGGGTGCCTGTAGTCCCAGCTACTCGGGAGGCTGAGGCAGGAGAATGGCCAGAACTCGGGAGGCGGAGCTTGCAGTGAGCCGAGATCACGCCACCGCACTCTAGCCTGGGCGACAGAGCGAGACTCCGTCTCAAAAAAAAAGAAATTGTGATTAAATATATGTAACATAAAATTTATCATTTTAACAATTTCTAAGTGTACAGTTCTGTGACATTATTAAGTACATTCACATTGTTTTGCAGACATTACCACCATCCATCTCTAGAAGTTTTTCATCTTCCCCAACTTAAACTCTGTACCCACTAAGCAATAACTCCCCACTCGCTTCTCCCCCAGCCTCTGACAACCACCATTCTATTTTCTGTCTCTATAAATTTGCCTACCCTAGGTACTTCATGTAAGTGAAATCATGCAGTATTTGTCCTTTTGTGTCTAGCTTATTTCACTTAACATAATATTATCAAGTTTCACCCATGTTTTAGCATTTGCCAGAATTTCTTTTTTATGGCTGAATAGTATTCCATTGTGTGTAAATACTACATTTTGTTAATCCATTCATCTCTTGATGGACATTTGGGTTGTTTCCACCTTCTGGCAATTGTGAATAATGCTGCTGTGAACATAGGTATACAAATATCTGTTTGAGACCATGCTTTCAGTTATTTTGGCTATATACCCAGATGTGAGCTTGCTGGATCATATGGTAATTCTGTGTTTAAATTTTTTTTGCAGAACCGCCGTACTGTTTTGCACAGCGGCTGCTTCATTTTATATTCCACCAGCAATGCACACGGATTCCAAATTCTTTGCATCCTCACCAACACTTGTGCACTTATTTTCTGTTTTCTTTTTTTTATTAATAGTCACCCTAATGGGTATAAAGTGATATCTCAAAAGTGATTTTGCTTTGCATTTCTTTTTACTTTCTTGATGGTATTGTTTACAGCACAAACAGTTTGTTTTGTTTTGAGACGAAGTCTTGGTCTTGTCACCCAGGCTGGAGTGCAGTAGCGTGATCTCGGCTCACTGCAACCTCCTCCTCCCGGGTTCAAGCAATTCTCCTGCCATAGCCTCCCGAGTAGCTGGGATTACAGGTGCCCACCACTACGCCCGGCAAATTTTTTTGTATTTTTAGTGGAGACGGGGTTTCACCATGTTGGCCAGGCTGGTCTTGAACTCCTGACCTCAGGTGATCTGCCCACCTCAGCCTCCCAAAGTGCTGGGATTACAGGCATGAGCCACTGCGCCCAGCCAGCACAAAAGGTTTTAATTTTGATGAAGTCTAATTTACCTATCCTTTGTTACTTATGCTTTTGATATTGTATGGAAGAAACCTTTGCCTAATCCAAGGTCAAAAGATTTACTCCAATGTTTGCTTCTAAAAGTTTTATAGTTTTAGCTATTACAGTTAGGTCTGTGATCCATTTTGAATTGACTTTTGTTTGTGATATAAGAAAGAGCTCCAACTTTATCCTTTTGCGTGTGAGTATCCAGTTCTTTTAGCAGCATTTGCTGAAAAGACTATTTCCTTTATCGAATTGTTTTGGCCCCCTTGTTGAAAATTAATGCCCACAGGCTGGGCGCAGTGGCTCACGCCTGTAATCCCAGCACTTTGGGAGGCCGAGGCACGCGGATCACGAGGTCAGGAGATCGAGACCCTGGCTAACATGGTGAAACCCCATCTCTACTAAAAATACAAAAAATTAGCTGGGCGTGGTGGCGGGCACCTGTAGTTCCAGCTACTCGGGAGGCTGAGGCAGGAGAACGGCGTGAACCTGGGAGGTGGAGTTGGCAGTGAGCCGAGATCGTGCCACTACACTCCAGCCTGGGCGACAGAGCAAGACTCTGTCTCAAAAAAAAAAAAAAAAGAAAAGTAAATTAATGCCCACAAATGTGAGAGTTTATTTCAGGCCTCTCAATTCTATTACATTGATCAAATGTCTGTCCTTATGCCAGTGCCGCACTGACTTGGTGACTATATCTTTGTAGCAAGTTTTGAAATCAGGAAAATTAAGACCTTCAACTTTGCTCGTCTTCTTTAAGAATGTTTTGGCTATTCTGGGTGTCTTGCATTTCCACGTGAAGTTTTGAATCCGTTTGTGAATTACTGCAAACAGCATACCTGGCATTTTCATAGGGATTGCACTGAACCCGTAGATGGATTTGGGGATACTGCCATCTCAACAACACTAAGTCTTCCGATCCATGAATGTTGGATATTTTTCCGTTTATGTAGGTCTTCTCGAATTTCTTTCAATGATGTTTTGTAGTTTTCAGAGTATAAGTTTTCATTTCCTTTGTTAAATGAAGCATTGTATTATATTTGATGCTACTGTGAAAGAATTGTTTTTCTTACTTTCATTTTTTATTTTGTTTATTTATTTATTTATTTATTTTTTTGAGACACAGTCTCACTCTGTTGCCCAGGCTGGAATGCAGTGATGTGATCATAGCTCACTGCAACCTTCAACTTCTGGGCTCAAGCCATCCTCCTGCTCCAGCCTCCCAGATAGCTGCAGCTACAGGTGTGCACTACCATGCCTGGCTAATTTGTGTGTGTGTGTGTATGGAGATGGGTGTTCTTGCTCTGTTGCCTAGGCTGGTCTCTAACTGCCAGGCTCAAGCAATCCTCCTACCTCGGCCTCTGAAAGTGCTGGGATTAGAGGCATGAGCCACCATGCATGGCCTTAGTTTTGTTTTTGGATTGTTCCTTGCTAGTATATACAAATACAAATAACTTTTGCATATTGTTTTTGTACCCTACAACCTTGCTGAACTTGTTTAATAGTTCTAGTAATTTTTAGCACATTCCTTAAGGTTTTCTGTATACAATATCATGCTATCCATGAATAGAGGCAGTTTTACTTCTTCCTTTCCAATCTGGAAGTATTTTCTTTCTTTCTTTTTTTTTTTTTTTTTTTTTGAGACAGTGTCTTACTCTGTCACCCAGGCTGGAATGCAGTGGCATGATCTCGGCTCACTGCAACCTCTGCCTCCCAGATTCAAGCAATCCTCCTGTCTTGGCCTCCCGAGTAGCTGGGACTACAGGTGCACGCCACCACGCCTGGCTAATTTTTGTATTTTTAGTAGAGACAGGGTTTCACCATATTGGTCAGGCTGGTCTCAGACTCCTGACCTCAGGTGGTCCACCTGCCTCGACCTCCCAAAGTGCTGGGATTAGAGGCGTGAGCCACCACACCTGGCCTTTTATTTTGTACTTCTTTTTCTTGCCTAATTGTCCTGGCTTGCACTCTAATACAGTGTTGAATAGAAGTGGTGAGAGTAAGCACCTCTGTCGTGTTCCTGATCGTAGAAGGAATTAGTTCAGTCACTTACCATTAATCAAGTATGATGTTAGCTGTGGGGTTTTTTGTTAATGTCCTTTATCAAGATGAGGAAGTTCCATCTATTCCAAATCTGAGTTTTTTTTTTTATCATGAAAAGGATCTTGTCAAATGCTTTTTCTGTGTCTATTGACATGATCATGTAGTAATTTTTATAATCTGTATTACATTGATTTTCTTGTGTATAACTAACCTTGCATTTCTGGGATAGATTCTACTTGGTCATTGTGTATAACCACCTCCCCCCCGACTTTTTCTTTTTTTTTTTCTTTTTTCTTTTTTTTTTTTTTTTGAGACAGAGTACAGAGTCTCACACTGTCACCCAGGCTAGAGTGCAGTGGCGCAATCTCTGCTCACTGCAACCTCCACCTCCCAGGTTCAAGTGATTCTCCTGCCTCAGCCTCCCGAGTAGCTGGGATTACAGGCGCCTTCTACCACGCCCTGCTAATTTTTTGTATTTTTAGTAGAGACGGGGTTTCACTTTGTTGGCCAGGCTAGTCTTGAACTCCTGACCTCGTGATCCGCGTGCCTCGGCCTCCCAAAGTGCTGGGATTACAGGCATGAGCCACCACGCCAGGCCTGTATAACCCTTTTTATATGTTGCTGGGTTCTGTTTGCTGGTATTTTGTTGAGGATTTTTGTTTGTATATGCATAAAGTATATTGGTCTATAGTTGTTTTTTTTCTTGTCTTACCTTTGCTTTTCATATCATGGTAATACTGGTTTCATAGAATGAATTAGAAATTATTTCTTTTATTTTTTGGAAGAGTTTGCGAAAAGTTGATATTAATTCTTCTCTAAATCTTTGGCAGAATTTACCAGTGGAGTCATCTGGTGGACCTGGACTGTTTGTATTGTGTATGTTGTTGGTGGGGGTTAATTACTTATTCATTCCTTTTACCTGTTGCATTGTTTCTTGCTTGCAGAACATGCAGGTTGCTTGTAGAAACACACTTACGTAAAAGGAGAGAGATTCTGGGAAGAGTGGGCCTAGCAGGAATTTGGAAATTTAGGGGTTTCTAGTTGGCTCTACCTGAAGCTGTGCCTTCTCCTCTCCCCTGTATTATCACATCTCAGATGAAGCAGTCTTCCTTCTCCTGCCTGAATGAACACTATTGAGGTTAGGACCAATAACTGAAGCCGTATCTTGGATGGAAAAGGTGTGTCTGTGTGTGTATGTGTGTGTTCTGCCTTACCTTAAATATTGATAAAAAGTGAAGAAAGATACCTCAACTGTTGAGATTCCGAGATCGTGAATGACAGACCATAGTGAACTCTGGAACAGCCATTTAAAGAATGAGATAGCTCTCCATATGCTGAGAAGCAGTGATCTCTGCTGGGTGCTGTGGCTCATACTTGTAATCCCCGCACTTTGGGAGGCCGAGGAGGGCGGATCACGAGGTCAGGAGATCGAGGCCATCCTGGCTAACACCGTGAAATCCCACCTCTACTAAAAATACAAAAAATTAGCCAGGTGTGGTGGCACATGCCAGTAATCCCAGCTACTCAGGAGGCTGAGGCAGGAGAATCGCTTGAACCCAGGAGGCGGAGGTTGCAGTGAGCAGAGATCGCGCCACTGCACTGCAGCCTGGCAACAGAGCGAGACTCCATCTCAAAAAAAAAAAAAAAAGGTGATCTCGTGCTCACTTCAGCAGCACATATACTAAAATTGGAACGATACAGAGAAGATTAGTATGGCCCCTGCGCAAGGATGACATGCAAATTCGTGAAGTGTTCCATATTAAAAAAAAAAAGGTGCTGTCTAAGATATATAATTAAGTGAAATCTGCAGAATAGTGTGCTTCCATTTGTGTAAGGACAAAACATGGAAGGGAGCCTGTGGATGCATAGGCTGGACATATAGAGCACCTTGGCACCCACGATGAGAGTCAGAGCTGGTGAGAGACTTAGTACCCTGTGGGGTTGTTTTCCCTTGTGGTTATGTGGCCTTAAACAAAACTCTCTCTAAAGTAACGTACCTGCTTGAAGTGCAGTGGTGAGCCTGTGTGTGAGGAGGCTATGCCCTCATGGCAACAGCTACCCTTGGCAGAATCTGAACATCTCAGAGACATGGCCTGAGGATCCTCATGAGTTGTCTCTGCCACGGTGTGGGAGGCACTATTTAGACCTCCATTTACTTGAAGCCTAGTGTTCCTCAGGAATTCCTACATCTGCCTGTGGGAAAATGGTGATAGATTTCAAAGGCTCTCCAAGGTTCGATGTTTCCTTCTGAGTGCCATTTCAGCAACATAGGAATTTCGGTCTGTTTCTCCAAGGTGAAGGGCTTTCATTGCCCTGTTGCCTCTCTGTGGACTTCTGGCCAGGTGGCCCTACAGAAAAGCACCTTATTCTTTCTTGGCAGATCCAGTCATGGCTCCTGCCTCCCACCATGAGTCGGGATATTGGGGAAGCGAAGCAGATGCCAGAAGTCTTTCTGGTTTCCCAGGCCGAAGGAGCTTTCACACTAATAGCCTGTCCTTTTCAAGTCTGACAGAACTGGCAAGCAGGAACAATTTAGGTTTTTGGAAATATCCACAAACTCTTTGCTTCCATCCGGAGTGAATGCTTCTCTTCCTTCACAGGGGCTACCCTAAGAGGCTGGGAAGCCTCCCAGCCTGGGCTAGTGAGATCCCAGCCCAGATTCCAGGCCTGGATCTGGGGCCTTGAACAATGAGGATCCTTGTATCTCTCCCACAGAGAACACCTTCTGCAGTGGGGACCATGTGTCCTGGCACAGCCCTTTGGATAACAGTGAGTCAAGAATTCAGCACATGCTGCTGACAGAGGACCCACAGATGCAGCCCGTGCAGACACCCTTTGGGGTAGTTACCTTCCTCCAGGTGAGGCACAGGTTGGACGCTGGCTCAAGCCTTCCTGTGGGAAGGGTCCTGGGAGGACAAGGAGGCTTGAGGAGGGGGAGTGAAGGGAGTGGGAGGTTTCCTTTGGCCTCGTCCTGATTTCTGTTTCCTCTGATGGTTTGTCAGGTAGATTCAGATGGTCTGATTTAACCTGCTGAGATGGGAGAGGGGAGAAAGGGAAGGGGGCATTTGGTTGGGAGAGAATGGCTGTAGCTGAGAGGGAGTAATGGGGTGGCGGGTATTCTTTGAACAGTGAAGACCCAGTCTCAGGAACAGGACTTTCCAGCGGGAAGCCAGCTCTGGGTCGTCCTTGCTCTTTGCCAGAAGCTGTGGGAACCTGCCCAGCTTTGACCAGTGCTTGTTTTTGGTCACGAAGTCTATGTGAAGGTTCCACTGATTCCCTTGATATTTACACAAAGGCCTATCCCCTAATAAGGAAGGGAGGAGTTTCTCTGCAGGCTGCTATGACCTATTGGTGGTGGTTCCAAGCCTGATAGGTCTCAAAGTCTCTTGTTTACATTCCCCATGATACCAGACTGGGTAGGAATGGCTCCCTGAACCTCCCCTACTTCCAGAGACATGGCCTGAGGACACATCTTGAGTTGCTCAGGCCTTGGTTTTCTCCTTTGTAGCTAAGAGCTAGACTTGGTGTCATCCAGACACAGCAAGGGCAAGGGTCAGGCCTCAGGGCCCACATGTGGACCCAGCCATTTCCCAGCCAGGCAGCCACTCCCTCCTAAGGGAATCATCCAATCTTGGCTGCACCAGCTCCTGAGCACAGATCCTGCCTGTGGTCTCCCAACTGGAGGTGACTCAGAGAGCCTGGGTAGCTGACCTTCTTGGGGTGGGGGGTGGCCATTAACACACAATGGGCTTTCTATCCTGGGCCTCAGATCGTTGGTGTCTGCACTGAAGAGCTACACTCAGCCCAGCAGTGGAACGGGCAGGGCATCCTGGAGCTGCTGCGGACAGTGCCTATGTGAGTACCCATGCAAGGTGGGAGCGCGGCTCCCTGGGCCTGGGGGTGGGAGTCCCTCCACTACCCTCCATGTGGGGCTCCCTCTTGCGTTGTTATTTCAGACCCTGGTTTTTCACATCAGGGCTTCCTGACGACTCACTCCCTGACAGTCCCTGACCACGAACTATTCCCCTGTGTCCTAGGCCTGGGGCAGCAAACAGGGCAGGCTGTAGGCCCAGCCCATCAGCCCCAGACCCTCAGTTACCATTGTATCCCCTTTCCTTGTCCACAGTGCTGGCGGCCCCTGGCTGATAACTGACATGCGGAGGGGAGAGACCATATTTGAGATCGATCCACACCTGCAAGTATGTCTTGAGTGAGGAAAACCTTTCTAGCACCCTGTGCCTAGGCCTCTTCCAAATAACACTGGCTTTCATCCTGGGAAAACAGAGGACCTTTATGTGTGAGTGAGTAGAAATATGGCATCACTTGGAACTTGTCCCCTGAATTCTGCAGAGCACGTAGGGAGCAGAGGTTTCAGCCCAGGAAAGCTAGTCCTCAGACATATGTATTTTGGCATTTTAAAAGGATATTTTTATTGTATGTAAATTATATATTGGCTTAAAAAATTAGATTGCCAGCAATAAAAGATAAGTGTAGTGGATATTGCTTGCTTGCCCAGTATTCATTCTCCTGCCTCCCAGACTTTCTTTTAGGGAGCCACCACGGCCACCACCGCCCTGTACCAGACAGTAGTGTAGGTGATACTGACTCCATGGCTCAGCTGCAGGAGTGAGGGCTGATTGGTCTAATGGTCCTATCCCCATTTTCGCCACATTTTCTATCTTGGACAGTCAGATGCAGAGCTCCTAGCCTGGAAAGATTGGCACCTTAGACACACAGGCTGGCAGCTGCCCACTCCCTGTGGCCCACCTGGACATTGTTTCAGTGTCATCTTTGCTGTTTTAGAAGCATTCCTTTGTCATGCAGGTAAAGTTTGAAAGCCACAAGAACGTAACTGCCTTTTCTTTTTTTGAGACGGAGTTTCGCTCTTCTCACCCAGCCTGGAGTGCAGTGGCACAATCTCGGCTTACTGCAGCCTCCGCCTCCCAGGGTCAAGCAGTTCTCCTGCCTCAGCCTCCCGAGTAGCTGAGATTACAGGCGCCCACCACCACGCCCAGATAATTTTTTGTATTTTTAGTAGAGACAGGGTTTCACCATGTTGGCCAGGCTGGTCTCGAACTCTTGACCTCAGATGATCCGCCCGCCTCGGCCTCCCAAAGTGCTGGGATTACAGGTTTGAGCTAGTGCGCCTGGCCCATAACTGCCTTTCTTATGGGCTTCTCTTGAAGCAGGAGCCACAGACAGCTAATAATGTTACCTGCCTGGTGTCTGGCTCCTTCTACTCCCCTGACCAAATGCAGGTCATTGCCATCTCTAAACCTGCCATGCTTCTGTAAAATATCTGGTAGGCCACAGGCAGTTGCCGGGAGTTCCATGTGTTAGAGCAAGAGAAAGGTGGCAGATGGACATGTAGCCAGCAGCCCCTGAGTTCTTCACTGTAGACTTGTGAGTTCTTGGGCATAAATCCTCTTCATTCACAGATGATGCTCCTCTGTTTTCCTAGTGCCTTTAACACTGAACATTTCAAACTGCTGCCAGGATCC
The DNA here is from genome assembly GCF_000001405.40 of Homo sapiens. NCBI lineage: Eukaryota > Metazoa > Chordata > Mammalia > Primates > Hominidae > Homo > Homo sapiens. The sequence goes on from NC_000010.11 coordinate 102,595,368, forward strand.
TCTGTTCTCTCTGCTTTAAACTTGGTTTCCTTGTATCTTCTGCATATGCAAGAACCAGGAACCAGGAAGGCTATCTTTCCCTAAGCCCTTGTTCTGTAGCCACACTGGGATCCAGCATGGGGCACTGTGGGCCGTTGTTTGGCCCCTGTCATAAGTGCCAAGTACTAAGAAAGAACCTGGTCCTTTGCACTAGTAGGGTAAACAGCTGTCCTTCCATGCCAAGGGCTGTTCTTCCTAGTCTGCAGGATCCCCTGAGAGCAGCCCACAGGACCCGGAGCACCTAGTGGTCTTTGAAAGCAAGCCAGGGTCCCACAGGAACAAAGGACAGCTTTCTTTCCTGGTGGCTCTGTGCACCAAGTGTGAACTCCTCTGTATTCACTGTGCCTTTCTGGGGCCTGCTTGCTATCAGTCTCTTTAGAGCTGGCATATATTCCTGTGATTCAAGCTCTACACTAACCAGCTGTGTGCCCAAATAAGTCCCTCGCCTTCTGGGTCTTAACTTTTTCTTTTTACTTATAAAGTAAATAGCCCAGACAAGTTGAGCCAAGAATTGTCTGTCTGCAACTCTTTACCTAAGTGAGGGACCCCAGGGCAGCCAGTGCAGAGGAAAAAGCTCAGACTATCCCCTGAGCACACCAGGGTATACATGCTCCCTGCCCAGAGTACACAGAGCGCTTCCCTGCTTAGCCTCTTCCTGCTCGGAACCCACAGCTTTGCCCAGGCCAGCATTAGCACTTGAAAGGAGGAGATGACTGATGGGAAGGAGGCGTCTGGGGCAGAGCCACTTGCTGACTGGTCCCAGGAAATAAGGACAGTACCTGTACTTCTCCCACATGGGGCTTCTGGGCTGATCAGCAGGCCAGTGTGGTACCTGTGGAGCCGGGAAGCACAGATTATTGTTGAGATGCTCAGTCACAAGCTTGATTTGGCCCACATGGACATAGAGCCTTCCAGATGACTTTTAATTCAAGGTCCAGCATCAATGAACTGTGTTTTACCAGAAAATCCAGGGATGTTTTGAGTACAACTCTTCCTTGAAGCCATTTGGAGAGTGTTTGTACTCAGCAGTACCAAGGCCTGCACAAAGGCAGGGTCTCGATGGGGAGAGAAGGGTGTCTGCAGATAGTCACTGCACTCTAGGCCCCCATTTCAGTCTAAGAAATGGGAAGGAATCTCCATCCAGAGTCCTTTGCTAAACAAGGGAACCAATGCATCTAGGGAAGTCCAGCCTTTGTTCTCCAGTGGCTCTTCCCTGTGTGACCACACCCTCTAGCTGTTAGAAGGGGAAACTGCAGGTGTGGCCTGTTGCCTGTGGCAGGCTTCCACCCTGTTTTCTATAGCAGTGACTGGGAGGTTCTGCCTGAAGATCGGGAGGAGAGGAAGGATCACACCTCTCCTCAGAGAAGTAGGCTCTCTCATGGCCACATCAGCCCCACCAGCCAGCGTGGCGGGGACAGGTTTGGGGCTCTGAAACAGGTAGAGGCCATTGTGCTGGAAGGCTGATGGTAGAAGAGATGTTTCCCTTGGGATTTGCATTCCTCCTGGCTTCCCCTAATCCCTGGTTCCCCTGGAGGAGTCCAGGAGCTGGCAGAGACCATCATGCATTGGTAACCAGGGCAGAACAAGGTCAGAGATCCTGCTCTCCAGCATTTGTCCCATGCTCAGCACCACAAGGGCTCAGTAAATACTGTAAGAGCAGTGGCTGAAAGGGTGGTCACCTTGGGTCACCAGTTCTCTGAAAGAACTCTGGCTCTTTGGTTCTTTTCAAGCAGGAGAGAGTTGACAAAGGCATCGAGACAGATGGCTCCAACCTGAGTGGTGTCAGTGCCAAGTGTGCCTGGGATGACCTGAGCCGGCCCCCCGAGGATGACGAGGACAGCCGGAGCATCTGCATCGGCACACAGCCCCGGCGACTCTCTGGCAAAGGTGGGAGCCATCACTCAGCATTCCACCAGCCTTCCTCCTTCCTTTTCCCCAGGGCCTGGTTTCCAGTCTCTCTAGGATGGGTCTCTAACAAAAACAACCCATTCAATAGTTTATTTCCTGGCATGATTTAAACAGCAAGTGAAGTCTTCCAGCAGGGCGGAATTAAGGGAGCTTTATTGGCCCATTCCTAGTTGTGTTTCCTGTGTGTATTTCAAATGCATCACCAGCAGGCACCGTTGTGTTTTAGATATGCCCTTTGCAATCTGAGGTCATGGAGGTGAGTGGAAGCCTCAGAACAGTTACAGGAAAAGTCCATAGTCCACCCAAGTGCAAGAGAAAAGTGTCGGCCACCCACGGAATTGACACAGGGCCCAGCTCTGGCCTGAAGGCCATGCCAGATCCAAGGATCACTCTGGCCTCGGGCCCTCCCAGGCCTTCAACAAATGAGGCCTGAGTGTGAGGCTGGCTTGCAAATTGCCCACCTCCTGTCATATAGATACAGGGTTAGGGGCTGTGGGCAGGGCCTCTGGACCCACCGTGTTCCGGATGGGGTCTTTGGGAAGGAGGATGTGGCTGTCCTGTTGGAATCTCCCTGTGCTGATCTTGGCTACAGAAACAGTTGTGGTTTTTAGTAGAGGGCGTCCCCAGCTAACTGCAAAGGAGAAGCAGCCACTTACATATACATGTGTTGACAGCTTCTTTGTCTACTTCCTTTCTTCATTCTTCCATCTTTTCTTTTTTTGAAGAATAAGATGTCTACAGCCCTGAATAAAATCCTTACATATATGATAACACTTATAAAAGGTTTTTGTTCGTTCTGTAAAGGACAAACTTAAACTCCTAGTGCAAATATTTGAGCCCTTTCTTTTTTTTTTTCTTTGAAACAGGGGTCTCTGTTGCCCAGGCTGGAGTACAGTGGGTTGATCTTGGCTCACTGCAACCTCTGCTTCCCAGGCTGAAGTGATTCTCCAGCCTCAGCATCCCAAGTAGCTGGGACTACAGGCGTGAGCCACCAACGCCCAGCTAATTTTTGTATTTTTTTGTAGAGTCAGGGCTTCGCTGTGTTGCCCACGCTGGTCTTAAACTCCTGAGCTCAAAACAATCCACCCGCCTCAGCCTCCCGAAGTGCTGGGATTACAGATGTGAGCCACCGCACCCGGCCAAGCCCTTTCTTTCCTTCCTGTTTGTTCTAATGGCATGCCAAGCCTATTGGAGGCTCAAAGAGAGGGTATACAGTTATTGGAATCATTTGGTTGCTTTTGACAAAAGAGGTGATTTAAAGAGGGAGTCATAGTCTTGTCTAAAATTTCAGTCATTACTGGCTATTTTTAAAAATTGTAAAAGTAATCCATTCCACTGTAACAAGTCAAATAGTTAGAAAAGTTAGTAATCATCTCCTTCCCACTCTAAGGCCACTCTTTGAGCAACTAATTTTAATTTGCTTTTTTGTATCTGTTTACAGTTTGCAGAGGTAAATTTAGATCCAAATCTCAATACAGGGGACCAGACTAGTAAGCTTCATCCCAAAGACCAGCAAAGCACCTTACAAAGAAATAATCCCACCAAGGGAACTCTTTCACTTCCTGGCCCTTGCCTCTCCATGGAGAGGCAGAGTTTCCTGGGATAGACCAAGGTGGAGAGATGATCTTAGCATCTCACTGACTTGAATGCAAGGGGAAGGAGTGGCGGGACCAGATGCTAGTTGACTACCCAGAACCCAGAAAGGTGTGTTAGAGGCACCTGCCCATTCATGGCAGGGTGCTTGCAGCCTTAACTCACATCCATTTCAGTGGGCAGAATCCCCAGTAGTCAGTCACTGTGTGGAGCCATGTTAAGGGTAAACCTCGGGCCTGTGACACAGGAAAGAAAAGGATGGTGGAGAGCGCTCTTCTGAACTCTAGAGGCTGCCCCTGGCTTCTACAAGAATGGTACTCTTCCAACCCAGAGCTTCTTAAGAGCGCGGTTGTCCCCTCGCAATCTGTACTCACTCAGCGCTTACATCTGGATGCGTAGAGTGGGCTCAGGACTGGCCAGCGTGGTAGTTTTTCTTAGCACCTCTGCTGAGCCAGGTTTCAAGAGCGGGGTGAGAATTGCTGGGAGCCCACTGGGCCACTGGGCAACTTAGTGGTGTCGTTGCAGACACAGAGCAGATCCGGGAGACCCTGAGGAGAGGACTCGAGATCAACAGCAAACCTGTCCTTCCACCAATCAACCCTCAGCGGCAGAATGGCCTCGCCCACGACCGGGCCCCGTAAGTTCCCCAGTGTCCCTGGGCTGGAACAAGAGGACGACTTTTTTCTGAAGGGCCTGTCCCTGTGGATTGCATGAGAGAGAACAATGCACATAGCCCTTGCTGGATGGGCCCAGGATCTCTAGGCTTAAGGGCAGGCATGGTCTGGGGCACACAGATCTATCTGTGGGTCATAGGAGAGGGCCTCAGAGGGGACCCAGCAGACCGTGAATATTAACATCAGTAAATATTTACATGAGCCGTGTGAACAGACAGGAGGCCAGGTTGGGGAGAAATCTGACTTGGGGCCTCCCAGCCTTGTGGGAGCCCATTGTGCTGAGCACGGTTCCCTCCTTATCTCAGTCTTGGCCAGAGTTGCCCTTCCTTCCTTCCTGGAGCCTGGTCTCCGGCTGATAGCTGCAACCCTGGGGGCCTCCCTCTCTGGCCAGCCCCATACTGGATGCCTGTGGCTGAGGCCCTTCTTCCTGCCTCTCTTCCCTGGGGCCCAGGGAAGGGAAAGGAAGTCTTTTGCAGGCCTCTGCTGCCTGTCCAGGGGCCCCTGTAGCCCTCCGGAGAGACTGTGGCCACCCTAGAGGTCAGATCCGCTTCCTGCCAACCTCTCTTCCTCTGATAGAGGGGATGAGTGATAGGCAGGGCTGAAGCTGGGCACCCCCCTCTGCCCTTAGTCCCAGGGCAGCTCTAGGGAATAGCTGCTGGCAGGAGATACCTGGGGGCTGGCAGCCCAAAGCAGGAACCTTGCCTGCCAGGGAGGAAATTGCTGTGCCTTGGGCTGAAAGGGAGGTTGATCATCCTGCAAGACCAGGGTGATCTAGCCTTCTTCTATGAAGTCTTTATTACACATTTGCTGTCTGACAAGCTCGGACCTAGGGGGCCATCTGGGGTGCACAGGCTCTTCCTTTGGGAGAACATGAGTGAAACAGTTACCTTTTAATGGTGTGCATCTGGCTGTCGATGTGATTTGTTGGAAATGGCTGCTTCTCTGGATTCTAGCTCTAGTTGCTGATCGTGTTTCCCAGAAGTAGTAATGCTTCAGTGCACTACAGAAAAGACAGGTCCACAGGATCTGGGGTAGTTAGGGAGGGCATCTTGGAGGAGGAAGAACATAGCATCGACCTTGAGGGCACCTTAGAATTTTAATAAGCAGGGGAAGGAACTCAAGAGGATAGCACAGGGGAGGCCTGGCTGGTTAAAGTTGAGGCTGCCTGCTGGGACCTGACTGGAACTAGAGTTACTCTGGGAACAGGGCTGTACTGAGAGTTGAGCTCTTTGGCAAAAGCCTGGAGAAGCCTCCACCGCCACCTCAGAGCAGCTTTTAACTCCGGCCTGTAGGTTTCTCCAGCCAGCTGCCCTGAAGTAGCTGGCTGGAGGCATCCTGATCATCCCCTGGCAGCAGCAGATGGCCACACCAGGTCATACGACATATGGAAGCTCTCTACCTGTGAGTCTGGACCCTGTCCCGGGTCTACACTCCTTCCCATTCCCTGAGCTTGGCTTCTCGCTTTGGGCCTCCTTGGCACTGTTGGCAGGCCAGAGGTACTGGAAGGCCTATAACATGGACACAGTCTCAGTCCAGATGGCTCTCTGCCTCTGGAAGCCTGGGGTTTCTAGGCAGAAGGGCACAAGCTCCTGCAGAGATACAACCTTCTTGCCCCGCTTGTGTATCTGGAACAGGCCTGAGATCTCACTCCCTGGCTTGGGGGCACTTCCAGCTACTGCACCCCTGGACATTGCAATGGGGCACAAGGCTCTGTGCTCCTAGATATACACATAAGCCGAGACTCTCAGCCTACACCCTAACTGGGCAGTCGGGTATTGGTTCTGGCCCAAGGGTTCTCTGTAAACATAAGGCAGAGAGGCTGCAGCTTCTACCCTTTGGCTTGAGTTGGCTGAGATACAGAGAGATGGGTGAGAATAGATTCGAGGTGCCGGGGTTGTCTCCCCTTCCTGAAGGTTTAGTGCCCAGTAAGGTCTCTAAAGCACCAGGACCTGTAGTCTGAGGGGAATAGAATGTTTCCTCTGAGGCTGTCAGTATTGGTTACCAATTTGTTAGCAATTGGTTGAGAAATGGTTTCTCCTCCTCCTTTGCCAAGAACATTCTCCAACACACCCCTCAAGCCTGTCAGACTCAAGTTTCCTGTTATCTCAGGATCGATGATGATGGACTCAGTTCAGATCAGTGAGCGTGACGGTAATATCTGTGCTGCCCACTCTGGGACCTGACCCCATTTCACATACACCACATGGATTGCAACTGAGAAAGCTGACCCAAAATGTGCTGGCACCAGTGTTTGCTCCTCTCCCTGTTGGGGGGCAGCCAGCGTGGGCCATATTTTGTCTGCGGGTCTGATTTCCCCTTAGTCAGGACTTCTGGGCCAGGGAGCTCTTATGCATGGGTCTTCGCGGGTTTGTCTGTGGTCTAAGGAAGATACAGAGCTAAATCAGAGGCTCAGAGCAGCTGATCAAGCCTGGGCAATAGCAGCCGGGTGCCGGCCTACTTGGGGGTGTCAAGCACTTGCTCTTTTCACACTTCAGCAGCAGCTAAAACCTTATTAGTGCTCATTCTGTGCTAGGTAATGTGCCAGCTACTATGTGCTGCCATTCATTTATCTTATCCTCATAGCCATCCTGTGGTCGATAATCTTACATATTCCCCTTTAATGGATGAGGTACAGAGAGGCTAATAAGTATCTTTTCCAAGGTTGGAAAGGGGTAGAGCTTAGTTACAGCCATCTATCAGCCATTAAAATGGATGTAATCTTCCTTACCCCATTCTCAGGGACCCCATGGGGGACACATCAGACTGTGTCTCTGAGAAAATAATGACCTTTACTGGTAGAATTCATCTAACTAGTTGCAGCATGAATCAGGACCTCTCACATGGCACCAAGGACAAGGCCAAAGCCTCATATTAGAAGCTTATTGGGCTTATTTAACTAAACTCTAGGGGAGTTAAATAACTCCTATGAGATGCCATGAGCCTTGATGATTCCAAATCCCAGAAATAACAAGCTATGTCATAATTGGCTCATTTATACCAAAATTATTTTGTGACACAAGGCCTTACTTTCTTCATGTGCAGAAACTAAAACAACCCTCTCTCTGGTCCCTCTACCACCTCAGGGCTAGGGGATTTCTTTCCATTTTGAGGGTCTATTTCTTCCTTTCCAGAAAGGCAGGCCCCCTGGGTAACCCGCTCCTCTCCTACTCTTCATTGCCAGCCCTCCTCCCACTGCCTTCCCGGAAGGAGAGTCCTTGGCCCTCTTTGGGGCTTCTTCAGCATTTCACAACCCTTGCATTCCAGCCATGAAATCTGTATCTGGCTTTTCCCAAGATGATCAGTTGAGAAAAGCCTCCTTCAGCTTGCTGGCGCCTCCCTTCCCACTGCCTGCTCGGGTGAGTTTGGGAAGGATGGGAAGCAGTTCCTTTGTGCCACATGAGGACAGCCTGGCTTAAAGACTGTGCCTGCCAATATCTGTAGAGATTTGAGGAGGGAAAAGTTCCTGGGCATCCTCTCTGTCTGAGGTCACCTGGTCAGACATGGTCTACGGAGTCTGGTCTCTCTACAGTGCACAGAAGATACGTGTGGTCAGGTGAATTGTGTGTAGAGGTTTTCTTTTATTTATTTCTTTTTTTTAGACACAGGGTCTCCTTCTGTCACCCAGGCTGGAATGTGGTGGCAAGATCATAGCTCACTGCAGCCTCGAGCTCCTGGCCTCAAGTGATCCTCCTACCTTGGCCTCCCAAAATGCTGGGACTACAGGCATGAGCCACCACACCTGGCCTGTATTTCTCTAAACTGTTGCTCAGATGCTGGGAACCTGCACCAGTATTCTAGGGCCACCTCCTCCCTCAGCCAGTGACTTACCACCTGAGGCTGGGAACTCTTAGGAAGCTCTCTGAGTTGTGTGCCCTCCCAGAGAGGGACAGGGCACATGCAGGTGTGCACACTTATGTTAGAGGGGAAAAGTTCCTGACTATGGGAGAAGCACTTTGTAGTTGAGGCACCTCTAAAAAGCGAACTCACCATCACTGCTGAGTTTCTCAGTCTTCTAGAATCACACCAGCAGCTTTTAAGACCTTTAAAAAATTTTTTTTGCCTTAATTTCATGGAGAATTAAGATTCTGTACCATGAATTCCTCTGCTGTAACATTCACATTTGCAACACCTCCCCAACATACACACACACACATATACATAGATTTCTCTCTACTCTTAGGAGTGTCTCTGCACTTGTCTGTTTGGCCTTTGATTGGGGTGACTTTGCTCCCTCTAATTCCCATCTTGAATACCTTGTAACCTGGCCAGGGAGTCATCCTTTAGAGAAAATTGTGTTTTGTTTTGCTCAGCTTGTGAGGTCCATGAAGATTAATTAGAGGAAGAAAATATCTTGTTTGCATCCAACTTACCAGTGAATTGGGGTGAAGGAAGGTGAGTTTCCATCTGGGGAAACAGCTGGGCTGTGGCTGGTGCCGCTCGCACGAAGGGCAGTGTTGGGTAACCCTGCTTCAAGGGGTCTCTCCTGTCAGCGCAGTGGCCAGCCTGGAGCCCTCTCTGTCACGTTGGCTTCCCTCACACTCCCACGCTGGGGAAGTACAGTTGCTTGCACTGGAAAGAAAGCCCAGAAAGAAACAGCCCTTCTCTTAGGGCCCCAGCCAGACTCTGCAGGGCTGATGAGAGGAACAGCCCAGGCCTCTCTGCTCCCTGCGTCCTGGACAGCAGGCTCCTTTTTGCCTCCCTCACTGTGATCCATGTTGTCATGCCAAGTGCCTTTACAGGCCTTTCTCAGAAATACATATTTGAAAGGGCAGAGCAAGGGGCTCCACAGCAAGTCTGGCATGGGTAAATTTCTGTTTTAACTCCGTTCTTTGCTCCGCTTCCCCAAAGAGATGAAGTCACGGCCATTGTTAACACCTCAACTTCAGAATTCCTTGCTGGTGCTTGAATTCTCAGTCCAAACGCTGCATCCCCCTCCCTCGAGTTGCACAATCAGGGGTATTTTTATCGCCCATCCTTGATCCTCGGTGTCACCCAACACTTCAGCAGTGAGTCACTTCTCCAGGGAAGGGAAAAGGAAGGCTCAAAGGTAAGAGCTAGAGAAAGGAAATGACTCAGTGTCTCAGAAAAAGGAAAGCTGGGGTTCTGGCTAGAGTAAGCTCATTCAGGAGAGTAGGGGTCCTAATCTCCCACCCAAGTCAGAGGGTAGGGCTGGGGATGGCGGCCCCTGGTGCCCAGAGGAGTTAATAGTTGACTAGGAAATCCCCTAACCTTGATGCAGATTTTACTCACCCTGACTTCTTTAGCCATACTCTGTCCCACCATTTCATGATTTCATGATCACATTTTACCTTTGGGATATTCCCGATGAAAATATTGCCTTTTTTTTTTTTTTTTTTTTTTTTAACACGAGGTGAAGTCTCACTCTGTCACCTAGACTGGAGTGCAGTGGCACAATCTCGGCTTACTGCAACCCCTGCCTCCTGTGTTCAAGCGATTCTCCTGAGTAGCTGGGATTATAAGCACACACCACCACGTCCAGCTAATTTTTGTATTTTTAGTACAGATGGGTTTTCACCATGTTGGTCAGGCTGGTCTCGAACTCCTGACCTTATGATCTGCCCGCCTCAGCCTCCCAAAGTGCTGGGATTACAGGCATGAGCCACTGTGCCCTGCCAAATATTGCATTTTTAAACTGGGTGTGGTGGCTCATACCTGTAATCCCAGCACTCTGGGAGGCTGAGGCAGAAAGAGCTCTTGAGTCCAGGAGTTCGAGACCAGCCTGGGCAACATGGCAAAACCCCATCTCTACAAAACATTAGCCAGGTGTGGTGGCACATGCCTGTAGTCCCAGCTACTCAGGAGGCTGAGGTGGGAGGATTGCCTGGGCCTGGGAGGTTGAGGCTGCAGTGAACCGTGATCACACCACTGCACTCCAGCCTGAGACCCTGTCTCAAAGCAAAAAAAGAAAATACTGCATTTTGTCATTTGGTTATTGGTGTTTACTATTCACCTTTTGTGGCCTTTTACTCCTATATTGTCCTTATAAGAAAATTTGTCAGAATAACCAGGTTATACAGCCTTGTGCTTAATAAGAACTTCAGAGGTGAGCTGGTCCCCTCTCCCTCGATCCCACAGCCACACCCTTTTCCAGTTCTGCCTTAAAGGGAGACCTGCAGGTGGTTCTTTCTCTGGAAAGTTCAGAGCTTTCGTCAGCAATCAGAAAGCAAAAGGAAGAATCTCCCAGGCAAGGGGCAGAAGCCAGAGGTTGGGCTGGGCTCAGCAGGCCAAATCCACTTCACTTGTGAATAGTTGCCAAGCTTGATGCCCTGGTTCCTGTTCCTGGGCATCCCCAAGGAGAAGGCCCCAAGTCGTGTGTCCACTGCAGACGTCATGACTCACAGGACTGGGATTGTGGCTAAAAGGAGTCTCAATGGTTCAGCTCCTCTCCTTTCCACCCATGCTGCCACTGACTGAATGGGACCAATGCCCTTTAGGCGAATGTGAAAAATTAAGACTTTTCCGTTCAGAGAGACCAGGGTGGAGGGGAAGCATGGTTGAGACTCTGTTGGTCTGTTATGTGTAGGTAGGGTGATCAAGGCATGTACTATGAACTGTACACTGCTAGAAATCAGGAATCTACCTTGACACTGGAAGGAGAGGGTATATTAGGATCTATAAAAAGTCACCTTATGCAGTGAGAAATACAAGTATAGAATGTGTTATATAGACAGGTGGTTAAAGATGAAATAGATCAGTTTAGATCAATTGCACCTCTAAGCCATCCCATAAACCACCCCTTGGTGTGGTGCTCTCAATATAGAAGGAATCCTGGGCTGGTCCTCGCGGCTGAGTGGGCAGTTTTTATTGCGCATCACCTTGTGCCAGGCCTTGCGTCGTGGGATGCCCTTGTTCCTGTCTTGTGACTTAGAACACTGAGACTTAGCCAGGTTGTAGAACTTATCTAGCATCAGACTGCAGGGATTAAGTGTCAGCCAGGATTTGAACCTGAGTGGTGTGACTCTAGATCTGAGCCTCTTCACTGAGTATTGCCTGTAAAAGAGGATAAAGGTGGAGGGATACATGCCAGTTCACCAGAAAACATAACTGGAAACAGGGTCTTTGATGCCTGCATGCCGGTGCACAGAGGAAAGCTGGTATTTTAGTTTGCCTGGAAACCCCTGAAGGTGGCAGTTCAGGAGAGACCATTTAGCTGAGAGAGGCATACTAAAAAAATAAAGTGAAATCAGCTAGAGGATACACTCCATCCAAATCTAAGTGAGGAAGACATATGGGGGTAGGAAATGGATTCAACATGAGAAAGAGACAAGGAGAATCCGGGGTGAATGGGAGAGTGATCCCAGATGACAACGGTATAGCAGGAATGAAAGGCAGCCAACTCAGGTGGGAGCGGGTTGGAAGGATCCTCTGGAGAAATGTCTCCAAGAAAATAAAATTGATAAATACCTGATGTATTTGAATGTCCTGGGAGGAGGATGTGTGGACCATTGGTAAGAGTAATTTTTTTTTTTTTTTTGAGACGGCGTCTGACTCTGTCGCCTTGGCTGGAGTGCAGTGGTGTGATCTCAACCTCTGCCTCCTGAGCTCAAGTGATCTTCCCTCCTCAGCCTCCTGAGTATCTGGTACCACAGGCACATGCCACCATGCCTGGCTAATTTTTTGTACTTTTGGTAGAGGTGGGGTTTTACTGCGTTGCCCAGGCTGGCCTTGAACTCCTGAGCTCAATCGATTTTCCCACCCGGCCTCCCAAAGTGCTGGGATTACGGGCATGAGCCGCCACGCCCAGCCAATAATAGTAATTCTGATTTAATTGGTGATAAGCACATAGAAAACTAAGACAGGTATTAAATCCAAGGAAAATAGAAAATTATGACAGAAAGGAAAAGTATATTAATATAATACATGGCTCAACTGTAAACAGCATTGATATAGTCATAAAATTTAAACACACCAGTCCACACAAACTGATGGTGCAGTTATCCTGAAAAGGTGGGAAGGTGCATGGAAGAGAGCTAAAAGCTCATCTTCCCTAGTGGGGAGTCAGTAGGTAAAGCCTGAAAAGGAAATACCAGGCCAGGTGTGGTGACTCACGCCTGTAATCCCAGCACTTTGAGAGGCCAAGGCGTGCAGATCACTTGAGGTCAGGAGTTGGAGACTGGCCTGGCCAACATGGTGAAACCCCGTCTCTACTAAAATACAAAAATTAGCTGGAAACGGTTGCGTGCCTGTAGTCCCAGCTACTCGGGAGGCCGAGGCAGGAGAATCGCTTGAACCCAGGAGGTGGAGGTTGCAGTGAGCCGAGATCTTGCCACTGCACTCCAGCCTGGGCGACAGAGCAAGATTCCATCTCAAACAAAAAAAAAAAGAAAAGAAAGAAAAGAAAAGGAAACACCGGGGAAAGTTTATTTAAAATATCAAGGATGGGAGGCTGAGGTGGGTGGATCACCTGAGGTCAGGAGTTCAAGACCAGCCTGGCCAACATGATAAAACCCCATCTCTACAAAAATATAAAAATCAGCCAGGCGTGATGGTGGGTGCCTATAATCCCAGCTCTTCGGGAGGCTGAGGTGGGAGAATCGCTTGAACCCAGGAGTTGGGGGTTGTAGTGAACCAAGATAGCACCATTGCACTCCAGCCTGGGCAACAGAGCGAGACTCTGTCTAAAAAAACAAAAAAAAAATTTAAGGAAAATGCGAAAGAATCATCTACAGAGGTGACAGTTGTCTCCGAGGAGGGGAGCATGGGAAAACAGTGACTATTGTAATGACCCTCATGAAACCGTTTGACTAAACACTAAAAAAGAAAAAAGAAAAAGATATTGTATGAGCTGTTACAGTTTACCCTGCCCAGTGAAAAGAAAGGATGATGTGTGCCAGGTAAAAAGCACACAGTTAGTGCCAAGGCAAGCCCAGGGGAACTTCAGCTTCCCCAGCCTCAGGCTGAGAGTTGAGGGTGAGCCATGGAGAATCATCTGACAGCCCCCTGAAAAGTGTCTGTCTCAGGGGCACAGAAGATAATGGGGGGAACTTGGCTGTGGACCCAATTCTGACCAGCAGGGAGTGTGAGTCCTGTGAGAAAGCAGCTTGGGCAGGCAGAGTTCAGGAGGGAAAACCCTGGGCCAGTAGTCCCTAGAGGAGGTCCCCACAGCGTTTTAGGGGATTTTCTTGGGTGTTCAGCCAGAAGAGGGTTCTCTGGCTACAGTTGGAAAATGCTGGCTTACACAAAATGAAACCGGTACATTTTCCCTCTGTCCTCCTCAGAGTCCAAAATGCCAACATTTTGTGAATCTCTAATCTGAGATGGGACATATTCCATCCACCTTTGCCACACCTGTTTTTCTAGAGGCTTCTCTTAAATTAAAATTCCATCGAATACCCTTTGGGAAGTCCTGCCCTGTCTTCCAGGAAGGCAGTTCTTTTAAGAATTCAAGGAAAAGATAGATATGTCTTCATAGTCTTGAAACCCCGGAAGAAAAGACCACTCAAAAGAGATGGGAGTTTCTTAAGGAGAAATGTAGAAATATTATAGTTACTTTTGGGGTTTTATCTCAGCTCTTTACTCATTGTGCGATCTTGGGCTAGTTATTTAAGTTTCTGAGTTTCAGTGTCTTTATCTGTAAAATGGGGAAAATAATGCCTCTTTATAGAGTTGTGATGGAAATGAAAGGAAGCAAAGTACACAAAGGATTAGCATGGGACCCAGCACCATAGTCTGTGCTCAATAAAGATGTCTCTTATTATTGTGAATAGTCCCCTGAAAACCAAAAGGAGGTCTATTACCTCCAGGGACCAATATAGGTCTGTAGAGAATACTTCACACAACTCAATTTGGAAGAATTTGAACAAATGCTGGAAGGAGAGAGATGTTATGTCAGCATAGACTTTAAAGAACAGGGTCAAGAAAAGCTGAAACTCAAGAACTGAGTCTTGCAAAAAAAGTGCAATGACCAGCAAAAAGGACATTATTTTTGTACTTCTCTTTGGAGCAAGAAGAAGAAAACCTAGACCCAATTGTTTGGACAGAGTAACATTTATCAGTGGCAGAGAGAAAGCAAAATTTGCTTAAGTTCTGTTATGGTTCCATATTAAAGCAAATGGTTATCAGACCAGGAAGGGTCCCACAGGCATTGACAAGAGGGTTGAATCTATTATTTCAGCTCTCCTGGCTCACATGTATTGTGCCTCCAGAACACCAGAATTGGCAGGCGAGAGTCATGAAGCTGGTGTCAGCAATCTTTGAGGGAATGGGAGAGAGGTGTTGGCAGACTGGAAGTACTCGGAAGTTTCAGGATGCAAAAAGCATCTTGCACTCTCTAGACTAGTGAGCTTGGTGTCACTCTCAGTGAAAATTCTGGACTAGATTATTCAGCAAGTAGGCTGTGAACACTCCAAGGGAAAGAGCGAGTCCTGAGAGTCAGAAACAGCCAGGCTTGCCAGACCATCCTCATTGCCTTTTTATTTATTTATTTTTAATTTTTTCCAAAGACCGCTAAGTGGACTCAACATCGTCGTTGCCTTTTTAGAAATGCCTACCTGGCTGGGCGCGGTGACTCACACCTGTAATCCCAGCACTTTGGGAGGCTGAGGCGGGCAGATCACTTGAGGTCAGGATCACTTGAGGTCAGGAGTTCGAGACCAGCCTGGCCAATATGGTGAAACCCCGTCTCTACTAAAAATACAAAAATTAGCCAGGTGTGGTGGTGGGCACCTATAATCCTAGCTGCTCGGTAGGCTGAGGCAGGAGAATTGCTTGAACCTGGGAGGCGGAGGTTGCAGTGAGCCGAGATCACACCATTGCACTCCAGCCTGGGCGTCGCAGCAAGACTCTGTCTCAAAAAAAAAAAGAAAAAGAGAAAAGAAATGCTTACCTGCCCAAGTAGACAAAGGAAGTGCTGTAGACCTTATATAGGCGGGGTTTAGCAAGATGTTTTGAGAACATTCTGACAGCATTATAGGCAAAACAGAAATGTCCAGAGAACATCCAGAAGGGTGAGGGCCGTGGCGATGGGAAGGTTGGGTTGATTTATAACTGGTTGGATGAGCATACCCAAAGAGTAATGATGTCAGTCCGTCAGCCTGTCTGCCTAGCCCTTTCCTGTTTACTTTTTAATCAAAGCCTGGGATGAGAACATCGATGACGAATTTATCAGTTTTGTCAGTGATCTGAAGTCAGGAAGGAATGCCAATATGATGGATGCCAGAGTCAGGTTTCAGAAATACCCGAACTGCCGGAACACTAGCCAGATAGCGCAGAGTTCTTCTGCTCCTAGCTCCATGTAATCAGCCAGACATATGGGGGAGAACGGGTCCCAGGGCATCCCATGGGAGAAAGCCCGAGGGAGATTTCGTTGACAGAGGGAGTGCAGTGTGAGTTGGTAGTATGAGGAGGTTACAAAGAGTAGATAATTCGATGACAGTTTTAATAGAAATAAAATGTCCTGGACAAGAGAGATCATAGTCCCTCTGTGATCTGCACTGGTGAGGTCACATACTATGTTTATTGCCACACACGACACTTCACTTCTGGATGGGACATCAAACTTTGACAGGTTAGAATGAGCCCAGGGGAGGTGACTTGAATGGATGGAGGATTTCAGAACCTTGTCAAGAATCTAGTTAAAAGTTAGAGCCACAGATAGTAGAAAAAGAAACTTGGTGGGATGTGAGAGCAGCCTCAGGGATTGGAAAGTCTGTTATGGGAAGATGGATTCAGCTCGCTCTGGGCAACTTGAAGAACAGTGGTTTGAGAATTGCAGGAAGGCAGCTTGTGCTCTGTAGAAGGAAGAGAGCCCTGGCGTCACCTCCCTCAGTAGAGCAAAGGCCTCAGTGTTTCTGTTGGACTGTAGTTGGGCCTTTCCAGAGCACCAGTGGTTGACCAAAGCCTGCAGGGTCCACTCAAGGAGTCAGGAGCTCTTTCAAGCCCCATCTCAGAAGTACCCTCTCCCAAGCTCCAGGCAAGAACCTTTGTTCAGCAGGGAACTGGCCTGGCCAGAGGCAGTTGTAAAGGCAAACAAGTTTTGGTTAAGCCATTGACATTTTTACAGGAGGAGCAGATAGACTTTTAGAGGCAGCCAGCTAACGTCAACACATTAATGCACTTGTCAGATATATTGTGAGCACCTACTACATCCCAGGCACTATTGGCCTTATCTGAGTCATCCCATTTAGTCATAATGACCTATTGTTATTTATTCTTGTTAAGAGGATACCAAAGCCCAGAGAGAAGTTAAGCCCAATGTCACATAAAACTGGAACCCAGAACTTAAGCTGTTAGCCACTCTGCCTCCTGGAGCACAGCCTTGGCCCCATGCCCCTGGCAGTCCCCAGCGGGTATGAGCTGTGCCTCCCTGAGAGCCCCTCTCCCTTCCAGCCCCCAAAGCCATGCCTTCCCCTCCACTGGGAACTCAGGGAGAAAACAGCCCAGCTGAAAAATTAGGCCATGCTGCCGAGCACACTACTTATTTTTTATGACTAAGATTAAGCTGACAACCATGCAAAACATTGCAAACCTGTGTCGGCTGCAGATTTAATACCTCACCTAGCCCACACAAATAATTCATGCTTCTGCATCGATGTCCAGAAGAAACAAATCAGCAGAAAACTGGGTTCTTGTGTGTGTGTGTGTGTGTGTGTGTGTGTGTGTGTGTGTGCACGCGCATGTGTGTGTGTGTGTATAGCAGCCGCGTTTCCATCGAAGCAGCATGCCGGAAATACCCAAGCTCCAGGACTGCAAATCTTGCATTTTGCAATTTTTTTTTCTCTTAAAAGATTAAAGTACAGTTTCAAATGATTGAAGGTTGGTGGGAGGTGTAAATGTGGGCACTTGTCACATTAATTCTTCAGATGATTAAGTTCTTTTCCATTTCTTTAAGGCTGTTTGCAGTTGGGTTTGATGTCCTGGTTCTGGGTGAGTGTGTTGTGGCAGTTACCAAGGTGACTTTAGCTGACTTTCAACAATTTATTTTTCCCTCCAGCTTGAGACGTCTCTAGCCCTGTGTGCTGTTGATTCTTTTCTGCAAGCCCCCACCCCACCTCCCATTGCTATTCATGAGCATTTTTGCCTGCACCATAGAGGCTGGGATTCTCTAGCACGCCCTGCCTGGACAAGCTAGGCCTCAGCCCCTCTCAGGAGGACAGTAGTGTGTCTGGAGGCAGGAACCGGTGGTCAAAGATGGCACAGGGGAGTGATTGTGAGAGTCACCCCCTGGTCCTTTCGCTTAAACTCACTCTGAGCCCTTCGGCTCGTCACCTCACCTCCCTAAGCCTCAGTTACCTCCTCTGTGAAAGAAGGCTTGACAACAGAGCCTACCTCGTGCTTGCTGGGAGGAATCAGCGAGTGAACCTATGGCCTTAGCAGAGGGTTGGCGCAGAGTAAGGGCTCAGGAAACATGGCTCAGGAAACACTGCTTCCTGAGTTCTGCTCTTGTTTGGGCCCTGAGGGCACCCTATGTCTCCACTGAGCCCTCACCTGTGACTGCTGCCTCCCTCAGAAGGAAGGGAGGTGCAGTGGCCCTGGTGGAAGGGAAAGAGAGTTGGTCGGAAGTCTGAGGCTTCGATCAGAAGTCTGACGCACGGTGAGGGGGGACGCGTCACCCACTCTCTTTTGTAAAGGAAAGAGGGAGATTAAACAACCTCAGAGTTTCCTTCCAGTCCTGAATACTGTGACCCTCTTGGCCATAGCATTTGTCTCCTTCACAGGTCTTGCGCAAAGGCGAAGCCAGGGGAAAAGGCAGTTTTAGAGCTGGCTTTAGGAAAGCAGAGGAAGGGACCGCTTTGTGAAGGAACAGTCAGATCCAGGAGTGAGTCCTCACAAGGAGAAGGCCAGCAGGCAGGCACGGCCCATGACCTCAGGGGCACGTCTAACCCACTGCCGCCACAGGGCCATCCTCTGTCTTTGGCCTGCGGACCCTACACCTTCCCCTGGGGAGGTGCCCTGCCTGTTGGGGTGCCACCCTGGCTGCAGGCCCCAGCACCTAGCCCCGCAACGTGTGAGGAGGTTGGGCCTGCCCCTCAGTGGCTGTCTGGCTGTCATCCTGGGTGGCTCCTGCCTGCCACTTGAATGATAAATAACTAGAGCTTCTCACCCAGTTTTTGATGGACACTTGGGGAATTGTTCTGAGATTCACAGCCCAAACCAGGATCCGGCCTTTTGAATGGGATCAGTGGGTAACTCTTATTTCTGGCTGAGGCAGATTTGAGAGGTTGTCAGTGGGGGCAGCTGAATTTGAAAGAGCAAATCTTAGAATGCAAAGGGACCCTGTGTCCCAGCCGTGGGCCGCACTTTTGGTGGGGAGCAGGCAGGAGGGAGTGTGGGGCAGCAGTGACAGCTCACCGTGCCAAGGCCACAGTCAGGAGGAATCTGGTACAGGCTCCTGGGGCCTTAAAGCCCAGCAGGGCGGGGGCCCGGTTCTGCTTTCCAGCCAAGCCCACTGGTCTGACTCGTAAGAGCCCAGCTTGTACTCAGCAGTACAGATTGTATCATCATCTGGTTAGATGAAGGGTGTGAATGTCCCTGCAGCTCCTGGCTGTTGGCGGAATGTGCATCCTCAGAGCCTTCAGGGTCAGCTGGACAGAAACTCTTGGAGCCGCATCTCATGGTGCTCAGAGCTAGGGCTCAGAGGCTCCAGGGCAGGAGAGGAAGGGCTCCCAGAAGCTCCTGCTGATCACAGGGAAAGACAAGCCACTGTGCCATAAACTTTAATATAGAATGTTGGGGCCAGGCACGGTGGCTCATGCCTATAATCCCAGCACTTTGGGAGGCCGAGGTAGGCAGATCACCTGAGGTCAGGAGTTTGAAACCAGCCTTGCCAACATGGTGAAACCCTGTCTCTACTAAAAATACAAAAAAATTAGCTGGACATGATGGCAGGTCCCTGTAATCCCAGCTACTTGGGAGGCTGAGGCAGGAGAATTGCTTGAACCTGGGAGGCGGAGGTTGCAGTGAGCCAAGATCGTGCCACTGCACTCCAGCCTGGGTGACACGGCGAGATGCTATCTCAAAAAAAAAAAACGAAACAAAAAAACAAAAACCAAAGGCTGGGTGCAGTGGCTCACGCCTATAATCCCAGCACTTTGGGAGGCCAGGACGGGCAGATCACCTGAGGTCAGGAGTTCGAGACCAGCCTGGCCAACATGGTGAAACCCCGTCTCTACTAAAAAGACAAAAATTAGCTGGGTGTAGTGGTGGATGCCTGTGATCCCAGCTACTCGGGAGGCTAAGGCGGGAGAATTGCTTGAACCCAGGAGGCGGAGGTTGCAGTGAGCTGAAATCGCACCACTGTGCTCCAGCCTGGGTAATAGAACGAGACACCATCTCAATTAAAAAAAAAAAAAAAATAGAATGTTGGCCAAAGATGCAGGCTTTATAGAATCAGACCTGCCCGAGACTGGATCTCAACTCTGCCCACTCCCTGGCTGTGCAACCTGTGCAAATTACTTAGCCTCCCTGTCCCCAGTTCCTCCTCTGTAAAAAGAGACAATGGTGGCAGCCACCTCTTGGGGGCATTGTGAGGAGTAGCCAGTCAGTGAGAAGTGCTTGGTGCAGTGGCTGGCGCTCGCCAGGCATATACAGAATGATGGCTGTCACCATCATTATCATCAGTCACCATTATTGTCTTTATTACTCAGGAGCCCAGCTGGAGACTCCCATCTTGCTCCTCCCTGAGCTTTTCACCTTGTGCCGAACCTTTTCCTGTGCTTGCTTCACAGGAGCCGCAAAGACAGCCTGGAAAGTGACAGCTCCACGGCCATCATTCCCCATGAGCTGATTCGCACGCGGCAGCTTGAGAGCGTACATCTGAAATTCAACCAGGAGTCCGGAGCCCTCATTCCTCTCTGCCTAAGGTGAGCGAGACAGCCCTGCCACACAGTTTACCCCACAGCACCCAGCTCAGCCTCCAGGGGGCACTTCAGAGCCTCCCCAGCCCCCTCCCCCAGCAGGCGTCCTCCAGGGCCTCCAAGGAGCCACCAGGCCCGTGCTTCCCGTCTCCCTGTCTCCCTGATGAGGGTGAGGTGCCTGTTGGCAGCCTACACACCTAAGCAGGCTGGGTCTCAGGGAGGGAGGAGAGCTACTCCACATGGGGCCTGTTTAGGAGCCTGGGGACTGTGAACCAGCCAGTCGCCCCCATGTCACTGGGCCATGCGGTGTTCTCCTTGCCCAACCCTCTGGCTGGCCTAGGTGGTGAGAAGTCTGCCATGCTTCCTAGAGCGGGGCTCTCTTATCTGCATCTCCTGTCTAGCCCAGAGCAGCAACAGTCCCCAATGCGCCCAGCACTGTGACCAGAGAGCCCCACTGGTCTCCTATTGCTTGTTTGACAGACCTTCCTCGTTCGCAAGTTCTGGAGTCAGAATCCACAGGGAGAAGTATTCCTCAGCCCTGCTCCCCTTAGGAAGGCTCTGTGACCCAGGGAGTCTCAGGTGCCCCCAGCCACCGACAAGCCCAGGGCAGGGATGGCAGGGTCCCCAGTAGCACTGGTTTGTCAGGGTGGGGTTGGGTGGGTTGGGCTCTATTTTCTCCTGCTTGCTGCTTTTCCCATGCAAAACACTCAGTTCTAAAACCTAGTGGCCAGCCCAGCAAACTCCTTGAGGGACCAGGAAGCCCAGCTGTGTCCCTTCTGCTTCTGTCCACAGTGCCAAAAGCCCAGCCCTATGGCCAGAACTCAGCTCTGTGCTCAGGGCTGCTGCACGGCTGCATCTGCTACAGCTGGCTACCCCACAGCCCAGGGGCTCCACCCACACTTTGAGCAGCAGAGTCACCAAGAGTAATTCTAAACTCACAGAACAGTGACAGGGAAGAAGAACTTGCACACTTGGGGACTCCCCACTGTCCCCAGCACCTGGGAGTGAGTTTGAAGGGTAACTAGCCTTGGCCAGCCACCCTGGGCAGCAGACAGAGAGCAAATGGCCAGAATGAACAGGACCTGGAGGGGCCCACTGCCATCCCACAGCCACATCCTCCCCAGCCACTTCTCTGGCCCAGGCCCAGGGCCTTTCAACTGGTGAAGGGTTAATTGGAGGCAGCCTGAGAAGGCAGAGGGCAGGTTCCACTTCCTTTGCTGATGAGTGGCTCTGCCCATTAGCTGCCCCTGCCTGCCCCTCCCCCAGGTGTATTTCCAGACTAGGGATTAACAGTAACTTCTGTGGCTCCCTGAGTGACCCCACTTGGCTTCAGCTTGCTTGCTTGCTTTTTTTTTAAAGATGTGCTGTGGCCTTTGGGCCAGCCACTTGAATGTTATGGGAAAGCCCAGGAGCAGGTGGAAGATTCTGCCCTGGACACTGAAGGGTCCCACTGCGGAGGCACTATCCCATCGTCCCAGGGAAACTTGTCTAGACGCTACTTCACCTCCGTCCCCTAAGGGGGGATGTGACCCCCCTCTTACCTCTGGGCATGACCTTCAGCACATTGCTACCTTCCCTCTCTGCCCTCAATTTTCCTAAGGGAGGTGAGCTCCAGGATCTCTGCAGGGCTTTTGAACTCAGTGTTTTCTGCTAGCTTTGAGCACTTTGGAAGGATGATGTTAGAGAACTTGTGAGAGGAGCTTCTCTTTGAAGGTGTTGAAATGAGCGTGTTTGGATACAGTCCCCTGTTGATGGGCAGGTGGGCAGCCAGGAGGGCATGTTACCTGGCCCGCGGACCATAGTCCCCACTGTCCCAGAGCCTTGGCCAGGCCTGCTGTGCTTGGAACTGTTTCCAAGCCCAGCTCCTCACTGTCTCCATGTTCCCATCTCCAGGGGCAGGCTCCTGCATGGACGGCACTTTACATATAAAAGTATCACAGGTGACATGGCCATCACGTTTGTCTCCACGGGAGTGGAAGGCGCCTTTGCCACTGAGGAGCATCCTTACGCGGCTCATGGACCCTGGTTACAAGTGAGAAGGCCCTTTTTCTTCTCCCTCCTTCCTTTCATAGACTTCCTTGCCCACCCCTCCTCTTCTCCCTTGGCAGCTCTTGATGGCACCCCTTCCTGGGGGGCTGGTCATGAATGCCTCATGGATTCAGGGCCTGGGGCCTGTGTGTAGGTATGGAGTGTGGATGCTGCTACCCACTCCAGCAGCTTAGGAGCACTTCCTGACCTTCTCCCCCTGTCACCTGAGACACAAGTGTTAACTCTCCAGGCCCTGGCTCTTGGTAATTCTGGTTCCCCGTGGAAATCCAGGTTGGAGGGATATAAGACTTTCTGCACCTTGGGTAAACCAAGGTACAAGAACTCAAGGATGAAGCAAGATGGGAGGATGTGTGGAGGCCACTCTCCAATGGCTACATGGAAATCCCACCAGAATTCAGACAGTGGCATGTGTGCCTGGACCAGGGCTGGGCAGGCCTCAGTGGGAAGAGCCTCCCCTTCTTAGCCTACCCCCATCTGACAGCCCTCCCGTTCCTCCTGAGTTTGTGTGACCAGAGACCTGCTGGCTTATCCGGAGCACTTTGTCCTTCCTTTGCTCTTCTGGCTGGAGCGAGCTTCAGAGCTGTTGCCAAGCAGGGTACCAGGGCCTCAGAGCCATAGGCCTCCTTCCAGTCCCCACCCCGTCCCGGGTCTCTAACAGGTGCTCAACCTACTCCACCACACTCCCGAGTGTCTTGGAGGGACAGCATCCTTTTTTGGCATTTGTTTGTTGCGGGTGGGGAGAGGATTGAACCCTTAACCTCACCTCGCTCGCAAGTATCAAGAAAGGGAACCTGACCCTAAACCTAAAGGTGGCCATACCTGGTTTGTGAATGTATTGGAGAGGCATGCAGCATTACAGTAGAGGGGAAGAGAATGATGCTAGGTTTGTGAGTTTCACCCAGTCTGGGGAGTCTGTGAAGCATATGTAGTCAATACAGACACACTTTTTGTCCCTGCATGTCTACAGAATTTCTCCTCCTTCAGGCCAGGCCCCTCTTCTCCCGCCACCACCAAAATACAACCCTTAATTAAAACAAACAGCAAACAAAGGACACCAACCACACTCCCCAGACTAAGCCGAGATAGAAATGGAAGCTAGTGCTTTAGGGATATTGTGTTCCATAAATTATCTTGCCTTTTTCCACTGTTGTTATTATATCGTTTCATAACAAAATTACTTTGAACCATAAAGTTATAAATACATTTTAAAAGTCCCACTTGGTAACATTAGATTTCTGTCCATGTGGTGTTGGTAGTTACTGTAACAAAAGCTCTGAAGTGTAATATTTGAAATTAGCCCAGCACAAGTGGAAAGGGCCTCCCTCCATTCCCTACCCCCAGCCATGTCCCGGGCTGCTGCGTCTGCCCCTGTGGAGAACAGGGAGGGAGCAGGCCTGTCTCCTGGGCGGAGCTGCTGAGGAGGCTGGAGGTAAGGACAAGCCCCTGAGAGTTCACAGGTCATCATTCCCAAGTGTCCTCAGGTAGCGTGTGTGTGTGTGTGTGTGTGTGTGTGTGTGTGTGTGTGTGTGTGTGTAATGTTCAAGCACGTTTTCCTGGGACAGTCGGGACTGGGGCCTCCCCAAACTGCAGAATCTACCCAGTTATGTTTGACATCCTCAGCTCTGAACCTATCCTCGGAGCTCTGCCCTCCCGTCCTGGAACGTCTTTCTGCCCTGAGGAGAGGGTAGTCAGCATCTCCAATTTTCAGCAGCTCAAGAACCTTGGCCCCCACAGGACTTCGCAGATGTCACATTGCCCCTCAGTCCCCTGAATGCCCTTCGGACCCAACCCCAATTCCCCAAGCCCCTGACCCCCTAGCTGCCGGGGTTCCCACTCCCAGTGCCACAACCCCCTCACCTCCCTGGCAGCCCCTCAGCGAGCCTGAGGCCCAGCACCCGCTGGCTCCCCAGCACATGGTCCCCTCCCATGGGCTGTTGCCCAGGGAACCGGGGCGCGGTGGGAACGAGCTGCTGGCCTCGGCATGTTTCAATAAAGTTGCTGTGCTGGGAGCTACTCAATCAAAGGCCTGTGTTATGGGCTCATTAGTGTGGTCCACCACGGGGCCGGCTCACAGGAGAGCTCCTGGGAAGGCTGGCGGAGGCCCCACACCCCAAGCACCCACCCTTGATCACCGAGGGGTTTCTCAGGCCCTTTCCAAGGAGCCCTGGGAAACCCTCTGACCCTGCCCCCAGCCGGATTCTCAGCAGTGGAGCCAACACCCACACCAGCCCTCCTCCCCCTGCCAGGCAGTCAGCACTTTCTCCCTCTGACTGCCAGCCAGCCGCCCCTGTTAGGGTCCTGCCACTGTGGTCACAGGCAGCTCCCTTGCTTGTGGGAACCTGGGCTTGTAATTACTTGTGGGCCTCTAGATCTCCCTCTGGGGCTGGCTGTCTCCCTGGGAGTCTGCAGGACCTCCTAGAGGCCTGGGGTTAGACTTGCAGTCGCCAGTGAGGGCCACTCCACTGGGCCAAGGAGAGCCATAGGTCCCTCAGGAGGGGACCCCAGCACAAAGAGGCCCACCCTTGCTCCCTGCAGGCATCTCTTGCTCGCACCCCCAGGGTTCCGAGGTGTCTTCTTGGGCCTTGTGTGCCCAGGCCTATTGGAGGCAGAGGAGTAGGAAGGAGTGAAATCCAATAGACCCAGGACATGACGAGACCCAGTCTTATGTTCTCTTAACTGCTGCCGGAACTCTCCCATTGGTCCCAGCTGAAATGGAGGGGCTGGGATGACTTTGTTACAGCAGCCTTGGAAGCCCTCACTCCCAGCCTTGGCACCTTGTTCTGGCCACCAGCCCAGCCCAGGCCTGTTATCTCTTGGGAGAAAGCGTGGCAGAGACATCCTGCAGGGGGAAGAGTGACAAGGAGAGGCCGAGAGGAAAAGGCAGAAGGTTTAGGAACCCGAGCCCCTTTCCGGAGCCTGTGGAATGGCCCCAGACAGGCCTCCACACCCACCTGCTCCACAGCCTTCCCCCATCAGTCCAGACCCAGGAGAGTCAGGGCCCCAGCATGTGGCAAAGCAGGGCTTGTCTGCAGCACCAGGTGGAGCACAGTGGACACTCCCTGCTTTATGGAGGATCTGGGGGTGCAGGAAGCCAGCTCCAGTTCCACAGGCTTTCACTTTCTGGAGAACAGCACCTTGACTCCGTCTGCCCTGCCATTTGCTGTTTTCATCCTTGCTGAGACTGTAAAGCTTATCAGCCAATTCCGGGGCTGTGCAGGAGGCTCTTCAGACCCTGGGAGGGGGCCTGCCAAGGTCTGCTCCTGCACCTCCTTCCCCCAGCATTCCTCATCCTGGTGGCTTTAACAAGCCTCTCTCCCTTGAGCCTGTCAACACTGGGCTGTTAGTCTTCTGAGCGGGAGCCCGGCCCAGAGCTGAGTTGTTCATCCGTCCCCAGCCAGGGTTGATCTGAAGGGGGATAAGTCTCAGCCCCAGCGGTCACATAGGGGTCACATCACCAAATATGAGAATATTGTTTTAGGCCCCGCAATGCTTTCTCAGCTGTGTGGTGTCTGACAGCTCACCCAGGTTGCGCCCCTAGTCCCAGCCATTCTCTGCCAGTCCTGATGGGAAGCCCCAGGCGTGGGAGAAGACGCCCAGCAGCTGTTCCAAGTGGGCTCTGCTGCTCCAGGCCAGGCTTGGGAAGGTGCTGCCGAGCTCTCCTCTGGGCAAGCCCTGCCTTCTGCTACCCATTTGGATATTGTGTAGAAGATGACTTGGGAATCCCCAGCCCATGCCCTGGGCACCTCCTCTTTGGTGCCTCTACTGTTCCTCCTTCCACGGGTGAACCCAGGCATACTTATTCTCCCTGGAGACCTTTGCTTGGACTGCCCCGAGACCTTGTTGTCCAGGGGGACACCCATTAAGGTTTAGAGCCCAGCAATGCGCCTGGGGAAGTACCCTCCCTTGTAGGAAAGGACTGTGATGCCGCCCTGTGTCCCTGGCAGCCCACAGCCAGAGCAGGAGTCTGAGCCCGCTTCTGGCCACCAGAGCCAACTTTTCACCGCCCACTAAGAACAGGAAATGAGCGAGACCTGTGCCCCAACTGCAGCCCGCTACCTGCCGCACCACACGCCTCTGTCCCTGACCTGGGTTGGGGGTGTTCTCCAGGCTGTTTTCTGGCTTTTGTCTGGCCTGTGGAGTGGGGGTGGGAGGGAAGGGATGCAGACAGGACTGCTTCCCCGTCCCTGCCTCCTCCACTGCCATCGTGGGTGCCAGAGCAGCTCCTTGGCAGGCTCTTCCACTGTAAACAACACATTTCCTTCCCTGAGAGGAGGAAAGGGAGGGAAAAGAAAGCCAAATTTGTTGGGAAGCAAGTACAACGTGTCAACATGAAGAACAAACAATGCCCTGGACAAAGTGTGGATTGTCATACCAAAGGGAAGGAGTGGGCATTGTCAGCCACTCTTTGCAGACTCAGAAATATCATTGACCACAGACATCTGAATCGGCGTCAGATCTGCAGCAGCTGGGCCCCTGCCTGCAGTGCAGCCTGGCTTGCCCAGGGCAGGCACTGACACAAGATCACTTTTCGGGTTCCTTTCTGGAACTTGCTGGGGCCTGGGGAATTGGGAGGTTGTTGACAGTCCTCCCTCACCACCACCCAGCCAAGCTGGTTAAGGCAGCTGGTGTGAGCCCACTGGAGTAGCTGCTGGCCTAGATTCCAAGCCCCCCTCCCTGGCCAAAGGTGGGAACTGGGGGTAACCAAGATCCATTGCCCCCCTCGCAGCTCAGCCCGTTTGATGGTGGTGAAGCTACAGCCACCAACTCACCCCTGTTGGTTAAGCCTGTGCCCAAACCCCCTTTCCCTGTGGGCCTGAGTATTTCCCCAGCAGCCCCTCACCATGATCTCCTGGGGCACCACTTAAGAATACAAGTGCTGGCCAGGTGCGGTGGCTCACGCCTGTAATCAGTCCCAGCACTTTGGGAGGCTGAGGTGGGTGGATCATCTGAGGTCGGGAGTTCGAGACCAGCCTGACCAATGTGGAGAAACCCCATCTCTACTAAAAATACAAAATTGCCAGGCACGGTGGCTCACACCTGTAATCCTAGCACTTTGGGAGGCCGAGGCGGGCGGATCATGAGGTCAGGAGATCGAGACCATCCTGGCTAACACAGTAAAACCCCGTCTCTACTAAAAATACAAAAAATTAGCCGGGCATGGCGGCGGGCGCCTGTAGTCCCAGCTTGTTTGTCTGCTGTTAAACAGCAGACAAAACTCCAGCCCCTGGCCGGGCCCAGTGGCTCACGCCTGTAATCCCAACACTTTGGGAGGCTGAGGCAGGAGAATGGCATGAACCCAGGAGGCGGAGCTTGCAGTGAGCCAAGATCATGCTACTGCACTCCAGCCTGGGTGACAGAGTGAGACTCCGTCTCAGAAGAAAAAAAAAAAAAAAAAATTAGCTGGGCATGGTGGCACATGCCTGTAATCCCAGCTACTTGAGAGACTGAGGCAGGAGAATCACTTGAACCCAGGAGGCAGAGGTTGCGGTGAGTTGAGATCGTGCCATTGCACTCCAGCCTGGAAAACAAGAGCAAAACTCCGTCTCAAAAAAAAAAAAAAAAAAAAAAAAAGCATGGGCCTTGGCCTTACCCCAGAGTATTCTGATTCAGGAAGTGTGAATGGGGCCTAGCATCGCCATATTTTCAGAAGCTTCCCAGGGGAGTGTGCTGCTCAGATTGGTTGAGGGTCTTCCTCTCTTACTAGAGGGTCTCCTCCCTCTGAGGGCTGTTTGTGTACAAACATAAGTGTTTTCTGCCTGGCTCTTGGTAAGTGCAAATATCAGTGAGTGCTGTTATCAATATTATTTCTACTGCTACTTTCTGGGCTAGAGAACTGTCAAGATATATGTATTCACTAGGCTGGCCTGGGAATTTGCCCCACCGTCCCCACTTGGGAACCATCTCTGGGCATTGGTTTGCCTTCCTTTTCATTGGCCAGTCTGGTTTTTTAGCAGTGTCTGTGACTCTCAGGCTTCTAGCCCTCTTAAGTTGAGCAGGTGGCCAGGAAATGTGTGGCTGGTGGAGGTTGGGACTGCTGATTTTCCAGGTCATTGGTAAAAACCAAAGCTACCTTCACCTCCCTCATCAGAAGACAGAGAAGTTATCCCCATCTATATAGGCTTCTACAGTTGGGGTGTCTTCCCCAGACAGGAAAAGAGCATCCTCTATCACCATGAGATCAGATAGCCGTTCCTCTAAAGTCCAGAGCCTTGAGCCAGGCGTGGTGGCTCTTGCCTGTGATCCCAGCACTTTGGGAGGCCAAGGCGGATGGATCATTTGAGGTCAGGAGTTCAAGACCAGCCTGGCCAACATGGCAAAACCCCATCTCTACTAAAAATACAAAAATTAGCCGGACATGGTGATGGTCACCTGTAATCCCAGCTACTCGGGAGGCTGAGGCAGGAGAATCGCTTGAACCCAGGAGGCGGAGGTTGCAATGAGCCAAGATTGTACCACTGCACTCCAGCCTGGGCGATAGGGCAAGAGATTCCATCTAAAAAATAAAAAGAAAAGTCCAGAGCCTTGTCTCCTCTGGGTACCTACCCTTGGGCAAAGTGGGGATGATAGTCACCTCCCTAGCAGAACTGCCATAAGGATTCAATGAAATGACACTGATCAAGCTCTTAGCACAGCGCCTAGCACATGGTGGAGGTACTGCTTCTGCTATTGGCCATTTTTACTGTCATTTTTATCATCACCATTCCCATTATTATTCGTGACAGAGCCAAGCAGCTCTGTAGGGACCCAGTGAGCCTCAGGAGTGCCAAGCCCCAGAACTGCACAGGCTTTTCCCACAGTTGCATCACAAGGGCAAGTCTGTTACTCGGGAGAGCTCCCAGGAGCTGCCCCATCTTAGCTGTCTATCTCCAGTGTCCTGTTGATAAGATCTGTTAACATTCTCAGCTCCAGGTCTGAAATATACAAAGAACAGGGCCTGTTTGTTCAATCCAACCTTCTAAGGTTTAAC
Organism: Homo sapiens; assembly: GCF_000001405.40. NCBI lineage: Eukaryota > Metazoa > Chordata > Mammalia > Primates > Hominidae > Homo > Homo sapiens. The sequence goes on from NC_000010.11 coordinate 102,624,413, forward strand.
TCCCAAAGGAAATTAAATTAGGTGCCTGGAGCTATGACAGTCTGTCGTGTTTCTTTGCAGAGAATGTCACCTTTAATATCATGTAGATCTCATGTATAATTTTTCCCCTTTAATTCTTTTAAAATAACGTGAAGTTTCCAGCGGGAACCAGCAAATCACCAAAAGCAAAAATGGAGGAGCAGCTAGGGTTTGTCCTCATTTTTGATCTGGCCATCCCCTCCCCCAACCGAGTCCAAAATAAGTCCACACACAGATGGTGCCGCGCATGGTCGTTGCTCTACTAAAAGCCACCATAACTCACCCTCTCCTTAGCACCAGTTCCAGACCTTTGTCAGGGGAACCAGCTTAGAATTGAACTCAGTGTTGGTGGCATTACGTTTCCTTGAAGAATAACTCTGGCGTCTCACTGGGTGGCCACAGCCTCTGTGAACCCTTGCCCCTCTTCCTGTCCTCCCTCCACCCCATCTCACCCCCAGCACTTGTTATAGTCCCACATCTATTTACTGATCTGGCAGAAAGCCCCTCCCTCCAAGTTATTTGTGAGTTAGAAATTAGCCCAGCCCGGCCCAGACTGGAGCCATTGTAATATAATTGGGTTTTAGGTATGCTTGTGTTTGTGCTAGCATTTGCAGAGATGGCAACGAGCCCCGGAAATGCCAAAAATATGAATGTAACTTTTGTATTGCTTGAGCAGACTGGTGATAACTGGTGGGGAAACTGAACTTTTGGGGAGGACACCCCTGGGATAAGAGAGTAGGAGGAGCAAGGGCTTAGGCTGTGAGAGGGAGTACGTGTATGGCTGGAGTCTGTGGGCAGAGTCGGCCAGTCCCACTTTGGGGAATTAGGAAGAACTGTAGGGGTGCACCTCCCCGAACTTTGCCAACTTTGCCTCTCCTGCTCTGTCTCTAAGCCTTGTCTCTGTCCTTGGTCGGGGCCCTAGCTCCTAGAACAGAGAGTTTGGTGAGGAGACGTGGACCAGTGGTCAGAGTTATTTTGTTCCTGCTATGGGCTTGGAGCCTGGGAAGGCTGGGTCTCTTGTCTCCTTGCCAGCCAAAAGAGGGTGCTTGTCCTGGTGGGAAATGAGCTGCCTTCATGCCTGTGTCCCTGGAAGGATGAATGGATGAGTTAGTGTCCTGGGGGTGAGAGTTCAGCATTCGGGAGCAGTACTCCAGGCACTAAATTGAGAGTCCAGACATGATCAGGATATGGTCTTAACCACTCACAAGCCGTGTGACACTGAGCAAATTACATAACCTGCCTGTGCCTGTTTCCTCCACTGTAAGGAGACATGGAGATGAGCAGTTAGCATGCCCGGTATGATGGCGGCTTTTCTGCTCACTTGGGGGTAGTGTTCTTATTTCTCACTCCCTCCTCCACCCCGTCCACTTCTTGCTTTAGAGACCTCCGTCCTGTGAGCTCCCGAGCCGTCCTGTGTGCTCACCTTCCTGTGTGCACTCCTTCCTTGTTATCTCACAGCGTGGAAACTTTTGTTCTTGGCAGCTGACAATTCCCAGGGGAAACCTGGTGGGTATTTTTTCAAGTTCTCAATTCTCCTCCTCACAGGGAGGGTTTCCCCTCAGAGGAGCCCCTCACCTGGATCTTCACCCCATTATCTTTCTTCCTTTGTGCCCTACCTGGGTGCTCAAGGTGTACGGGAGAAGACAGGTAGAGCTGTGGCCTGGGGGTACAGAAGGGTCTGCAGTGGAGGGAGGCTGGGAGGCCCTGGGGACAAGGACAGGGAGGGGGAGGGGTGAAGGAAGGGGTCACAGTTGGAAGAGGAAAGACACCCTCACCCAGGGCGTGGTGGGGTGCAGACCTGGGATCAGCTTGGCCTGGCTCTGCCTAGCAGCCTGACGAGAGGGGTGGGTGGGGAAGAATGGCCCAGCAGATTGAGGAAGGCCGGTTTTAGAGGGCCTGAGAGCCCTTGGACGTTGGTATTGGCTGTGAAAACTTCTTTAGCGGATGAAGTTGGTGTTTGTGCCAGCCAAATAGTGGGGCCAGACTCAGCATCAAAGCGAGAGGCAATGAGGTGTCAGACTAGAACAGCAACGTGGAATGCTGGGAGGTGACCTAGAGAAGAGGAACCTCAAAGAAGGCTGGAGGAACTCAGTGGCTGATCGAGCACAGCAGGTCAGGGGCTTGGGAGCTTCCAGCCTGGGAGGATGTGGCTACTGTGAATGGGAATGGAAGTTGGGAGTCCCTTTGTCATCTGTAAAATGAGACGTTGGTCCACAATCTCCAGATTCTCCAGCTCAGACATTCTTGGATGTACCTTCCAGGGCACTTCCAGATTCCAGATAGGGCTTGTATTCCAAATCCAAACAGTTTCCTTTTGTCCTTCTACGGTGAGGGGCAGAGGGGGACACTAGAGCCTGACTGGGCAGCAGCTTTAATTTAATTTTTTTTCCTTTTAATTTTTCTTTTCTGTTCCTTTTTCTTCCTGAGATTCCTTTTTACCGGCCCCACCAGTGTTCATCTCCCTTCTGGGAGCAGCATTCCCAGCTCTCCCAGTGTCCTCCCTCCCCTCCCCATTGTCCCCTGACCCCTTTCCTTCTATGCCTCAGTCTGATATTGCAGGGAGGTGAGGGTGTGGGGGGAATGACAGCTGGGGACAGGCCTCAAACACTTCCCTGTGTCCCTTGAACAGATCACAGTGAGCTCATCTCTCCTCCATGGTCAGAAGAGAGGTATAACGCTTGGTGGTTGGCAAAAAGATCATACATTTAAAAATAATAATAAAAGCCTGCCTTGTGCCTTCACAGATTCTGTTGACCGAAGAGTTTGTAGAGAAAATGTTGGAGGATTTAGAAGATTTGACTTCTCCAGAGGAAGTAAGCTTGTTTGACTTTTCCTGACAACAGGTCCCGTCTCTGGGACCATGTGTGTGCGTGCGTGTGCACGTCTGTGCATGCATGTGTGCGTGTGTACCTGTGGTGCGTGTGTGCTTGCATGTATCTGTGTGGCTGCATCTGTGGGCTCCTCCCCAAGGTGCAGGGATAGGCTGGAGAGGAGACTGTAGATTTCTCTTCTGTTTCTATGCACCCTCACCATCCCCTGCCCTACCCCCAGCCCTTGTAAGGACACCCAGCAAATCGTCTGAATTGCCAGCTCCTGAGAGCCTCATTGAAGAGGAAGCCAGGGCCTTCAGGCTAGTACGAGTTCTCCCCAGCCCCTGCTGTTCCCTGGCAGATTCTGAACAGAACGCCCATGTCTGTTGCCAGAGAACATTCCGCTGGGGAGTTCTGGTGGGCAGCAAGGGACTCCTGCTCTCGCCTCGGGCCACCCAGGAGCCACTCTCCCTTCTTCGTCCTCCAGCCATGAGCTGTGCCTCTTAGTCTCCCTCTTCCAGCCCTGGCTCAGAGCTGGAGGAGCTGGCAGGCCAGCTGTGGCTGTGCCTTCTTTAGCTGCTCCTCTGGGGTAGAGGAATGGAGTCCATAATCCCCTTTGTTTTTTCTCCCTTGTTCCCGGCATCCTTATTTGCGAGGGCTTACCTCATCCTGGAAAATCCCTTCCCCTCCCCCGCTCCTGCCCGCAGCACCCCAGTGGGATGGGAGCTTTCCTGGCCCCAGTGCCCCATGGGTTAGTGAACTCTAGCAGGCTGGCCGGGCCTCTGGAGAGCTCTCCTGGGCCCTGCCCTGCCTGTGGCAGAGGCAGACCCTTCCCTTGTCCTGTCTGCCAGGAAATGTGCTTGGGGGAGAACTCCTTCGCCTCCCAGGGGCCAGGCTTTCTACCAAGAGGGAGGCCAGGCGGGAGCTAGGTTCCAGCCAGGGCTGGAGCTTCCAGCTTCCAGGGCTCCCTGGGCTGCAACAGCCAGGACACAGGCCTCTGGTGTTTAGGAAGCTGAGGGGAGTGCACAGGGCGGGACCGTCCAGTCCAGGTCTCCAGTTGGACAGGAACTCCCCAGAGCCAGGGTCACCTCAATAGAGCAGGGTCTCCTCTGTCCTCTGGGATGCAGCTTGAGAAATTTGTTCATTTATATATTCCAAAGCCATCAAGCACCCAGTCCATGCCAGCCAATCAACCCCCACAAGTCACTGGTCCCTGAGTCCCAGCTCCCCATTCAGTCAGACCAGAGCCAGCTGCCCAGAAGCGCTTCCGGAGAGGCCTTGTCGCACTGGGATGGCGCTGTGCCAGGCTGCTGCTTTGAGCTTGGGGGTAGGAGGGGGACAGTCCAGGCAAGAGGGACAGAAGCCTGGGGGAGCAGAGGAAAGTAGGTCACTAAAAATGACTTTTTTCTTTTTTTCCTTTTCTGTCCAGAGGCTGTCCCTACACCCTGCCTCACTCGCCACTTTGGTCCTGGCAGAGACAGTCCCCCAGCAGAGGGAGCGAAGAGGGAGGCAGCCAGGAAGGGTCAGGCTCGTCTGCCTCCAGCCCCAGACCGAGGCAGGCTGAGAACACTGTTCTCTCCTTTCCACCCTGCCCTGACTTCCGGCCTAGCCAAATTAGAAAAGACAGACCCTGGGCCGGGCGCAGTGACTCATGTCTGTAATCCCAGCACTTTGGGAGGCCGAGGCAGGTGGATCACCTGAGGTCGGGAATTTGAGACCAGCCTGACCAACATGGAGAAAACCCATCTCTACTAATAATACAATAATTAGCCGGGCTTGGTGGTGCATGCCTGTAATCTCAGCTACTCGGGAGGCTGAGGCACGAGAATCGCTTGAACCCGGGAAGCAAAAGTTGCAGTGAGCCGAGATCGCGCCATTGCACTCCAGCCTGGGCAACAAGAGCGAAACTCCGTCTCAAAAGAAAAAGAAAAGACAGACCCTGTGTCTAAGTTCCGGTATCAGTCCCAGGCAGTGAGCATTTATTGAGCTCCATCTGTGTGCCAGACTGCATGCAAAGTTCTACAGTAAAGAGGGAATAAGAGGCATCAGCCTCTTCCCCTTCCCCTACCAGAAACTCCCAGGTGAATGGGAGAAACAGAACTGTAGGCAAATCAGTGTATCCTGGGATGGGGTGGGAGACATTTGGCTCTCCTTGGCCACCACTGGGACCACTCTGAGGCTGGTAACCCTGGGAAGTGGTGCGAATGAATACAGGGAGCAGGGTGGGGATTGGCCCCTCTCAGGCCCAAGGGATCACCTCAAACCACACTTGTCCCACTCTTCTGCTCCCACCAAGGCCGCAAGTGTGGTTCTGACTTTGGGGCCGAACTGGGGCCTCCTTCCCTTTGGAGCCTTTGGCCAAGTATACAGAGGACAGGTTCCAGGGTTCTTCCTGCACTAGCCTCTGAAAGAGAGGCCATGGCAGTGACAGAGCTCAGGCCACTTCCCCATAGCCTCCAGACCCTCCCCCAGCCCCCATCCTCCAGCCCCAGGGCCTCAGGGAGCAGATTCTTTACATGCCTGTGGCCAGAGGCAGAACCAAGGAAGTGAGCAAGAGGGAGGTCAGCTTAGTGGAGAAAGGAGGAGAAAACGCCCTCCTCCAACCTGCCTCATTATTGACAGGCCGTGGGGAAAGAAGGGGTCACCAACTCCAGCCGTTTGAGCCCAGCCTGCCACCTGGGTCTAGCATTTGAGAATGAAGCCACGCCTCCCGCGGCCTGTCCTATCCCTAGCTCCCCGGGGACAGGCCTGGGCAATCTCTGGAAAGACCACGGTGTATTCTGCTAACCACTCACACTCCTGGTCTGTGCTTGCTCCCTCCACAGTTCAAACTTCCCAAAGAGTACAGCTGGCCTGAAAAGAAGCTGAAGGTCTCCATCCTGCCTGACGTGGTGTTCGACAGTCCGCTACACTAGCCTGGGCTGGGCCCTGCAGTGGCCAGCAGGGAGCCCAGCTGCTCCCCAGTGACTTCCAGTGTAACAGTTGTGTCAACGAGATCTCCACAAATAAAAGGACAAGTGTGAGGAAGACTGCGCAGTGCCACCCCGCAGCCCAGTGGGGTGCCATGCACAGGCCACAGGCCCTCCACCTCACCTCCAGCTCAGGGGCCGCACCCCGCCGCTGGCTAAGCCTTGTGACCCATCAGGCCAGTGAGTGGGCAAATGCGGACCCTCCCTGCCTGCAGCCTGCACAGATTCTGGTTTGAGGTTTGACTCTGGACCCTGGCTGTGCCCCTAGGTGGAGACAGCCCTCTTTCTCACCTACCCCCTGCCGCACAGCCCAGCAGGAGGGAGGCGGACAGCCAGATGCAGAGCGAGTGGATGCACTTCCCAGCTCATCTCTGGAAGCCTTTGCTACTCAAGCTCCTCTGGCCGCGGAACAATTCCTCTGATCATGTTTGGTTTTCTTCTTCCTTATTTTATTTTGTAGAAACCGGGTGGTATTTTATTGCTCTGCAAAGATGTCCAGAAGCCATGTATATAATGTTTTTTAAACAGAACTTCATTCCCCGTTGAACTTTCGCATTCTCTGACAGAGGCCTAGGGCTGTATCTCTCCCTGGGCTGCCACCAGAGAAGGTGCTTGGTGTTCGCCTGCCAGCCCAGAGCCCTGGAGGAGCCGGCTGCACAGAGAGGCTTTTCTTCCCAGCTGGGCCTGGTGGAGCCCGGGGCAGGGGGAGAGTAGAGACACTCCCTTGTGCAGCTTTGAGCCTAGTTTAGCTGGGGCCAGGGAGGGGTGCTACTGTTTTCCAAGTGAATGGGTCTCAAAGACTTGGTGACCCCAGCCTCATCTTCTAGGCCTTTTCCACCCAACCAGGCCTACCTGGGAGAGGGTGAGGTTCAGCACATCACACACCATCCCCACTGTCATTCAGGGCCTGGGTCTCCAGCTCTGTAACCAGTCCTGTCCCATTTCCTCAGTCCCTGGGCCTCCCAGCCTTCAGGCTGTAGGGCTGCCTTACTAAAATTGAAAAATCCACCTCTTAACATCTCTTTCACTTTGGTTTTGCTAACACTGCTCTCTGCTGCCCTCCCATCCTCCCTGTATCCATTCATGCCCTATCTTTCATTCTCCACTCCTAATCCCTCTCCTTTCTGGCATCCTGGCCTCTCGTGGTCCTCAGCCCCTCACCCCCAGTACTGCAGATCTCACAGTTTGCCTTCCAGAAGCCAGCCTATCTCTAGCCCATGGTTTTGGAGTTCCTCTCGGGTTATCTCCCACGCCTGACCTGGAACCAGCAAGCCCCTTTCCTGCCTTCTTACCCCCAACTCTAGGGATGGGACTGTTACAATACTTCAAGATCACTCTTTACACCTCTTCAAAGCAAAGTCATGACAATGCAGGGCTCCTCATTGCTCCCATCTGCCTCTGCTGCACACACAGGCACCAGCAGGGATGCCACAGGAGTGCCCACAGGGTGCAGGACTCCACTGATGAGAGATCCAGCCAAAGAGCTGCCCCCAGGGGTATGAGGGCACCAGCTGGGTTCTCCAGGGAGCAGGAGTTGGACCTCCATGGAGCCACTAGGCCTGGCCTCCTCTACACATCCCCAGGGCTATCTGGTTAATTCCATCAAGCTCAGAGTTAAAAGGCATATCAGCCTGGAGTATTTGGGAGAGACTGGCTGCAGATCCCCGCCAGCCAAGATGCAAGCCACTCGGGACCTGATGTCGGCAGCTGTGCCTCTACTGCCCTGAGGACTTACCAGAGGGAGCCCTACTGGCCTTCCCCCACCACAGCAGCCCTGCCTGTGAAGCTCTTGTTTCTGACATTTCACAGGCAGAGAGGTGCCATCAGTTCGCCTCCATTCCTTGCCACCATGACCAGCCTCTCCCTGAACTCTCTCTTGCTCGGGACCTGCCTGAGGGCTCCCTGCTGCAGTTCGCCGTACTTCCATCTGCTGGGTGCCTCCATCGTTGGTTGGGTGGGGATGGGGCATTTTCTGAGCTAAGCTTTGTCATTAGTTTGTGAAGCACCTGGTCAGCAACCTGCCCCAGACCTGGAGGGTCTTTGTGGACTGAAGGTAGACACCAGCCAGCATGGTGGCCCTGTTCTGGGGGAGCAGGGTAAGGCAGGAGGAAGTGGGTGAGCTCCGAGATGATGAGCACATGAAGCCTGTGGCCCCTTCGTACCTGCAATATGTCAGGAGCCTCACGCTCACCCAAGATCCTGCAGGGGCCAGGCTCCATCTCACTGGCTCTGAGGGCAGGACAGGGTATCACACATTTCTCACCAGGCCTCCTTTCCTATGGGCATTGGTGCCTCCCAGAGGTTTCTTGGGCTGCTGGCTGGTGAGAGAGGACCCTTAAAGAAGATCAAGCCAAGCTGACCTTGGACCCTGTCCAGCACAGCTTCTGGCACAGGATGCTTGGTGAATGTACCCTTTCTTTCCCTCCCTGCAGCTCTGAGGGAGCCCCTGACCTTGTAGTGGGTGGAGGAGGTAAGGGGCCTCCCTCCCTAAATCTGCCTCTTCTGCAAGCTACTTGGAGACTTGCCTAGTTGTACCCACCCCTCCAGGTCCCTGGTGCTAGAGCTTCTGAGAAGGGCCTTTCCCTTTCCTCTTTGCCTGCTATATAAGGCAGGCTCCTGTGGCTCTGCTGGCTCAGTGTGGGCTGCAGGAGGACTGCAGACTCAGCTGCAATTCTGAGGGGGGTTTGGGAGGCTTGTGCGAGGTCTCAGGCCTGTGTGGGGAGCTGGTGCCTCTTCCTGCCCGTATCTTTCTCTTCCAAGGGCAGTGCTCCAAGGCAGGGACTGGAGAAGCCAAGGGGAGAGTCTAAAAGGGCTAGAGCATTTTTAAAAATAGACACAGGGTCTTGGGACTGGGGTTTCGGATTGAGTTGCAAGCAGGGAGAAAACCTGAAGGTCGGTGCCCCTATGGGGCTGACCAGTAGAGAATTTCCTTTACTGTATTTTTGTGTCTGGTCTTCCCTTTCTGGCTTCTAGGACATCCATGCCAGGTGAGGTGCCTGGGTCCCTGTTACAAGTCAGGAGCCCTGTAGGGAGACCCCTCCTTTTGTACAAGTACCTGAATGCTGCGACAAGCAGATTTTTGTAAAATTTTATATTAGTTTTTAATGTCAGTGGCGACTCGGTTCCTGGGGCTGCAGCCAGCCTGGGACTTTTGTAAGAATTTTTGGGTGACTCACTTAGATGTCGTTTCCTTCTTGCCCCCTCTTCCTCTCTGTAATCTAAGTGCATTAAACATCTTTGCAGAAGTGCCTGGGTTGTGTGCTCATTTCTGGCTGCCTGAAGTAGTGGAGCCGGAAGCCCGGGGCCCTGGCAGAGGGAGTGGGTTGTTGTTAGCCACTTAGAAGCCAGGATGGAGGGAGGCCCCCAGGATTGTTGTCGAGAGTGGAGGAGGTGCCAGAGAGTGGGATCACACAGCTGGTGGCTCTTCAGTCTTGAAGAAATGACCTTGCAAGGACAGGCTCTCCCTCACTGGTCCTGAATTCCTCTAAGGTCAAGGGGGTGGGAGCGAGGAGCAGTCTGGGGAGATGAGGCGGTGGGAAAAGACCCTCTCCCTGCCACTACATCCCTCTTCTATCCTCCTCTCACCAAAAACCCCTTTTGCCTTAGGAAGAGGGGCCCAGACAGGTGAGGAGGGCAGGCCCTCCTCATCTCCTTTGGAGTCCTTGCCCGGCTTCCAGCTCCTCTCACATGACATCTAAATTCCACCTCCTAATCCAGGGCCCAGGGGCAGGATCCAGATAGAAGGGCAATTCAGAACCGGTGGCACCCACTGGGTGACACAGAGGCCAGCCCACCCGCCCTAGCAACTCCACTGGGCCTGGCAGTGGAGGGAGGTATCAGGTATATCTTCCTTTCCTGGACTGCCCAGCTCCTGCCTCTCCAGGGCTGGGGGGCAGCAAAACAGCCCAACGCCCAGTGTGGGGAGGCACTGAGCTGGGGGAGAAGGCACTAGCCTGGCAGGCAGGATAAGGGCTGCGCCCAGACAGAGTTCTTGGAACCTGTGACCACCTGGGCCCTCACATATTCATTCCCTTCTGGTTTTCTATCCTGGATAGTGGCAGGGGATTTGGCTGGGGCTGGGGGCTGGGGCGGAGGTCCTAGGACATCATAAGCAAGGGAGAGGGGGTGTCAGCTCCTATGAGGGGGTTCTTATGTCCTGTCCCTTCTGTGAGACCTAGCCATGTGGGGGGCCTTTGCTGAGAGGTCCGCACTCCTTCCCCTGCAGCCTCTTACTGAACTCTCCAACGGAGCAGTGCAGCAGGTCCTGTCTGGGGCCCTCATGCCCTTTCCCTTTTCTCCCCGGAGACTGGGGGCTGGGGGAGGTATCCTCATCTGACTTTAGCCTACAAGGACACAGTATCAGGGTGAAGTTCTTGCCCCAGAGAATGCAGAATAGCAAGATCCTCTGCTTAGGTGGTTCTGCAAGATACCAGGCTGACGCTGTTTCTGGAAAGAGAAGGACTCCTGGGCCTAGGGCAGAGACCCTAGCCCTAGAATTAGGGAGGAGAGAGATCTGCCATGCCATCTGTAATATCTCCTACAGAAAGTCATGTGCCTTCCTCCCAGGTGTCTGCTTTGCCTCATCTGGGGGCCTTGGGGAGGGAGTCCCACAGGTTTCAGGGGGGCTGGGGAGCCTGAGAGGTTTGCCAAACTGGCCTGACCAGAAGAAGAATGCAAACTACAAGTGACTCAACCCAGCCTGCCAGGCACGGAGGCAGCAGCAGGGTGCAAGGGGGTAGGTGGTGGGGAGGCCGGGGTGGGGTGATCTGCTGCGCAGGAGAAGGGGGAAGCCTGCAGGGGCAGGTCTGGATGTGGTCTGAGAGGGGCAGCCATCTCCAGGCCCCTTCCAGGGGACATGGTGGGACTGACCCGTTCCCTCCTTTCCTCCTTATTGCCAACAAGTCTGGGAGGTGAGGACACCATGAGGGAAGAAGCAGCTGACTGCTGGTGGGTGTCCATGGCTTGAATGAGCTTAACTCTCCAAGTAACTCGTAGGACGAGGGAAACTTTGAGGGGGTTATGATGAGAGTAGTGGTCTTACTGGGGCCAGAGAACTGGTCTTACTGGGGCAGAGACCCTCTTCCTTGTTTTTCCAATTTCACCCACACCCACCCCACACCCATTTCAGTACCACGAGAGCACTGCAAGGACGGAGAATGGAGTTTTGAGTCTTAACCTTTACAAGACAGATGAAGGCCAACCATGCATTGTCCAGCCTCTACAATAACACTGTGGGAATGAACTAGAAAACATTCCGTTGTTCTTTCAACAAGTGTGTGCCAGGCACTCTGTAATATACTGGGACGCTGGACTCAGGCCCTGCCTTAAGAGGCTCAGAGTGTGGTGAGGGGAAATAGACGAGGAAACAGATACTTATGAGGAAGAACCATCAAAGAGGAAGGCAGTAAGCTGCTTCCTGTCCTACCCCAGCTCCACCACTTATCAGGGTGACTTCAGACAGGTGCCTAACCCCATCTGCGGAGATTCAAAAAAACTCCCTGAAGAAGTGACATCTAAGCTAAAACCTAAAGGATGCTTAAGGATGAGTTGAGCAAAACAAGAGGAAACTTTACTTTCATAAGCTCTCCAGGCAGTCAAAAAAACAAGGGTAGAAGCCTTAAAACTGCTTGGGAACTAGAGTGCAAATTGCCTGGAGTATATGGTTTAAGGCATCAAACTTTCATTTTAGGATCATCTCCTTGTCTGCTGGATGGAGAATGTTTTGAAAGGGAGTAAGAGTGAAGGCAAGGTGACCAGTGATGCTTGGATTAGGGTAGAAGCAGTAGGGATGGAGAGAATGGGATTCATTTATTGATTCGACAAATATTTATTGGGGATCTACAATGTGCTAGGTCCCATTCTAGGCACCAGGGATACAGCATTAAAGAAAATACCTCCTTTGACAGATCTTACTTTTTTTTTTTTTGAGACAGGGTCTCACTCTGTCGCCCAGGCTGGAGTGTGGTAGCGCGATCTCAGCTCACTGCAACCTCCCAGGCTGGAGTGCACTGGCGCGATCTCAGTTCACTGTAACCTCTGTCTCCCGGGTTCAAGAGATTCTCCTGCCTCAGCTTCCCGAACAGCTGGGACTACAGGCACGTGCCACCACGCCCAGCTCATTTTTTATTTTTAGTAGAGACAGGGTTTCACCATGTTGGCCAGGCTGGTCTCGAACTCTTGACCTCAGGTGATCCACCTGCCTCGGCCTCCCAAAGCGCTGGGATTACAGGCATAAGCCACCGCGCCCGGCCTCACAGATCTTATATTTTAATGATGGGTGACAGATAATAATTTCTTTTTCTTTTTTTTGAGACAGAGATTTGCTCTTATTGCCCAGGCTGGAGTGCAGTGGCGCAATCTCGGCTTACTGCAACCTCCGCCTCCCAGGTTCAAGCAATTCTGCCACCTCAGCCTCCCGAGTAGCTGGGATTACAGGCGCCTGCCACCACGCCCAGCTAATTTTTGTACTTTTAGTAGAGATGGGGTTTCACTACGTTGGCCAAGCTGGTCTTGAACTCCTGACCTCAGGTGATCCACCTGCCTTGGACTCCCAAAGTGGTGGGATTACAGGCGTGAGCCACCATGCCTGGTCAGATAATAATTTTCAAAAGGAGGATATATCTTACATAGAGACCCATGCTATGGAGAAACAGAGGAGGAGGGATAGTGGGGCTGGAGGGAGGGATGCATTTTAAATAGAGAAGTCAGGGACGGCATCACAGCATAGGTGACATTTGAACAAAGGATAAGGATCTCAATTACTGGAAGAAGTGTGCCATAGGGCTATCTGGGGGAAGATGGGCCAGGGAAACTGAAGAGCACCTGCAAAGGATGAGGGAGTCAAGAATAAACACACCGGGTGTCTTTGAGAAGCACCAAGGAAGCCAGTGTAGGTGCAGCAGAGTGGGAGAAGAGAAGGCTAGAAAATTATGCAGAGGCCAGACTGTGCAGGACCTCGGAGGGAATTCTAAAACTTTCACCTTTATTCTGGTTGAATTGAGAAGGCATTGGAAGATTCTGAGCAGAGGAGTGACATTTTCTGATATATATATATATAATATATATATTATATATTATATAACTATATATTATATATAATATATATATTATATATTATATAACTATATATTATATATAATATATATATTATATATTATATAACTATATATTATATATAATATATAATTATATATTATATAACTATATATTATATATAATATATATATTATATATTATATAACTATATATTATATATAATATATATATTATATATTATATAACTATATATTATATATAATATATAATTATATATTATATAACTATATATTATATATTATATAACTATATATTATATACGATTATAAAATATAATCATATATAATATATGATTATAAAATATAATTATATATAATATATGATTATAAAATATAATTATATATAATATATGATGATTATAAAATATAATTATATATATTATACATGATCATATAAAATATATAATATACATGATCATATAAAATATATAATATACATGATCATATAAAATATATAATATACATGATCATATAAAATATATAATATACATGATCATATAAAATATATAATATATTATACATGATCATATAAAATATATAATATACATGATCATATAAAATATGTATTATACATGATCATATAAAATATATAATATATTATACATGATCATATAAAATATATAATATATTATACATGATCATATAAAATATATAATATACATGATCATATAAAATATATAATATAATATACATGATCATATAAAATATATAATATACATGATCATATAAAATATATATTATACATGATCATATAAAAATATATAATATATTATATATGATCATATAAAATATATAATATATTATATATGATCATATAAATATATAATATATTATATATGATCATATAAATATATAATATATTATATATGATCATATAAAATATATAATATATTATATATAATATATTATCCCAAAGTGCTGGGATTATAGGCATGAGCCACCATGCCCAGCCATTCTGACTTATGTCTTTAAAAAACTGGCCGGGGCCTGGTGTGCTGGCTCACACCTGTAATCCCAGCACTCTGAGTCCAAGGTGGGCAGATCACTTGAGGCCAGGAGTTCGAAAACAGCTTGGCCAACATGGCAAAACCCAGTCTCTACTAAAGATACAAAAATCAGCTGGGTGTGGTGGTGCACACCTGTAATCCCAGCTACTTGGGAGGCTGAGGCAGGAGAATCACTTGAACCCAGGAGACAGAGGTTACAATGAGCCAAGTTCGTGCCACAAAAAAGATTACCCTGGCTACTACATTGAGAATTGACTCCAGGAGTTAAGGGCAGAAGCATGGAAACCAGTTAGGATACACTGAAATAATCTAGGCAAGAGATTATGGTGAAGTAATGGAGAGGTTAAGAAGTAGTCAAGATTTGCTGGCTGGACACAGTGGCTCACACCTGTAATCCCAGCACTTTGGGAGGCCAAGGCAGGTGGATCACTTGAGCTCGGTAGTTCAAGACCAGCCTGGGCAACATAGCAAGACTCCATCTCCACAAAAAGTACAAAAATTGGCTGGGTGTGGTGGCATACACCTGTTGTCCCAGCCACTCTGGAGGCTGAGGCAGGAAATCACTTCAGGCCAGGAAGCAGACATTGCAGTGAGCCATGATCGCACCACTGCACTCCAGCCTGGGCACTACAGAGACCCTGTCTCAAAAAAAAAAAAAAAAGATCTGCTGAAGGGTTGGTTCACCAAAAAGCAGAATACGGCAACAAGAACAGGTTTAAGAGGGAGCAGAGATTAGTATCCTTTTGGACATGCTGAGTTTGAGATGTTTGTTCTAACCACATGAGGATGTCATGTGAGCAATAGATATACAAGTGGATGATCGGAGAGATTTAAGAGAAGGACCTATAGGACCGGATACCTGATTGAATGGATAAGGGGTCAGGGAGGGCAGTAAGGGACAGACAGCTGTCAAGGTTGTCTTCTTCATCCTCAGCTTGGTAATACATTTTTGAAGTCCAGGCGCGGTGGCTCACGTCTGTAATCCCAGCACTTTGGGAGGCCGAGGAAGGCAGATCACCTGAGGTGAGGAGTTTGAGATTAGCCTGGCTAACATGGGCAAAATCCTGTCTCTACCAAAAATACAAAAATTAGCCAGGCATGGTGGCGCGCACTTGTATTCCCAGATATTTGGGAGGCTGAGGCAGGAGAATCGCTTTAACTTGGGAGGCAGAGGTTGCAGCGCGCCACTAGCACTCCAGCCTGAGTGACAGAGCAAGACTGTCTCAAAAAAAAAACAAAAAACAAAAAACAAGTTGTTGATAGGTCCACCAATAGAGATGGGGAATGCAGGAGGAAGAACAGGCTGGAATGTGAAGATAATGAGTTTGGCTTCCAATACATTGAATTCAACGTGCCTGTGGGACATCTGTGCAGACAGCATAGCCAGTTACACAGATCTGCAACCAGGAGGTGAGGATTTAGCCTGGAGATACTGACTGGGGAGTCATCAGCATGTAGATGGTAATAAAGCTCAGGAGTAAATGAGATAGCCCCAGGGTGTAGATTGGTAAGAGAAGAGGATGGAAAGCAGAACTCTGAAGACTGCCAACATTTATGAGATGGAAATTGGAGACATCTATGATTAGAAGATAAGAAGAAAACGACAAGCATATGATATCTTACAAGTTAAGGGGAGTGTTCAAAAAAGACAAGAAGTGAGGAATTGTTTAGATTGTTTATCCTGGAGGTCACTGGTGAGGAGGTCAGAAAGGGCCCTCCAACTGCTTCCAAGCTAGACCTTCTTTCTTTGCACCATCCTTACAGCATGGAATTGAGGATTAGGGCTTAGAAGCCACTTTCTCCTTGTTTGTTCATTCATTCATTTATTCACATATTCACTTGCCCTGCATATAACCCCCCATGTGAAGAGATACAAAACACTAAAGACAGGCTCTGTCATCAGAGGATCAGGGACCCAGGGGTCATACTGAACTAGATTTCAATCTCAGTTCTACCATTTAGAACATAATCTTTGATGACTCCAAAATCCCTATCTCCAGGACAAACATCCCCACTGGGCCTGTATATACAATTGTCTCCTCAATATTTCCATTGGGATATGAGCCAACTCAACTTAGAAAATCCCTTTACTCACCAGCCTGGGCAACATGGTGAAACCCTCACTCTACAAAAAAATACAAAAATTTAGCTGGGCTGTTTTGTGAGCTTGTAGTCCTAGCTACTCAGGTGGCTGAGGAGGTAGGATCACCTGAGCCTGGGAAGTTGAGGCTGCAGTGAGCCATGATTGCGCCACTGCACTCAAGCCAGGGCAACAGGGTGAAACCCTGTCTCAAAAAAAAAGAAAAGAAAAGAAAAGAAAAGAGAAAATAGAGAAGAAAAGAAAATACCCTTACTCAAATAATCTAATCCTGTTCAATTTTCCCCTTTTTAGTAAATGGTGCTACCATCAGCCTTTTGTTGAGATCCAAATCCTAGGAATCATTTTTAAAACATTTTTGGAGGATAGAAGGGAAAAATATAGAGTATAAATATTATAGTATAGCCTGGCATGGAGGCTGACGCCTGTAATCCTAGCACTTTGGGAGGCCAACGCAGCTGGATTACCTGAGGTCAGGAGTTTGAGACCAGGCTTACCAATATAGTGAAACCTTGTCTCTACTAAAAATACAAAATTAGCCAAGCGTGGTGGTGCATGCCTGTAACCCCAGCTACTCAGGAGGCTGAGGCAGGAGAATCACTTGAACCCTGGAGGCGGAGGTTGGAGTGAGCCGAGATCACGCCATTGCACTCCAGCCCGAGCAACAAGAGTGAAACTTGTCTCAAAAAACAATAATTATAGTATATATAATATATGGTATATTATAGTATATATATGGTATAGTATATATGGTATATTATAGTATATAATATATGGTATAGTATATATATGGTATATTATAGTATATATAATATATGGTATGGTATATATAACATGGTATATTATAGCATATATAATATACACTATAAATACATATAATACATATAGTATATTTATACTATATACTTATCACCATATACTGTATATCCTATACTAGATATAATATGTACTATATATAATAGTATACTATACTTTTATAGTGTACTTATAATATATAGTATCTTATACTATACTTATATAGCACACTTATAATAAGCGTACTATTATATAATATATAATAGATATATAAGGAAGGCCCTGTGTGTTCTGGCCCCTACCTTTCTTCCTGGACACATGGCCTTCTTTCTGTCCTGGAACCTGCCTGTTCTATTGCTTTTGCATTTGTTTTTTCTTCCGACTGGATCGCTCCTCCCCCAGGTTTCACCTATCTGACTCTTTGTGTGCATTCAGGTCCCAGCTCAAATGTCACTTTTTCAGAAAGCCTTTGTGTGAGCCTGTTATTCTCTATCACGTAAATTGTCCTCCGTGTATTTACGTTAAATTTTTTGTACGTTTTTCTGGGAATTCTCAGGGCCTAGAAAAATATTTTGTTAAAGATTTATTGACTGACCATTGACCTTGGCAGATTTCTGCAGTTCTTTAAGCCATGGTTTCCTTATTAATAGAGGAATAAATGCCTATCTTGCTAGGTAGTTTAAAGTGCCAGGGATGAAGTTAAAAGTATTAAGGACATCGGGAAATCTCCCCACACTGAACCTTTGCATTTCCCTGCTCAGTTCCACCGGACTGCTGAGCAGACCGACAAACGCTCCTTTCCCTCTGGGTAAAAAGAGCCACGGGTCTTCACTTCAGGCCCAGGAAGAGGTGGTCCCACTACGCCGTGGCATCATCGCTTTTTTAACAAGCGCGGAAAACCCCCTCCCATCCCAATGTTTAATGTACCGAAGTTTGTGAGAGTCACGTGAGACTCTCGGGTCTGCCCCGCCTTAGGGAGGTGGAGCCTCAGCTTGTGGGCCAATAGCAGGAGCAGCCTCCGGAACAGCCCCAACGCGACAGGGAAAGGGGGAGGAGCCGGGCGCCCGGCCCTGTAACTGTACTTCCGGAAAGCACGCCCCGCCCCTTCCCCCCCACCGCGCCCGTTTCTTTCGCCAGTGCCGGGTGGGCCGAACCGGCGGGTGCCGATTAAAGGCGCCGCCTGCCGCTTTCTCCTCGCCCCCCAGCGCCGCAGCTCTCCGCCCCCTTCCCGAGTAGCGGGACCGGCCTTGATGTAGGGACACCACCCCCCGTCTCCTTCCGCCCCAGCCCGGGAGCTCGGCTCGCTGCAGCCCCTGGCCCTCCCGTTTCCCCACCCTGCCTGCCCCGCTCTGCTCCGAACCCATTGTATACGGCCGGCTGCGGACTCCCAGGCCGGGCCGTGGCGGGGGCCCCGGGACCCCCGAGTGCCCCTCCGGCTGGTCCCGCGGGCCGCGGCATCTCCGCCGCCGCCTTCCTCGCGGCGGCGGCGAGGGCGCCCTTTCCTCCCCGCGCGGGTGACGGGGACGCACCCCCACCCCGGGGCGCCCCTTCGCGGGGGGAGAGCCGGGCCCGAGCAAGTCGAGGCAGGAAAGGGCCGCCACGGACTGCCCGGCCCGCCGATCGTTTTTATTATCGAGATTATTATTAAAAGGGGGCGGGGACCCCAGGACGCGGGGGAGGGGCTGGATACGCAGGTATTTTTATTAAACAGATTATTCCTGAAATAATAATACGCGCAAGATGGCTGAAGGTGGCTGTGATGAGAGTGTTGGGGTTGGGATTTTTTTCTTCCTGTTTTTTCTTTTTTGATCTGAGGATAAAGCTCTGAGGCGACAGCGGCTGCGGAGACCCTGCCCGAAGCGCCCTCCCCTCCCTTGAGAAGCCGCGGGCAGACAGACGGACCTCGGACCGAGCAACGGGTGCGGGCCCGCCCCGGACGCGTCGCCTGGGCAGCAGCCGGGGACCGCGGGCTCTCGCCTTTCTGCCGACTTCTTCCAATTCTCATCTTCTTTTATTTTTTGGACAGGACCGGGGTGGGTGGAGCAGAGGTGGAGAGAAATCGGGACTTGGCATTTTCTCCCTCTCTCTCTCCTAATTTGTTGGAGGCCGCCAGCCCTCCCCTTGGAAAAAAAAAAATCCCACCAAAAAAAAAAAAAAAAGAATCAGGAGCGAGAGGACGCCGCGGGGCCCTCAGCGAGCGCGCCCAGACCCCGGCCGCCGCCGCGGAGCCCAAGATGGCTGGGCGCTGAGGGTGGCGGCTCGGCCTGGCCCCGCCGCCGCAGGCTGGCTCCGACCGCAGCCCCGAGCCTTCCAGGCCCCAGCAGAGGCCGAGAAGAAAAGAAAGTGGGGAGGAGGGGGCCGGGGGGGCGAAGGGGGAGGGCCGGGGGAGGGGAGGGGAGGGCCGGGAGCCGAGCCTCCTGTTCATTAGCAGTTGAGAAAAATTCCTTTCTAGTTTGATCAATCCTTGTTTTCCTCGGCAGAGCCCGGGCGCCCGCCCAGCGCGGAGACGGGCGCGCGGGGTCTCTCCGCGGCGGGGGCGCCGGGCCTCGGGGGAGCGCAGAAGTAGCCGCCCGGGGGTCAGGCCGGAGCGCCGCCGGGGCTTCTCCCTCCCTCCCTCGCCGGTTGCCTTTTTTTCCACTTCTCTCCCTCCCCCTTCCGTTTCTATTTGTGAAGGGAGGAGGAAGGCAGAGGCGGGCTGGTGTCTCTGGCCGGGGACTGGAATTTCATCTGAATGACTGCCCCTGCGCGCACGCAGCGCCCCGGAGTCGGCCCGCCCGCGCCCCGCAGCCCGCGCCCGGCCAGCCAGCCGGGGGACGCCTGCACCGTGGCCCGGGGACCGCCGGCCTGCCCCTCCCGCCCCGTCCGGATCTAGCAGCCCTCGGCGCGGCCGCCCTCGCCTCCTGGCCCCGCAGACCCCGGGCTCCGGCCCCTGCGAGGGAGGTGCGGCGCCGACGAGCCAGGCAGGAGCCGCCGCTGCCGCCGCCGCCGGAAGAAGTGTGCTGCTCCCAAGCTCCGTCTGCCGCGGGGCGCGCCCCAATGTCAGCCGCGGGGACGAGCGCAGGCCGCGGGCCGCCACTGCCCTAGCCGCGCCGACGGGGAGGCGGCCTCTTATATGGAATTTGGACCCCGGCGCTCCCCTCCAAGGCTGGAGTCCCGGCCGCGGCCCTGGCGCAGTCCGCCGCCTCCCGCTAGGCGCTCGGGAGGAGGAGGAGACGCAGCCCGCTGCGCGCGCGGCGTGAGGACCGCGGCTCCCTCCTCCGGGGGGCGGGCACGCGGAAGGCGCTGCTGACTGAGCGACCGTCGGGGCCGGCTGGGGCCGGAGCTCGGGGCTCGGTGGGCCTACAGCGGCTCCGGACGGACCCCCGGGGCTGGGGAGTCGGGGAGGCCTGCCCCGGCCCCCTGCCCGCGGCCGCCATGGCGGAGAATTGGAAGAACTGCTTCGAGGAGGAGCTCATCTGCCCTATCTGCCTGCACGTTTTCGTGGAGCCAGTGCAGCTGCCGTGCAAACACAACTTCTGCCGGGGCTGCATCGGCGAGGCGTGGGCCAAGGACAGCGGCCTCGTACGCTGCCCAGAGTGCAACCAGGCCTACAACCAGAAGCCGGGCCTGGAGAAGAACCTGAAGCTCACCAACATCGTGGAGAAGTTCAATGCCCTGCACGTGGAGAAGCCGCCGGCGGCGCTGCACTGCGTGTTCTGCCGCCGCGGCCCCCCGCTGCCCGCGCAGAAGGTCTGCCTGCGCTGCGAGGCGCCCTGCTGCCAGTCCCACGTGCAGACGCACCTGCAGCAGCCCTCCACCGCCCGCGGGCACCTCCTGGTGGAGGCGGACGACGTGCGGGCCTGGAGCTGCCCGCAGCACAACGCCTACCGCCTCTACCACTGCGAGGCCGAGCAGGTGGCCGTGTGCCAGTACTGCTGCTACTACAGCGGCGCGCATCAGGGACACTCGGTGTGCGACGTGGAGATCCGAAGGAATGAAATCCGGGCAAGTACCCTACGCGCGCGCGCGCACACACACACACACAGACACACAGTCCCTTCCTCTCTCCCGCCCCGGGACCACCCATCCCGACAGGCTGACTCTTGTGACATCAGGCCAGTGGCCCCTGGCCAAACTCTTCTCTGAAAGTTTGGGGACAGGGTCCTGGGAAGAAGGGCCCCGGGTCGCTACTTGGTACATTCTCGCACCTGTGCGCACAGGGTCCGTCTTCTGAGTGCTTTATGGGATTGGGGTGTGGGACCGTCAGGGGTAGAGTCTGGGTGTTGCTTTTCTGTGGTGCGCAGCTCCCTCCCCCAGTCTTGTTGCTGTAGGCCCTACGGGAAGTCACCGAGGCAGTGACCCCGGTCCTGCCTCTCCAGCTGCTGTTTATGTAATGAGTGTCCCGGTGCCGCTGCTGTGGCTGACATGATCCATGATGCTGGCATACCAATGAGGAAGTAAACAAAAGCAGCCATGTTAGTTTTCAGCGCTATTGGAAACACACTGGGGGGGGAGTGGGGGGAGTTTCCAGAGGGAGAGCAGAACTCCGGCCGTCTCTCTGGACAGGGCCTGGGCAGCCAGCGAGGCCCCGACAGCGGCTCCGCTATTTGGATTCCTCCCGAGAGCCGGCTCTCCCTGTGTGAGAATCGCTGCCCTGTGTGCCTGTGTGTCGCACGGGCCGCATGAACAAGCCTTCAAGTATCTGTCTTCATCATCCTGGCCCTTTCGCCTAGCACAGCCCTCTCGCCGCCCTCCCACATTTGGGGAGGGGAAGTGGAAGACGGAAAAAGAATCCTGTGGGTTTAAGGTTGAGCCGCCTTGAAATCTGGTTTCAGGCAGCTGGCTCCCCTGGGCTGCCGGCTGGGTGATTACGGAACCGCGTCCCCTCCCATTGTATACACCCTGCGGCCGCGGCCAATGTCAAACCGCCTCCCCCCTCAGGCCTCTGGGCCTGGTTTTGGAGCTGGACTGAGGCAATACTTCCGTCCCCTTCAGTGGAGGGGGCTCCTCCTAGGTCCCTCCCCAGTCCTCTGGCTTTCAGGGTTGAGTCATACCAAAATGAAGGGGTTGGCCTGACACCGAGGAGTCCTCTCTGAAGCCCCACCTTGGGGCCTGGGGCCTGGGTGTGATATCTGGGGGCTAGGCTGCACTCTGGTGGGACTGGGAGTGTCTCTGGGTGGGGATCCCTGGAGGTTAGTGGAGGCCAGTGCGGAGGCTGGCTATGAGGAAGCTCTGTTCAGGGCATGATTGGAGATGGGGCTGTTTCCTGTGTGGGGGGACCAGTCAGAATGAGTCACTGTTTAGCAATTAAAAAACATACACATACAACCAACAAAAGGCAGGAGGGCCACCACAGGCTGGGGCGGGGGCAGCAAATACGATTTGCTGTATAATTAGTTTCCAATCGGATGGACTAGCCCTGGGTTTGTGTGCCAGGATAGGCCTCTGGTTTCTTAAAGGAAGTGTGTCCTCCACCCCCTGTGTCCTCCATCCCCGTTCAGGGCAGGCACAGCCCACACTTTCCCCAGTATTGGGAAGCTGCTGCTATTAATAAAGATGGAAGGGCTGGGGGAGGAGGCCGGGAAAAGTGCAGAGGCAGGAGAAAGGAGGGCTGTCCAGTTCTGTCCTGGGATTGGCAGTGGAAAATGAGAGGAGGGGAAAGGAGATGTGGCTGAAAGGAACAGGGGAGGGGCAGCAACCTGGGCGATGGGCGGATGCCTGCCCGCACCCACAGTGCTGCTGTAGCTGGTCTGAGTTCTAGGGATGTCTTTAATTGGGGTGGGGGAGAAAACGTCATTATACCTGACTTGGTGTAGGAGGATAGCTTTAGGTGTCTGTGTTTTTGAATGTCTTTGAGACTGTGTGCTTCGCCCTCCAATGCACCTGTCTCCTGTCTCTACAGTTCAGGGCACAGGCAGGGGTGGGTGGGTGGCATGTGCATGCAGAGTATTCCCTGGGGTGCCCCCCAGCAGGCCCCTCATTTCCAGACTCGTGGATTGGATGGAAGCAGGCACTGAACTTTGTCGGCAACTCCGCAGGGTGTGTGTGTGCGTGTGTGCGTGTGTGTGCGTGCGCGTGCATGCGCGTGCTTTCTTGTGCCTGGTGTGGGCAGGCTCAGAAGTAGTGGGTTGCATCAGGGCCAGATGTGCAATTCTGTGCGTTCAGCAGCTGTGCCCTGCAGTGGCAGCCTGAGCCTCATCCTTCTCCAGGTTCCCCCTCCCCAGGCCCCTGATTCTTTCTGGTGCCCCAGGCCACTGGGGTTGGAAACCCTTCAGTAGCCCAGTGTCACTCAAGTATGAGTTTGACTTATTGAATGTGGAGGAATAGGGGCCCTGCCTGCCCTCCCAGGAGGGAGAGGAGGGGGTGAACCATAGGAACCTAAATGGAAGAACCCTCTGCACTCTCTGTAGGCCAAACAGGGGGAGTGGGTGGAGCGCTCTTCCTTGGCCCCTTTTCTCTTCCCGGAGGGAGTCTGCCTTAAAGGGCCTTTGCTGGTGTTGTGGGCGAGGGCCACAGAATTCCCCAGGATACAGGGGCAGAAGCACAGAGACCTGGCACCTGCCTTAAAATCTAGGCTCTGCTTCTTGTGCGTCCTCTTCTGCCCTCCCAGGGGGATTGCTGACATGCCTGTCAACTGGCTAGAAATAGGAAACTCTGATTAACCCCTCCCTGGTGGCCTCACCCTCATATACTTACAGCATCCACAGGTGCACATGGGCCATAGCCTAGAGCAGGGACCCAGCAGGAGAGCAAACAGGTCCTCCATCCATCCTGGGGAACTACAAGGGGGACTCTCAGAATCAGGCCCAAGCAGGTTGTTGCCCTAATCTTCCCTTGGGAAGCCAGTGTGTCGGCCACATTGCCGAGGCCTGGATACTCACTGGATGATCCCGAGACCATTGTCTAGGATGTGCCTAGATCCTAAATGTGCTCTCCCATGAGGCTGTGGGGAAGCTAAGGGCCCAAGATTTGGACATCCAGGTGGGCTCAGGCCTGGCAGTCCTGAGTGGTCAGACCCCTCCTAGCCCCCAGGTTCAGGGGTTCATCTAAGCATTGAAGGACTGGTGGGAGCTGGGGGGCATCCTTATCTCATGACCCCCCATGACATGGAAAGAAGACCCAAGAGCAGGCCCGGTTGCATGTGTGAGGGGCCTGCAGGTATGTGGTGCGTATGTGTCTATGCAGGTGTATCTGCTTGAGTCTTGTGCAGTTACGGTTGTGTTTCTGCATCGTCCCTGGTGTCCCAGAGCAAGGCCAGACATGTTGCTAGGGCCCTGTTCCTTGCATTTTCAGAGGTTCAGAGTCAAGAAGAGGTTCTCTGGGGGAGGAGATCCCACTGCTTGGGCCAGTGTGGGGTTTGCCCCTGCTTGGAGTGAGGGTATCCTGTGCACATTGCCGGTGGCTGGAGGGGTCACCCTGAGACCCTGGAGGGAATCCTGGGTTTCCTCTCCATTTATCTGTCTCTGAGTACGCAGTGAGAGTGAGGGCTGGCTCTACTGGGGCTGGTGCTGAGGCTGGGGCTGCAGCCTGACTCCAGCAGTGCAAACCTCACTGCTCCCTCTCCCTACAGCAGACCATACTCCTGCAGGGGTGTGTGTGTTTGTGTGCACGCACGTGTGTTTGTGGTGTGACGGTCATGTGGCCCCTTCTTTGGCCACCCCCGAGTCTTCGTGGAAGGAGGCCCTGGCTTGGCTTTCTCCGTTGCCCGTGAAAGGGAGCCTCAGGCAGAGGCCCAGCTGCCCACCCCTACCCCAGGATCCTGCTGACATGGCCAGGCACCTGTCATGCACACACTATTATTACTCTGCCTTCTGCGGCCCTGGGTGGCTGCACATCTGTGTCTGTCTGCAGGTGTGTGTGTGTGTGTGTGTGCGTGCATGTGTAGCCAGCACGTCTGGGTCGTGTATCTTGGATGTGACTGATCTTTTTGCATCTCACATGGGTGTCTCTGAGAAGGCGCAGCCTGCCTGACTTCAGTCCCTAGTTGCGCAGCCGTGTCTGCCTGCCGGGCTTGCTGAGCGCCTGCGAGTTGAAGTTGAGTGTGCCTTCCTGACAGTTGGCAGCACTACTGTGCTGCTGTGTGAGTGCCCGCTCAGGTGATCCTTGCTTGGTGGCTGTGAGTTTGTCAGGGGTCCTGGGACTTCCCCCTGTGGTGGGGTTGTTGGGGAAAGGAGGGAAAGATGGGCTTCCCCTTGGGGTGAGCCTGTGGCGGGTATTGGAGGCAGGAGCTGAAAGGGTCCTGCGCTGTTGTGTTGGGTGCAGTCTGGCGAGGCGGAGCAAGCCCGGCTTGGGCCCCTGCCCCGGGCCGAGCAGGCTGGCCTGGCTGGCCTCCTCCCTGGCTCTGGGAAAGCCTTCCTTTCCCGGCTGGCCTGGCATTCAAAGCCAGACAAAGGGGGGCTTTCTCTCTCGCCTCTTTGTTCTGCTGCCCCAGAGCGCTGCTCTCTGCATGGCAAAAGCTAATTCCACTCTGCAGCTGGGAAGCCCTCTCTGGGGTCTGCCGGGCTCGCATCTGAGGTGCTGCCTCTCTCCTTGCCCTGGCGCCTGCCCTGGAGCCCCTTCCCTCTGCAGCTTGTGGTTTCCCCAGCCTGGGGTTCAGTTCACATGATAGCCCAAGGCAGTGGCTTGAGGCATGGAAAGGGGGTTTAGGGCAGGCAGAAGCTTTTCTGAGGAAAGGGGAGAGTGCTATGAGCGCAGAGACCCAGGGAGAGATGGGGACAGGGACCAGGGGGAGGAGTAGGGGAGGGTTAGGATGGGGTGGCTCTGAGAAGGGGGCTGGAGCCAGAACTGGAGCTGGCCGGGCAGGGACCTAAGCAGGAAGAGGCTGCCCAGCCCCCTCTTCTTGCCCCTCCCACCACCACAGGGGCTTCTGGAGCTAGCCATGGTCTTGTCTGAAAACCTAGGGACTGCCTCTGTCCCAGTCCCTGGGGCCCTGTTTCCTCCTGACCTTGTTTCTCTTCAAGGTTGACTTGAGGGTTTTATTATTATTATTTATTAACTTTTATACAGCCCAGAGTCCCCAAGCCTCACCCGTCTGCCCAGTCTAGTCTGGCATCAAAAATGGCAGCTGGCCTGGCCAGTCAGTCTCCAGAGGGACATGAGGCTTTCCTGGGGCAGGAATGTAGGGGCTCAGGGTTCGCTGCTCCAGGCCGGGAGGGGAGTCAGAGGAAGCAGCGGCAAAGCTGAGGAGTGGGGGCCCAGGTGGTGGAGGGTGGGAATGGCGGCTCCTGATTCTTCATGCTTTTGTCCTCATAGGCCCCGGGCAGATCACCAAAGGCCTGAGGCCCGACAGGCAGGGCTGGGGGTGTGAAGGTCCTCCCTGGGCCCCACCTAGTCCCAGTCTCCCTGGTGGCCTGGGGCCTCCAGAGCTTCTAGCCCAGGCCACGTTCCACTCTGCTCTGCTCCTGCATGCTCCAGTGTACGCAGTCCAGGCCATGCACTGCTGTGGGGGGATGGGGCGGTGGCATGTGTAAGGTGCCTCCAGCCCACCTGCCTGCGCAGAGAGTACTTGCTCTGAACTGAGCTGGGAAATCTGGTCGGATCTCAGCTATGGGTTTTTCCCAGGTGGGAAGTGGGGCCTTGGCTCTTAGCCATTCCCTGGGGAGGCAGGTGGGGGTTGGGATGGAAAGGAGGCTGCTGGTGGTGGGGGGTCTGGGCCTTGCTTCCTCTGCTCCCTGTTTTCCAGCATTTTCCAGTGTCTTGGCAACCTGATTTGCTCATTCGGTGAACTGGGGTGGGGTCGTGAAGGGGACGGCAGGCAGGTATTTCCCATCTTCCTTCCAGTTTCCCAGGCTTGAAGCGGCAGCAGCTCCCACTGTTCTCCCAGGCGCTGTCTGTAGCAGGAGTTGGCCCTGAGGGAGAGCAGGCCAGACCAGTGCAGCCCCCCGGACTCCTCCCTGGCTGGCACCCCCTGGCCAGCCTCCTTCCTCTTCCTGCTCTCACTCCAACCCCTGCAGCAGAGACAGGAGCCCAGTGGCCTCAGCAGCAGGAGGGGGAAATGAAACCCTCCCACCTGCTAGGGACTGTGTGGCCTGGGCTGGTGTCCCACCCAGATTGCCTGGGACAGACAGAAGCTTGGGAAGACCCTGCCGGCTCCCAGGGTAGAAGTGCTGTCAGGGGAGGCTGAGGAAAGCCCGGAAGAAGAGGGAAGGGGCTGAGCCCCACCCCCCCAGGACTGGACAGGAAGGCCCTCCCTCTGCTGTGCCCTGAGGGGTCACTCCCTGGGCATCAGCAAGGGATGGGGCAAAGGGGCACCCACCAGCCTGCGGGGTGGGTGTGGACAGCTCAGTTCCTGTCCCCAAGGAAGCTGCGCTGGGACCTTGGAGCTGCCTCTTTCCTACCCCTCCCCTGGGACTCACCTGAATCCTCCCTGAACCAGCTCCTGGTGGGTTTGGTC
The DNA here is from genome assembly GCF_000001405.40 of Homo sapiens. Lineage (NCBI taxonomy): Eukaryota > Metazoa > Chordata > Mammalia > Primates > Hominidae > Homo > Homo sapiens. Next base: position 102,651,576 of record NC_000010.11, read on the forward strand.
GTGGAGAAGCAGCCATGCAGTAAGCCTGTGGTGTGAGATGTGTGGGGCCAGCAGGGCCTTTCAGATGTCCTGGGCACTGGATGGAGGGATCAGCCTGGACTCTGAAGAGCACCTGGGGGGCCCTGTCCTCCTGAGGGTGGGCTTGGGGCAACCAGCAGGCAAGAATTTGAGGGCCAATTGTTCCAGGGGAGGTCAGTGGGCCTGATGTTCCCAGAGTGTCCTGGCCACCTCGCCATCGTGCCAGGCCTCTTGCCATTGTCTGGGGCCTCCAGGAGGTCCAGCCTTCCCTGTGAGGGGGTTGGGTCAAGTGCCTTTGCACCTCTGGCTGTGCCCGCCAGCATACCTGAGGCGGGCTCGGGGCTCAGGTGGCAAGGTATTCCCATGTGCGTGCGCAGCTTTGTGCCAGGTGCCCCTGCGCCTGCCCACTCATGCTGTGTGTGCTGTCGGGCTCTGACCCTTGGGCTGGCAGCAGATTCCTGTGCCTCTTGGTGCTTCTGGGGGCAGGGCAAGGTCTCCCAGGCCTGATTCTTTTAGAGGTCCTGTCCTGGGTCACTGAAAGGTTAAGTTGTGTGTGGGCCCCCTGCACCCAGCTTATAAGGTGAAAGCCTCACCCCCACACTTCCTCCTGCTCCCAGGGTTCTGGTTTTTTCCACAGTAGCCTCCAACACAAAATAGGGTCAGGCTGAAGTCTGTGGTGGGCCTTGGTTTGCCCCTACGTAAAATGGGCTGGCGGGGTGAGGAAGGGATTGATGGCAGCTTGTCTTCGGGGAGCCAGCTGGGAGTGGCTGGGATGGGAGTCATGGGGTTGAACTGGAGGGTTACTTTGAGGCCCCCACAGAGGAAGAAAGAGAACCACTCCTTGCAGCATGACAGTTACTGTGAATGTCTGTGGTTACACAGAGCTGCTTTGCAAATTTTAGTTTGTGTATGGAACCCATGGGCTTATTGAGTGAATTTGTTATGCATCTCAGGCCGCCCAGGCCTTTGTGTGGCCTGCCTCTGAAGGAAGGTGGAGAAAGACAGCAGCAAATCCCCATTCTTAAGAGGCCCTGTGTCTTGTAGGGAGATGAGACCATGGTTTGTGAGGCAATTAGAAGACTCCAGAATAGTGCTGTCTAATAGAACTTCTGCATGATGGTAACATTTTATAACTTTAGTATCTGAGACTAGTGATACGTAGGTACTGGGCACTTGAAATGAGGTTGGTGCATGAGGAACCGATACTTAACTTTTTTTTTTTTTTTTGAGACAGACTTTCGCTCTTGTTGCCCAGGCTGGAGTGCAATGGCGCGATCTTGGCTCGCTACAGCCTTCGTCTCCCGGGTTCAAGTGATTCTCCTGCCTCAGCCTCCTGAGTAGTTGCGATTACAGGCATGCACCACCTTGCCCAGCTAATTTTGTATTTTTAGGAGAGATGGGGTTTCTCCATGTTAGGCTGGTCTCGAACTCCCGACCTCAGGTGATCCGCCTGCCTCGGCCTCCCAAAGTGCTGGGATTACAGGCATGAGCCACAGCACCTGACCTTATTTTTTATTTTTTGTTAACTTGGATTTAAATAGCCACATATGACTAGTGGCTACCATATTGGACAGCACAACCTGAGAGGGAGGGCAGAATGGGACAGCCCCACCCCGTAGCCAGGACAGGGAGGGACCTGCACAGGCTCAGAGCAGGGGTCATGGAAAGTTTCCTAGAGGAGTGGGGACTTCAGTTGGGCCTTGAAGAATAGACAGGGGAGGGAGGAGGCACTGTGGGCTGCAGAAGAATGTACCTAGAGCTACAGGGAGTTTCCATGTGTGGAGGGCTGGGGACAGGATACCAGCCCAGCTGGCTGGAAGAGTCAGGGTGTAAAAGAGCCTTCATTGCCATGCTAAAGTAGTTGATAGGACGGAGTCACGGAGAGTTTTTGAGCAGGGGAGAGAGCCTGTCTAAAGAGGCATATCTGGTGAGAGGAGGGCAGGAGAGATGGAGTGACTGGCAGGAAAGGGGTTGTGGGGACAGGAGATTATGAGCTGAGAAGAGCACTTTGGTCCAGCACCTTCCAGCAGCCTGGCCTCAGGTCTTAGGAGACCTCAAATCTCCTTTCTGCCTGGGTCCCACTGAGGGGGCTGAGGGAGCTAGCCAGGACTCCAGAGTCCTAGCTCTCAGTCTTAAGAACAAGGGAGGGGGTGACTGGCCTGATGCCCCCTAATGTAAGGCGAGGGTAAAGTGAGATCTTTGGACTGGGACAGAGGTTCACGTGGCTATGGAAGGGAATTTGACCCCCTGCATCTTAGGGTACTCATCTCTTAGAGGATGCTCCCCAGGGAGAGGCAGCACAGCCTGGGTAAGAACGGACCCTGCTGCCAGATCACCTGTGTTTGTGCCCAAGCTCTGCTATTTACAAGCTGTGTGACTGTGGACAAATTACTTAACCTCTCTAGGCCTCAGTTTCCTCTTCTGTGAAATGAGAATAATGATAGTACTTATCTCATGACATTACTGGGATGATTAGATAAATCTGTACAGGAAAAGTGTTTAGAACAGAGGTTGGTGTAGCCCTGCCCTCAGAAAGCTCAGGGTTTAAATATGCATGGGGGCTGGGCATGGTGGCTCACGCCCATAATCCCCGCACTTTGGGAGGCCGAGGCGGGCAGATCATTTGAGGTCAGTAGTTTGAGACCAGCCTGGCCAACATGGTGAAACCCCGTCTCTACTAAAACTACAAAAAAATTAGCTGGGCGTTGTGGCGCACGCCTGTAATCCCAGCTACTCGGGAGGCTAAGACAGGAGAATCACTTGAACCGGGGAGGCGGAGGTTACAGTGAGCCGAGATCGCACCACTGCACTCCAGCCTGGGCAACAGAGTGAGAATCCATCTAAAAAAATAATAAGATAAATAAATATGCATGGGAAGCTATTCTGGGGAGAGCTGGGAATAGGCCCCTGGGATTGGAGGGGGCCAAAGGGGCTGGGTAGCAGAGGCTTGGTGCCATCGGGTCAAAGGATCCATAGGATGCATGTGTTGTGTAGAGGGAAGCATGGGTCAGGGTTGGAGCCACAGTCCCTCTGATACTCCCACCCAAATGTCCCTGCAGAAGATGCTCATGAAGCAGCAGGACCGGCTGGAGGAGCGAGAGCAGGACATTGAGGACCAGCTGTACAAACTCGAGTCAGACAAGCGCCTGGTGGAGGTAGCTAAGCCCAAGGCCATGCTGCGGGGTGGGGGTGGCTTGAGCGCAGGGCTTTGGGTGAGTTCCTTACTAAGGATTGATTGTGTAGCCCTATGCCAGAACCACTCCATCAGTCATTCAATCAACTGCCCGTGGATGCCCACTGGTGCCAGGGGATGCTGGCCCAGAGCCCTGTGCTACCAGTGGGGAACTGGCAGGTCAGACCTTGCCCTTGGGAGCCTGGGGCAGCCTGGTGACTTAGGGTTCTAGGATGTGAGAAGGGTAAGAGGGGGGGAAACCAAAGGTTTCCAGTGCTTACCTGCCTGCCCACTCCTGCCCTCTGTACTCGCAGGAGAAAGTGAACCAACTGAAGGAGGAAGTTCGGCTGCAGTACGAGAAGCTGCACCAGCTGCTGGACGAGGACCTGCGGCAGACAGTGGAGGTCCTAGACAAGGCCCAGGCCAAGTTCTGCAGCGAGAACGCAGCGCAGGCGCTGCACCTCGGGGAGCGCATGCAGGAGGCCAAGAAGCTGCTGGGCTCCCTGCAGCTGCTCTTTGATAAGACGGAGGATGTCAGCTTCATGAAGGTGGGCTGGGCTCAGGACCAGGCTGGTGGCACCCAGAGGGCCATTTCCAAATTGAGATCTGCAGTTTCCTGCACCTGTAGCTCACATGCCCTTACCTTTGGAGCCAGCATGCATGGGTTCAAATCCACCTGCCTGCTCTTTCTAGCACTGTGACCTTGGGCAAGTCATAGGTACATCCCGGGCCTTGTTCCCTCACCTACGAAGTGGTGTTGATGATACAGGTCTACTATTCTTTATCCACAATTCCACATTTATAAACATCTCTGGAAACTAAACAAATTTTGGCATCTAATTTAACAGCAAAAATTGACCTAAACTGATGTTAGGCAATTTATGGTCTTTATCTTGCTTAGTATGAAAATTCAAACATTTTGCTGCAGAAATGTTGCTGTATTAGATTGTTGTGTCTTGCTGGGGATGATAATGTAATATATGATACAGGCACTGTATTCTCCGTCTAAAATCCAAAAAATTCCAAATTCCAAAACACATCTGGCCCCAAAGACTTGAGCTAAAACAGTGTGGGCCTGCAGAGCCCTTCTCCTCGGGTATGGATGAAGTTATGGATGCACAGAAAGCACTTACAATGCCTGGGTCACGTGGCAAGAGCTCAGTAAATGTTAGCTCTTCTTCCGCAAATGGCCACCCCTACCCCTGCCACTTTCTGTCCAGAATGAGAGGATCCACCCAGCCTGGGGGAGGCTCAGGGGGGGCAGCTTTTGTCTTCCCCTCTCCCCGGGCTCTCCCTGGACTGCCTTTTCCACTGACTTGACTCTTTTCTCTCCCCAACAGAACACCAAGTCTGTGAAAATCCTGATGGACAGGTAAGCTGAGGGCCCTAGCCCTCCCGGGGGCACATCCTGGGGAGGGCAGGGGGGCCAGGCCCATGGCGGGGAGGTAGGGCGGGCTCACCGGTGATGCCTCCTCACAGCAGATGCCCCGTCCACTGCCCCCAGGACCCAGACCTGCACGAGCAGCAGCCTTTCCCCCACTAAGATCGGCCACCTGAACTCCAAGCTCTTCCTGAACGAAGTGGCCAAGAAGGAGAAGCAGCTGCGGAAAATGCTAGAAGGTGAGGGTGGGGTGTTCCGCCGAAGGGAGACAGGGACCTTTGGGGAGGGGTTCAGCGCCACAGCCTTCCCTCCAAGAGGCAGTGTGGCCCAGTCTGGGAGACCTGTCCTCATATCCAGGCTTTGCCACTTGTAGCTGTGGGACAGTGGGTAAGCAACATGACCTCCCCAGCCTCCATTTCTTCAGCTTAAAGTGGGGATATAACTATTCTGTACCTCCTAATGGTAGAGGAGCAAGCATCACCTGAGATGTAACATTCTTGGGCCTCTAGGTGTCAATGGTCCCCAGGTCCAACCCAGGGAGAGGAGGCCTGGGTTGCTTGGGGTGGGAGCTTTGGCGACTTTTGCCCCAACTCTCCACAGGCCCCTTCAGCACGCCGGTGCCCTTCCTGCAGAGTGTCCCCCTGTACCCTTGCGGCGTGAGCAGCTCTGGGGCGGAAAAGCGCAAGCACTCAACGGCCTTCCCAGAGGCCAGTTTCCTAGAGACGTCGTCGGGCCCTGTGGGCGGCCAGTACGGGGCGGCGGGCACAGCCAGCGGTGAGGGCCAGTCTGGGCAGCCCCTGGGGCCCTGCAGCTCCACGCAGCACTTGGTGGCCCTGCCGGGCGGCGCCCAACCAGTGCACTCAAGCCCCGTGTTCCCCCCATCGCAGTATCCCAATGGCTCCGCCGCCCAGCAGCCCATGCTCCCCCAGTATGGCGGCCGCAAGATTCTCGTCTGTTCTGTGGACAACTGTTACTGTTCTTCCGTGGCCAACCATGGCGGCCACCAGCCCTACCCCCGCTCCGGCCACTTTCCCTGGACAGTGCCCTCGCAGGAGTACTCACACCCGCTCCCGCCCACACCCTCCGTCCCCCAGTCCCTTCCCAGCCTGGCGGTCAGAGACTGGCTTGACGCCTCCCAGCAGCCCGGCCACCAGGATTTCTACAGGGTGTATGGGCAGCCGTCCACCAAACACTACGTGACGAGCTAACGCCACGCAGGCGGCGGGGCGCTGGGGAATCTTCCTCCCCAGCCCCCGGGCTCGGGAGTTATGCATCCAGAGACCTGCCCTTCTACCTTCCTCGCCTCCCCTCTTCCTCATTCCATTGCCCCAGGTCTTTTCCTTTTGGATTTTGTTTTGGTTTTGGCTTTGTTTTTGATTTTTTTTTATTATGAATCTCCTGGACGCAGAGGTGACAGTGGGAGCTGGCCTGGGCCAGGACGGCAGGTGGCCCTGGAGATGGGAAAGTGTCTGTGTCGAGGCGCTGAGCTCTCTCTCTGTTTCTCCTTTTTTCCTCTACTCCTTCCCCTTCACACCCCCGTGGCTGGAAGGAACCTCGGCTTCCCTGAAAGCTTGGGGGTCCCACCCTTCTTACCCCACCCGGGAGGAACGCCCAGGGCCCCGGGCTTGTTTCTCCTCTTGTTTTCCTTTTGGGCAGTTTGATCACTGATCGAGTAAGGAATGACCTTTAGATTGTGCGACTTTTGTTTTTGTTTTTTTAAATTTTTTTAAACCAAGAATGATTTCTCCTGCTTCCTTCTCCTCACCATCTTCCCAGACGGAGTTCAAAGGCCACTTCTCAAGCAGCTTTTGGCACCTTCAGCCTCAGAGTGGAATCTTTTAAAGACAGGACCCCTATGTCCAGGAAAGGGGAAAAGGAACTTTGCCAATGATAGTGACCACAGCAAAAGCAAATAATAATAATATTAATAATAATAAAGAGAAATAAAATAATAAAATAAAAAACAATAGCACAGCCCTTGTTGAGGTCAGCAGGGAGGAGGGGCTGCCCGGAGTTGGGTCCTTGCCTGGATTTTGACACAGCAACTTCCTGTAGTGAGCACTTTGTATGAATCGTGGACTTCCTGTTCTCAAGGCGCAGGTATTTATTCTGTATCTGTCTAGAGCACACACCAAAATCCAACCTTCTAATAAACATGATGGCGCAGTCCCACTCCCTGCCTCGCCTGTTCCCCTATCCCCCCCAGGCCTGGGATCTTCAGGCGTCGGTGTGGGGAGGGGCCCCTGCCCTCCTTGCCTTGATTTTGCTCCCCTGGGTCCAGCTGGTTCCAGGCCTGTGAATGTCAGTTCGTCGGGCACTGACTCCGTCTGCTCTTGGCCTTGGGTTCATTTGACAAATATTTGCCCAGGGCCTCCCAGGCCCAGCCCCATGCCACCTGGGCCCCGGCATCTCTTTGAGGTTCTGCCAATGTGCTCTTAGCTGAGGACGAAGGAGGAACACCTTTCTATGAGTCTTGCAAAGTTTACCTCCTTCAGGCCACAAATATTTGAGTGCACACTACGTGCCAGGCACTGTGCAGGGCTGCAGGCATAGAGACAGAATGTAATCTAGCTGGGCCTTGGACCCCATAGGGAGAGGGGACCACTCAGGTCCATACTTCCTTTGGACTTGGGGCTTTGGCCTTGGGAGGGGTGGAGGTGGGGTGGCAAGATGAAAAAGACATCCTGCCCCCATCCACTTCGGCAGAGCTTCTCAAAGTCTCAAGCATGTCTTGGGAGCTTGTTAAAAGGGCCGATTCCTTGCTGTGGCTCACGCCTGTAATCCTGACATTTTGGGAGGCCAAGGCAAATTGCCTGAGCTCAGGGGTTTGAGACCAGCCTGGGCAACATGTCGGAACCCTGTTTCTACAAAAAATACAAGAATTAGTTGGGCGTGGTGGGGCACACCACACCTGTGGTCCCAGCTACTCTGGGACTGAGGTGGGAGAACTGCTTGAGCCTGGGAGGCAGAGGTTGCAGTAGGTCTAGATCAAGTCACTGCACTCCAGCCTGTGCAACAAAACAACAGAGCAAGACCCTGTCTCAAAAAAAAAAAAAAAAAAAGGGTAAGGGTGCTGATTCCTGAGGCCTAGCTTAGACTCATCGGGAATCTCTGAGAGCCCAGGAATTTGCATTTTTAACTCTATTCTCCCATATCCTGGGTTTAGAGAAGTGCTGCCATTGTGGTGGTCAGGGTCCTCCCTGCTGCTTGTCACAGAGGCCACTGCGGGGAGAGGAAGCTGGGACACCCCCAAGGCCCTTCTCTGGAGAGGGGCCTCACCTTCAAAAAGGCTCCGGTTGTTGCCTGATGCTCTGCACAGAGCTGTAAGTCCGCAGCCCATGCACTTCTGTAATCTGCTGGGTGCCTAGTTATCTTTCTTCTTGTTTGGGCAGAATCCGGGCCTGAATGCCACCCACCCCAGGAAGCCCAGGACAAGGCAGACAGCCTTGTAAAGTCCCATTCCTGCCAGGCGCGGTGGCTCATGCCTGTAATCCCAGCACTTTGGGAGGCTGAGATGGGCGGATCACCTGAGGTCGGGAGTTCGAGACCAGCCTGGTCAACGTGGTGAAATTTCATCTCTATTAAAAATACAAAAATTAGCCGGCATGGTGGTGGGCGCCTGTAGTCCCAGCTACTCAGGAGGCTGAGGCAGGAGAATCGCTTGAACCTGGGAGGCAGAGGTTGCAGTGAGCCGAGATCGTGCCACTGCACTGCAGCCTGGGTGACAGAGCCAGACTCCATCTCAAAAAAAAAAAAAAAAAGTCCCATGCCAGTGGTCCAAGCCTCACTGACCCCTAGCCACCCCTCCCCTCAGAAAAATAAAGGCTTGCCGAGCACGTTGGCTCATGCCTGGAATCCCAGCAGTTTGAAGGTGGATGGATCACTTGAGTTCAGGAGTTCAAAACCAGCCTGGGCCACATGGTGAAACCCCATCTCTACTAAAACGAAAAATTAGCCAGGCGTGGTGCCACGGGCCTGTGGTCCTAGCTACTCTGGAGGCTGAAGTGGGAGGATTGCTTGATTGAGGCTGGGAGGTGGAGGTTGCAGTGAGCTGAGATCTTGCCACTGCACTCCAACCTGGGCAACAGAGCAAGATCCTGTCTCAAAGAAAAAAAAGAAAAATAAAGACTTTGGGGCTGGCCAGACCAAACCATAGCCTTGGTCTTGCTAACTGCCTCCGCCTTCCTGCCCTGAGGGAGTAGAGGATGACTCGGGTGGGGTGGTGGACCCTTGCTTCATTGTTCCCCTCCCCAGTGTGGCAGGGAGCCAGGAGCAGTATGACAACAGCTGGCCTACCCCTTCCCTCCCCGTGCACCTGTTTGGGGCTAAAGGGAGTGGGGAAATGACTGGAGCACAGTGCCCCTCCAGCCCAGGGTGCAGGATGCCTGGGGGCAGGTGCCGGTGGACAGTCACTTCACTCCACTCAAATCTGCTTCTGTCTCACTGTCCCTTTCTCCAGTTCTCAGGAGCCCTGAGACATCCCCCGTGCCAAGAGTTGGGAGCCAAGATAAAAAGCTGCCTAATTTCTTTCCCACTTGGCCTAGTTTTGTTTTGGCTGAGGGGAGAGGCCCTTTCCCCAGGTGCGTCAATCCACTGAGATGTGGAGGGGACATTCTGGTGGGAATGGGATGGGCTTGAGCCCCTCCATGTCCCAGCTTTGAAGCCCACTCCAGACAATGACACGCTCAGGCACACATCTATAGGTGAAGCAGCAGCTGCCCAGAGTTGGCTTGGGGGGGGTTCCCTAGGCAGCCAGGGAAGCAGGGAGACGCTAACCCACCCAGCTGTCCCCAGCCACCCAGCTGTCCCTGGCTTTGTAGGAGCAGCTGTCACCCAGCTCCCAAAAGGGTCGGGGCAGAGGAGGCCCAGAAAGAGCTGGGGCTGCCCCAGGGAACAGGCTTATTCAGAAGTCATCGGAGGGGCCTTCTCTGCCCTGAACTGGTGGCCCCTTGGAGGGCTGGCTGCAGCCACAGGTGCCCCAGTGCCCAGCCCTCCCCTCCTGCCTTCCCCCAAAGGCCATCACGCCTCCCCTTTCCGGGAAGGGTTGGGGATCTGACCACGTCTCCCTACCCCACAGACTGGGGCCGACAGCTCCTGTGGCCCAGATGTGCTGAGCCCGCAGCGAGGCCACCGCGAGGGAGTGGGTGGGGGTGGTTTCCTCTGCTGCCTGCCGGCCCCAGCTCTTTCATGTTGCCGCCCTCCCCATCCCAGCCCGGAGCCAAGCAGCTGGGCCGCTCCTGCCCCCTCCCTCGGCCTCGCTCCCAGCTGTCTTTGGGGTGGGGCAGGGCAGCTGGGGAACAGCTGCAAGGCAGGAGCCTGGGGGGTGATGGGTGCCCCCTGCAACTGCCGGAAACGGTCTTTGGGCCAAGAAGGGAGTCTGAAGGGTGGGGGTGGAGAGGGCGAGGCCTAGGGGATGATCGGCTCCACCCCTTCTCCCAGCGCATCTGGCCAGGAGACCCCAGCTCAAAGCCCCCTCCAGCTTCAAAGGGCACCCTGGGGTGGGAGGCAGGAGACGAGGGTGGATGCCCTGACCCACTGAGTCCGCACCCCAGGGCCCCTCTCTCCAAGCTGTGACCTCACCTCAGGGTTCTTAACAGGCCTTGCTAACACTCTCCCACTCAGATCCTGTCATTGTCACCATGGCCTTCCTAAGACACCCTCATCTTCTCCCATCCGAGGGTGGGGGAGAACCAATTCGATTCGCAACTTCAGGACCCAGGACCCATCTAGCCGCCTGGGGGATTCCCTACCCCACCTCTGCAGCCTGTAAATTCTGGGGGAGGAGGCCCTGGAGGGAGGATCAGAGGCATGTCCTTCCCCAACCTCCCACTCTGGCCTACTAAGAAATGGGAGCAGGGCTGACCCTATGAAAGTGTGGGAGGTGAAGGAGCTGGAGTCGTGATTCCTGGGTATCCCCAGACAGACATCACCACACTACAGCCCCTCTTCTAAGGTGATCCCAGCACTTTGGGAGGCTGAAGCAGGAGGATCCCTTGATGAGACCAGCATGGGCAGTATAAGGAGATCCTGTCTCTATAAAAAATTAAAATATTAGGCTGGGCGCGGTGGCTCATGCCTGTAATCCCAACACTTTGGGAGGCCAAGGCAAGCAGATCACTTGAGGTCAGGAGTTCGAGACCAGCCTGGCCAACATGGTGAAAGCCCAACTCTACTAAAAATAAAAAAAATTATCTGGGCCGGGCACGGTTGTTCACACCTGTAATCCCAGCACTTTGGGAGGCTGAGGCAGGCGGATTACGAGGTCAGGAGATGGAGACCATCTTGGCCAACATGGTGAAACCCTGTCTCTACTAAAATACAAAAACTTAGCTGGGCGTGAAGGCACATGCCTGTAATTCCAGCTACTTGGAAGGCTGAGGCAGGGGAATCGCTTGAAACTGGGAGGCGGAGGTTGCACTGAGCAGAGATCGTGCCACTGCATTCCAGCCTCGGGACAGAGCAAGACTTCCTCTCAAAAAAAAAAAATTATCTGGGTGTGGTGGTGGGCACCTGCAATCACAGCTACTGGGGAGCCTGAGGCAGGAGAATCGCTTGAACAGGGGAGGCGGAGGTTGCAGTGAGCCGAGATGGCGCCATTGCACTCCAACTGGGGTGACAGCGCGAGACTCCATATCAAAAAAAAAAAAAAAAAAAAAAGGCCGGCACGGTGGCTCACGCCTGTAATCCCAGCACTTTGGGAGGCTGAGGCGGGAGGATCATGAGGTCAGGAGATCGAGACTATCCTAGCTAACACAGTGAAACCCCGTCTCTACTAAAAATACAAATAATTAGCTGGGCGTGGTGGCCTGCACTTGTAGTCCTGGCTACTCGGGAGGCAGAGGCAGGAGAATGGTGTGAACCCAGGAGGCAGAGCTTGCAGTGAGCCGAGATCGTGTCACTGCACTCCAGCCTGGGCCACAGAGCAAGACTCTGTCTCAAAAACAAAACAAAACAAAACAAAAACCCACAAAAAATTAAAAATTTAACCTGACGTGCTGGCATGTGTGGTCTCAGCTACTCAGGAGGCTGAGGCAAGAGGATCACTTGAGTGCTGGAGGATCCCTTGAGCCTGGGAGGTCAAGGCTGCAGTGAGCTGTGATTGCACCACTGAACTCCAGCCTGGACGACAGAGCGAGACCCTGTCTCAAGTAAATAAAATAAAATAAAATAAATAAAATAAAATAAATAAAATAAAATAAAATAAAATAAATAAAATAAAAAATAAAATAAAATAAAATAAAATAAAATAAATAAAATAAAATAAAATAAATAAAATAAAATAAATAAAATGCCTGGCATGGTGTCTTATGCCTGTAATCCCAGCACTTTGGGAGGCCGAGGCAGGTGGATTGCCTGAGGTCAGGAGTTGGAGACCAGCCAGGCCAACATGGTGAAACCCTGTCTCTAGTAAGAATACAAAAATTAGCAGGGCATGTTGGTGGGTGCCTGTAATCCCAGCTACTTGGGAGACTGAGGCAGGAGAATTGCTTGAACCTGGGAGGTGGAGGTTGCTGTGAGCCGAGATTGCGCCACTGCACTCCAGCCTGGGTGACAGAGCAAGACTCCGTCTCAAAATAAATAAAATAAAATAAAATAAAATATAAAATAAAATAAAATAAAATAAAATAAATAAAATAAAATAAAATTAAAATAAAATAAAATAAAATAAAATATAAAATAAAATAAAATAAAATAAAATAAATAAAATAAAATAAGTCTCCCTGCGTGTTTTTGGAAAATTCTTCCTTGGAGGAGCTTTAGAAACAGTGGTCTCCAGAACCCGGATTCTGGTGCTGGTTCTAGAATCCTCTGGGTCCTGTTTGTTTTTGTTAAGAGGGCAAGGAAGGAAATTGAGAGCACTCTTAGACGGCCTTTGTCTTTTTTTTTTTTTTTTTTTGGGGAGACGGAGTCTCGCTCTGTTGCCCAGGCTGGAGTGCAGTGACGATCTCGGCTCACTGCAAGCTCCGCCTCCCAGGTTCACGCCATTCTCCTGCCTCAGGCTCCCCAGTAGCTGGGACTATAGGCGCCTGCCACCACGCCCGGCTAATTTTGCCCGGCTAATTTTTTTGTATTTTTAGTAGAGACGGGGTTTCACTGTGTTAGCCAGGATGGTCTCGATCTCCTGACCTTGTGATCTGCCCACCTCGGCCTCCCAAAGTGCTGGGATTACAGGCGTGAGCCACCACGCCCGGCCCTAGATTGCCTCTGTCTTATACTCTGTGCAGAAGAGCTGGGGCAGGGCCTGGGGTTCAGGCTTTTCCAGGGCTAAGCTTCCAGAATCTTCTTTGGAGGCTGGGAGAAATGGGAAATACTTCACAGTATGGGGCAGAGGCTGCTAGGGTTGAGGGGCTTATGGTGAGAAGGGATCCGCCTGGACCAGGAAGGGGCTGGCCCCAAGAACATGAGCTTCTTCCTTCAGCTTTAGCTTCCGTCTTTCTTTCCTAACACTGTGTCCTTCCACCTGAATCCCAAAGTCTGTCTTCCTTTCCAGGATAGCATGTGTTCCAACCCTGCTGGAATTCCTACACAGCCCACAACCTCAGGATGTCACTGTCACAGTGAAAGTCCTTCGACATAACCAATAGAAAGCTGATGGACAGAGCTGTGGTCTCTACCATATCCATTCTCTCTTTTTTTTTTTTTTTGAGACAGAGTCTTGCTCTGTCATCCAGGCTGGAGTGCAGTGGCCTGGACTTATCCCAGAGCTCTGCACTAGGGGGGTCTTCGAATGTTTCCTTCACGAGAGACCAGTTTTCTTTCACTTTTGTGTGGTTAATGCCTCTCAACTGTAGCAAACTGGGATATTTATGACTTCTCCTTGCACTAGATCTTCAATAATTGGCTCTTTCTTGAGAAAGGACCCATCTGCTCTGTGATACAGATTTTTTTTATTATTATTATTTACACTGAGGCAAGCAGGGGGCGATACATGAGGTGGTATGCAGCTTGTAGCATGGGGGCTTAGAGAAGGCACAGAATGGCCGGGTGCACTGGCTCATGCCTGTAATTCCAGCACTTTGGGAGGCTGAGGCCGGTGTATCACCTGAGGTCGGGAGTTCAAGACTAGCCTGGCCAACATGGTGAAACCCCGTCTCTACTAAAAGTACAAAAATTAGCCAGGAGTGGTAGCAGGCGCCTGTAATCCCAGCTACTCAGGAGGCTGAGGCAGGAGAATCGCCTGAACCCGGGAGATGGAGGTTGCAGTGAGCCGAGATCTCACTACTGCACTCCAGCCTGGGTGACAAGAGTGAGACTTTAGTCTCAAAAAAAAGAGATGGCACAGAATTCCATCTCAGAAGTAGAATGCAGGGAGGGGTGTTCCAAGAACTGGGTGTAAAGGTGGTATGAACTTCTGGTCCACCTGGAAAAAAAAACAGCAGTGAATCATTTGACATATAAAAGTCCTGGGCCAGGCGCGGTGGCTCACACCTGTGATCCCCGCACTTTGGGAGGCTGAGGCGGGCGGATCACCTGAGGTCGGGAGTTCGAGACCAGCCTGGCCAACACGGTGGAATCCCATGTCTACTAAAAACACAAAAATTAACCGGGCGTGGTGGTGGGCGTCTGTAATCCCAGTTACTCAGGAGGCTGAGGCAGGAGAATTGCTTGAACCCGGGAGGCGGACGTTGCAGTGAGCCAAGAGCACATCATTGCACTCCAGCCTGCACAACAAGAGTGAAACTCCGTCCCAAAAAAATACATAAATAAAAATAAATGTCCTGGCTGCCTGGTTGTGAATTGGTTGTTGCCATCAGACACTACCCATGTGCATGCCTGCTGCAGGGCACTGAGCTGGGAGGGGGCATGGATGCAGATGTGCAGCTTGTGGCCTAAGAGGGACTTACCAGCCACACCAAATGCCAGTCCCGCCCGCTGCAGCTCCCTAGTCTCCACCCAGCACACCATATGCTGGAAGTCAGTCTGCCTGCAACCTGCGTGCTTCCATGCCTCACTGGCTTTGGACTTGCTGACCCTCTGCCTGGACTGACTCTCTAGCCTCAAAGTCTCACCTCTGTGCAGCCCTCGTGGCCCCCGCCCCCTCTGCAGAGAGTGGCTAAGGGGTAATGAGACGATGCATATGAGTGCCAGGTCTGGTGCTGGCATAGGTGACTTTCAGGCATCCGCAGCTATCACAATGTTTATGTTCCTTTGGGCCAGCCATACTCCCATGCACTTCGCTCCCTCACTTTGGATTTTAACTAATTGTGGTTCACAGGTTAAGTTGCAAGCTGCCTGGCTTAATGTCCAACTAGGCTGTGAGTGCCTGGAGGACGTGAATGTGAGTCAGCTCTGATTTTTTTTTCAGGGCCTAGCACAATGCCTGTATGTTTGTTTCATTCATTCATTCATCCAATAAGTCATTATTGAGCTCCTTCTTGTTCCAGGCATTGCTTCAATGTCAGGGATATAGCAGCGAACAAAACAAACTCTGCCATCTTGGAGCTGATCATCTGTGGGGAAGAGCTAGACAATCAACCCTAAAGAAGTCACCGTGAGAGGCCGGGCCTGGTGGCTAATGCCTGTAATCCTAGCACTTTGAGAGGCCAAGGCAGGCAGATTGCCTGAGCTCAGGAGTTCGAGACCAGCCTGGGCAACATGGTGAAACCCTGTCTCTACTAAAAATACAAAAAAATTAGCTAGGCATGGTGGCACATGCCTGTAATCCCAGCTACTCGGGATGCTGAGGCAGGAGAATTGCTTGAACCTGGGAGGCGCAGGTTGCAGTGAGCCGAGATCACACCACTGCACTCCAGCCTGGGCGACAGAGTGAGACTCCGTCTCCAAAAAAAAAAAAAAAAGTCACTGTGAGGCTGGGCGCAGTGGCTCACACCTGTAATCCCAGCACTTGGGAGGCCGAGGTGGGCAGATCACCCGAGGTCAGGAGTTCGAGACCAGCCTGGCCAACATGGCAAAACTCCGTCTCTACTAAAAACACAAAAATTAGCCGGGCGTGGTGATGCATGCGCCTGTAGTCCCAGCTACTTGGGAGGCTGAGGCAGGAGAATCACTTGAACTCAGGAGGCAAAGGTTGCAGTGAGCCGAGATCGTGCCACTGCACTCTGACCTGGGCAACAGAGCAAGACTCCGTCTCAAAAAAAAAAAAAGGCCAGGCACGGTGGCTCATGCCTGTAATCCCAGCACTTTGGGAGGCCGAGGCAGGCGGATCACGAGGTCAGGAAATTGAGACCATCCTGGCTAACATGGTGAAACCCCGTCTCTAATAAAAATACAAAAAAATTAGCCGGGCGTGGTGGCGGGGCGGGCACCTGTAGTCCCAGCTACCTGGGAGGCTGAGGCAGGAGAATTGCTTGAACCTGGGAGGCGGAGGTTGCAGGGAGCCGAGATCGCACCACTGCACTCCAGCCTGGGCAACAAGAATGAAACTCCATCTCAAAAAAAAAAAAAAAAAGTCACCATGAGTTGGCGATAAGTACAGTCCAGGAAGGCAAAGCAGGTGGGGGCACAGGGGATACCAGAAGGGGAGGGGGTGTGGAAGTGTTTACAGGGAGGACTGGGCAGTCTGGCTGAGGAGGTGGCATTGAGCAGAAACCTCAGAATTTGGGGGGGCAAGATCTGGGGGATACTTGGAGCTAGAATGCTTCTGGCAGAGAGAACCAGTGCAAAGGCCTCAGGCAGAAAATGTTGTTTCAGGAAGAGTCAGGGGGCGAGGGCAGCTGGAAAGTGTTGGGGGTGGGAGAGAGTAGCAAGTGATGAGGTCAGACAAGGCAGTGAGGGGACAGGGCAGGGCACAGGCTATGGGAGGGGTTTTGCTTCTGCTCGAGAGATATTTGCTGGATGAAGGGTTTCACAGGGAGAGGGTTAGAGGGTACCCGGCTGTCCTCTTAGGGAGGTAGGACTTGAAGCACGCCCTAAAGGAACAGAAAGCTCAAAAGAGGGGGCAGACATCCCAGGGAGGAGGTCGCTGTGCACACAGGTGGGAAAATGAAATTGTAGGGATTGTGCTTGGGGGAGTAGTGAGGAGAGACTTGGGCACAAAGGCTGTGTGGAGTCCATGGCTGATAAGTCCATTAAAAAGGTTTGGGGTCAGATCAGCAGGGCCTTGAATAACAGGATAAATGGTTTGGCTGGAGGGACCCACAGCAGCAGGGCCTCTGAAGGCATCTTAGCAGGGTACTGCATTTTAATAATGGCGCTAACCCCTCAAAGGAGGATCAGGCAGGGGAGTCCAGCCCAAGCTGGGAGGCAGTGGGAGGGCCAAGGGAGAGACAGGTGGGGTTCAGGGTGCACCCTCAACCCAGTCTAAGGAGTGGGAAGGCAGGTGGCTGGGTGTCCAGGTCCTGCTGCTCAGCCAAGGGATGGAAGCCTGGATCAAGCTTTCCCCTTCCCTGCCAGCTAGCCATGGGCCCCAGAGTCAGCAGAAAATCCCGGCTCCAGGGAGGAGGCGGCGTGGAGCCAGAAGCTGCTGAGGGAGCACTGGCAGCAAGATGCCATTGTACATCCGCAATCAAGATGCTTCAGAGGAAATCAAAAGCACCAACCAGGGAAATGATGTGTGCACTCTCTTTCTCTCAAACACACATACAAACTTCTGCCTCCAAAATGGGTCAAGTGAAGGCTGTGGGCGTGGGTTGGGGAGGGAGGGCTGGGAGAAGTGGGGGCCTGGGAGCCCGGGAGCAGGCTGGGCCCTGGTGCCCACTCACCCTCCTGGCATAGGGGATGGCAGCAGCTGCAGGGTGGGGCGGGATGTGAGGATAAATATACACCTCCCATGCATATGGATCATGCTCACAGCTGCCCTGCTTGCTTAGTGTTCATTAGGACCAACTGTTTCAGGAGCAGTGGCAGGCGGGCGGGAGAGGGTGATGTACCCATTCACAGACTGGGGGTAGGGGGGCTGCCTGCAGCTGTGCAGATGCCTCCCCCACTGCCTGGATCAGCATCTCAGCCCCTGAATGCCCCTTCCTCCTGCTTTTTCTTCTTCCGACCTGCTGCTATGCCAGATCTGGAGGTCTCAGGGCGGGAAAGGGGCCTGGGGCATGAGTAAGGATGAAATCCAGGCTGCATCCCCATAGGAGCTGGGGAGAGTGAGGGAAGAGTTGGGCTGGATTGGATCCCTTGGTCCAGGATGGGCTGTTGTTTACAAACCAAAGCTTCTTATCCCCATCTTCCCAGAAGCCATCTGTAGCATTCCAGCAGGAAAACTGCTTTGGCACTGTCCCCTGGAGACTCGAGGGAAGCCCCATTCCTATGTGACAACCCTAGACCAGGCTTGCTCTGTGCCTCCAAAGGGAATCCAAGGGGGCTGAGGTTGGTGGACCAGCATCATTCTGCAGGATTCTGACGTCCTGGCAGCAAGGAGGGCTAGGGAAGGAGAATGCTGGGCTCCAGCCCGGGACCAGGTGCTCTAGGTGGGCCTGGGCCTGGGCTGGGGAACAGTGCTGAAATGTAGGCCCAGGGAAGGGTCTGGCTGGTGTCACAGGCAGGGCCAAGTGTAGCTGTACAGCTTGTGCCCTACCCAAGGGAACTGGCTGAGGGGCCTGCAGCTGGTGCCACGCCTTGTACTCTGGTGTGGGGCATAATCTCCCACATGAGTCAGTGGTGGCCTGGGTGACAGGCCTCTCTAGTGTTAGGAATGTGGCCAAGAGGGCCTGCCTGTGGACGGAGCCCGTGTGTCTCCTATGGTGAGCTCTTTCTCCTCCTGCTCCAGCGGTCTTGGGGGGCTCCTAGGGCTGTGCCTCCAGGGGGCTGGCACAGGGGCTTCTGAGTCCTGGGTGGAAGTGGAGGCAGCTGATCCCAGGCCAAAGCCCCAACTACAACAGCCTCCCCAGGCCCTTTCCTTGGTTGTAAGGGTGGGGCTGGGCACCTCCTGCCCCCTCTACTGGTGGCATCCAGAGCAGCAGCTGACTCTGGGACCCCAGGGCAGGGTCTTCTGGATCCTGAAAACAGGGTGAGTGGCAAAAAGCGAGGGCCGCCTCTCACCTACCTCCCTGGGGTGGCATCATGGAATAAAATGGGCTTTCAGCAAGTGGGCTGGCGGGAATCACAGTCAAGCCATTTCCTAGCTGTGTGACTCTGGGCAAGTGACTTAACCTTTGTGAGCCTTGGTTTCATCATCTGGGAACTAGGGACAGTAAACGGCTATCTTGTAGGGCTAATCAAAGGATGAGACCCACTAATGACTCAAAGGAGAAGCAGTTGGCTTAGCTAAATGGGATTCTGACCCCAACCCTGTACCTCTCAGCTTCAGGTATCCAAGCAAATTCTCCCTGCCCCCTCCTGGACACAGCTTGCTTTCTGCAGTTCTGTCATTAATATTTCATTTCTTTAGCAAAGGCTTTTTGTCCCTGGGACACTGCTATTCGCTCTGGAGAAGAAACTGTTCCGTGTTCCTTCGTGCAGAAGGATTCCTTAGCTCCTTTTCTGAGAGCAGAGCATTAGGAGCCAAAAGCAAACAGGTATTGTGGTATAAATTTGGGACCCAGCAGTGAAATAGGCCTGAGTTCAAATCCTGACTGTGCCCAGTTCTTCCTGTGCGATCATGGGCGAGTGATTCAAATTCTATGAGCCCCATCCTCATACTGTGAATGACAATACCTACAGTTAACAGTGTCTTTGCGAGGATTAAATAAGGTAACTGTGAAGTACCTGGTGCAAGTGGCTACCTCCTTAACTCTTTCCCCCGGTTCTGACACTGTGGGGGACTGGTTGTTGGCTGCACTTCCACGCCTGTGTGTGGTTGGTTCTGGACACACACACACACCAGTGCTGGACCAGCAGAATGACTGCAGGGAGCCAGGGCTCTCTTTCTCTCCTCCCTGCCCCTGCTCCTGGTGGCTGCAGCTTCTCTGTGTTCTGCAGTGTTGGAAAAGGAAATTACAGAACAGATTGCAATTAAGGGGGATGAGGGGGAGACAGGGACAGAGGCCGTGAGATGCAGCTTGACTGAGCACTAAACTGTGTTTGCGCCTGGAGCCAATCAGGAGCCTCTGATAAGAGCCTTTCCCACTTACAAAGCTAAGCAGGAGGTGTGGTTGGGGTGGCCCTGGGAGTCCCGAAGGGAGGGGGCTGCTGGCCTTGAAAGTCACAGAGCCACATGGGAGGGAAGGTGGGAGGTAGAGGTCTTAGGGGCCTTGGAAAGCCTGGACTCCAGACTTTCTGCCAGCTGTTATATTTGCTACCATTGATTTAGCACCTACTACTCACTGTACGGACATCTCATCTCATCCTCTTGACAACTGTGCAGCATGATTATTGCCCAATTTTGAAGATAAGAAACTGAGGGCCAGGCACGGTGGCTCACGCCTATAATCCCAGCACTTTGGGAGGCCAAAGCACGTGGATCACCTGAGGTCAGGAGTTCAAGACCAGCCTAGTCAATATGGTGAAACCCCATCTCTACGAAAAATACAAAAATTAGCTGGGGATGGTGGCACATGCCTGTAATCCCAGCTATTCGGGAGGCTGAGGCAGGAGAATCGCTTGAACCTGGAAGGTGGAGGTTGCAGTGAGCCGAGATCGTGCCACTGAATTCCAGTCTGGGCAGAAGAGCGAAACTCCGTCTCCAAAAAAAAAAAGAAAAGAAAAAGAAACTGAGGCATGGAATGTTCCTTCTATGTGCTAGGTATTGTCCTAGATCTAGGCACTTTGTTTACATGAGATCTCTTTTAAATCTCCCTGTGCTGACCTAGTCAACATGAAAATGCTGGGATTATGGGCATAAGCCACCGCACCCAGCCACACTTTTTAATTGCACTGCGCTGTCCCTTTTTTGGGCAGGGAGTGCTGGGAAGGGTTTTGCCAGCTTTATCAAAACAAAACCAAAAAGCTAGGATGGCCAGTTAAATTTGAATTTAAGGTAAACAATGCATTTTTCTAATGTTATACTGATGTCCCAAATATTGCATGGGATATACTTGAATTAAAAACTATTCATTGTTTATCTGAAATTCAAGTTTAACTGAATGTTCTGTAATGTATCTGGCAACCCTAATTCTTCTTTCTCCTGCTTCCAGCTACCAGCTAGTTCTGCCCACAGCTTGCTCTTTAAAGGCCGGGCGCAGTGGCCCACGCCTGTAATCCCAGCACTTTGGGAGGCCGAGGTGGGCAGATCACGAGGTCAGGAGATTGAGACCATCCTGGCTAACACGGTGAAACCCCATCTCTACTAAAAATACAAAAAAACCCCAAAAGTTAGCCGGCGTGGTGACAGACGCCTGTAGTCCCAGCTACTAGGGAGGCTGAGGTGGGAGAATGGCATGAACCCGGGAGGCGGAGCTTGCAGTGAGCTGAGATTGCGCCACTGCACTCCAGCCTGGGCGACAGAGCGAGACTGTCTCAAAAAAAAAAAAAAAAAATTAGCCAGACATGGTGGTACATGCCTCTAGTCCCAGCCACTTGGGAGGCTGAGTTGGGAGGATGGCCTGAGCCCAGGAGGTTGAGGCTGCAGTGAGTTGTGACTGTGCCACTGCACTCCAGCCTGGGTGACAGAGCGAAGTCCTGTCTCAAAAACACAAAACACACACACACACACACAAATGGTGAGGCCCTTTGGGACCAGCTGTGCTGCTGTGTCTCTAGCCTGCTGAAGGGACAACGAACTCTTCTGCTCCAGAGGGCAGAGCCCGGGACAGCTGCCAACTCTGCACCTTCCATGTAACACTGGGCAGGTCTGTTCCCTCTCGGAACCCTCTGTAAATGGAAGATCCAGTATTAGGTACTATGTAACTGCAAGTCTCCCTGAAGGCCCTAACTTTGCTAATTATTTCTTCTCCCTTTTTCCTGTCTGTTGGGCTGGACTTGGCCAAGGATGAAACCCAGTCTATGGTTGTGCTGTGTGAGCAGAGGACACCCAACACCTGGGGCAGGGAACCCAGGGGAGCAGTGCTTGTCAGAGGCTGAGGGGAGGAGGCTGGGCAGAAGTAGCACTCAGAGGCTGGGGGGGCTGAGGCTGCTGGGAGATGAGCCATTGACAAATTTTTTTTTTTTTTTTTTTTTTGCAATGGAGTTTTCTCCTGTTGCCCAGGCTGGAGTGCAATGGCACGATCTCAGCTCACTGCAACCTCTGACTCCTGGGTTCAAGCAATTCTCCTGCCTCAGCCTCCCAAGCAGCTGGGATTACAGGCACGTGCCACCACGCCCGGCTAATTTTGTATTTTTAGTAGAGACGGGATTTCACCATGTTGGTCAGGCTCGTCTTGAACTCCTGACTTCAGGAGATCTACCTGCCTTGGCCTCTGAAAGTGCTGGGATTACAGGCGTGATCCGGCCTTGCCATTGACTGTTTTTGTTCTCCAGAGGCGGCAGCTTGCTGAGCATTGAGACCCAGGCTCCAGGCCCCACCTGCACTTAAAGGCTCTGTGATTTCAGGCAAATTCCTTAACTGGGGCAAATGTCTCAATGTCCTCTGCTGCAAAGGGGGACTAATGCTCACCACGATGTATCTGAAGTGCCCGGCACGTAGGAGGGGCTTAATGAAGGGCTATTATTGCTATTGTTGGTATCCTATTTTATATATATATCCTTCTGGAAAAAACCTCTTGAAGAAAGCTAACCCCTGAAAGGACAAACACATTTCAGGCCCTCTCTGAGCTTCAGCAAAGAACACAACACATTCCAGGCTGCCTTCGTTCCAGCTAAATTTTATTTGTCGGATTTTTGACAGACGTCTAAATTATACATTGAGTTTTCCACATGACCAAACACCACATCTCTTCCTTTGATTATCATTTTCAAAAGGGATTATAAAAAAAGAACCTTTTGATGGATCAGACTGAACCCTGAAACCACATGGAGTGCAGAGCTAAAAATAAAAGGAAGTAAGAACTGGTCCCCGAGAAGGAAAGGAAAGGGAAATCAAAGCAAACTCTGACGGGAATGGAGAGACGAGTCCTGGTGAGGGTGACATGGTGTCACCCTCCAGGCCAGGCCGGATAAGGAGCGGCCAACAGTGAGGGTGGGGCGCAGAGTGGCACAAAAATAGCCACTACTTTAGTCCAGAGGGGAATAAAGAAATTTGTCAAAAGCAAGGAGAGAGAAGTGGAGACGGAGGGAGGGAGGAAGGAAGGGGGCAGGACCATGTCCTCCCAGCAGCCGTGGGAGCTGCGGACTCCTTTAACCCTGGCACATTTCTAACCGCCGGCATAATCGCTGACTTTCAGCTGTGCACCGACATGTTCCCCAGCTCAGCCCACATCAATGACACCCTTGTTTCCATAGTAACCAAGGGAGAGTGAAGGGGAAAGGGTGTGTTGCACTGGGTGCAGGGAATCCAGCCAAAAGCAGCCACACGGGGTAGGTCGGGAGGAGGGGAGGACTCGAGTTTTTCCCACAACTGGCTTGAGCACATATCACGAGCACCCCCCAGGCCTTGCCTGCCCTCCGGCCCCCAGCCCTCTCCCCCGCACATTCAGATGCAATTGTGCGCAGGGCAAAAGTCTCGCTAAGACTCACTGGGGACAGGAGGAGGGGAAAAGGGGTCTTCCCTTTCCAGCTTCAAATTCTGTCTTCTGGTCAGGGGGCAGGAGTGGGCAGGGAAGAGGCAAGAGGGCTTTAAAAAGTATTTTGTTTTTAAATGGGAGCTTTCAAACTCTGCCTTTTTCAGGCTTCTCTCATCTACCCCAGAGCCCCAGGAGGGTTCAAAAGGGCTCAAAGGGAAGATGAAAGCGTGTGACATCTGCAGTGTCTCTGTGTCTCTGCAGCTGAGAGCAAATCAGAACATTTACAGAGGCCGTTATCAGAGGAGTGGCTTCTGCCTGCTAGGAGAGGCCTTGGGATGGCTCTTTAAAACAGTCCCCTAAGTTGGTGGTAAAAGAACAAAAATATTTTACAGACCCTCCAATGCCAAAGTTCCATACTGCAGTGTTCCAAAATTGCAGACCTCCAAGCAGGCATTTTGCCCCTCAGATAACTTGTCCCTGCTGAACTATTCGGAAGAAAAAACAATTTGCAAGTGCTAGAGCCACATTTGCAGCCTGGTAGAAGGGGGATTTCTGATTCCTTATAATTCTGTGTTGCCTCTGTAAGGGAGAGCTTGGGTGAGCCAGAGAAGCCAGTGGAGGAGGCTGCAGAGAGCAGCTAGCTCTGAGGTTAAAAAAACCCCTCACTTTCTTTTGTTTTGCAAGTCCTTACAGGTCTGTCCACAGCAACTCTGGGGCACCTTTTCACGGCTGGCTTTGTTAATGACTTTCATGTCAGATCGCTTTTGAAGCTGGCTATGCCTCAGTCTCTGCTGCACTCTTAGCCAGAAGCAGCTGGGTATTGAGGGCCAGGGGCTGCAGCGGCCCCTTCAGTCTGCTCACACGCCCTGATGGGCTTGGGAAGGGCCACCTCCCAGGATGAGAAGGCAGCTGGCCCCCAGGGACCCACCAGTCACTGGACAGTCTCTTATTCATTCTCTGAAAACCCCTGAGCTCAGGCACCAGAACAGAGTTTAATTCAGGAGCCGGGCAATGCTCTGGCCTGTTTCCCCATGTTTGAAGCTGAGGATTTCTGAGGTTCAGGGAAACAAGCTCGTTTTGCAACGAGGGGCAGGAGAAATGTTCTGCTATTCCTCTCCAATCAATCAACAGAGGACGGACATTCTGCTGCAGAGAGGCAGAGGAGCCCAGCAGCTGGGGTGACTCTTGATTCCTTGGACACGACCCCTGCAGTCACACACACACCCATGTCCTCCCCAGCAGCAAACCCTCTCCATCCAGGAGCATCCCACACCACCAAGTTGCCAGCACTGTAAAAATTGATCTAAAAATCGATCTGCCTGGCTTTTCTCAGTGGAGCAGGTTCATGGTAAAGCTGCATTTATTTCTAAAATCTGATAGCAGCGGCCTATTGTGATCGTTTAAACACAGAATTCTTTGAGCTTTAGAAATCCTGTCTATAGGACGGCCGTGGAGAAGCCAGCTAATCTCAGAGTCGGCTGCTCACTGCTCCACTGAGCTGGAGAAAGCCTGTTTACGCTAGCCTGAGCCCTCGATGTGAGAGCTTTTTAAGGACCTTGTAATTTTTCTGGAATTAAACCTCCCACCTCTCCTTACATTCCAGATGTCATTACAGTCAAAAGTCATAAGAATTTGCTTCTCTGTGTGGCTGGCTGGGGCAGAGGCAGGGGTGGGTGGGATGGGGTATGTTTCTGTAGTGACTTGTCTGCAAGAAAGACTTTTTTTTTTTTTTCTGTCCAAAGAGTGAGGATTACATACGTAGTCTCCGACCTGCAAGACGATGAGATGGTTTAATTATCTGCCTTTTCTCCCCCCACCCCCACCCAGCAGC
This sequence comes from Homo sapiens, assembly GCF_000001405.40. Lineage (NCBI taxonomy): Eukaryota > Metazoa > Chordata > Mammalia > Primates > Hominidae > Homo > Homo sapiens. The sequence goes on from NC_000010.11 coordinate 102,676,376, forward strand.
TTCCTGTCGGACAGACTGAAGCCTGGCTGGGCTAGTGACGGTAAAAATCACTGACAGCACCAGCAAACACTGTCTGTGGTTTCAAAACCATGGAGGGAATGCAAGGGACGGGTCAGTAAATAAATGAACTCAGCAAAGCTGCTTCTTCCTCTTTTTCTTTTTCTTTTTTTTTTTTTGAGAGGAAAAAAAAGCCCACTGGAATTGTCTAAACTGCAATGCAATCTCTTGCTCATTTAAAAGATCTCATTTTCTAATCATGTGCTTTGAGACATTTAATACTATTTCAATTATGCAGAGGAAATAATATAATTCCTTTATTTGAAAAATGATACTGAACCTCAGAGATCAGTTAAATCTACTGCTGGAATGGGGATTCTTTCTAAACCGTGTTGTTCCCTCTCTTCAAACAGCTGGAGCTGTACACAGATGGAAAAACATTTGGTCAGAAAGCAGCAAATTAGTGTTTTTCAGGACCGAATTCGGCTCCCGCAGCTCCTGCATCTCCATTCGTCTAGATTTTATTTCTTCTTTGCATTGACATTTTTGCAGACCCAGTTCATGCCATCCTTTGAGGGAAATGGGCAGAGAAAGGCAGTGTTAGTTATAAGAAAAGCACCACACACTCTAGCCTGGAGGGGCGGGCAGTGGGGGTCCCAGGCCCTCCCTCCCAGACCGCCAGCTTTAGGGAGTTTGCTTGGCTCAGGGGCCCACCTGGGTGACCAGGGACAGTGACCTCCCAGGAGGAGGAGGAGGGAGGTCTCTGAGAGCACAAGAGGGCGATGGGAGGGGGATGCCCAGCGCCTGAACTTGAGATGGGTCCTCAGGAACTCCCTCTGAAAAAATAAACACATCTGCCTGCATCCAAAGCCTGACTGAAGAGCTATCAGGAAAGATTCCAGCCATTTTTGGCTTTTTCTAAAAGGTGACCTTTGCCAGGGCATTAAATTCAATAAGCCACCCTTTTGGTGCCCCATGTGTTTACAGTGTGACAGTGTACACTTGGGTTAAATTAAATTTCTTTTTGGAAAAACAAACCTACTGCAGTGAGTGTTGCGAGGCACACACCAGGGCGATGTGCATTTACTTCTCTTCCTGCAGCACTCCAGATAGGTTTAAAAGGGTCTGGCCCGCTTCTTATAGCTTTAAGCACCAGCATCCAGAGGGACTGGGGAGAAGGTTCCCTTAAAGGCACAATGACCTTGAAAGCGCCCTCTCTTAGAAGGCTGAAGAGGGACCAAGGTAAAAATCACACAATGCCTACAGCTACCTGGCAGGCAGCATAATTCCTACGGATGCCAGGCCTGTCAGAGGTGAACTCCTTCCCAACCCCCTTTGGAGCCAAACCTGGACACTCTCCCCTTCCCTAGAGTCTCCCCAACCTTCAAGAGTGTGTGGAGTTCCCTCAGAAGCCCTGAACAAAATCCAAGGCAGCTGCTGCCATGAGTCCTTCCCCTTGCATCTGTAACAGAGGCTCACGGAGGTCCCAGCTACATCTGCACACATCAGCCATACTGGACATGCCACCGAGTCCCACATTTCCTGTGGCCATGGATCTAGCTGCCGAACCTGAACAGCTGAGACAGCTTACAGTAATAAATATCAGCTGACACCCTTGGCCATTCGGAACATTAATCCCATAAACAATACATCACTGCAAAAAAACAACCAGCAGGCATCCTCTCTCCTGGCTCATCTGACCGTCACCTGAATTTACAGTGATTACAACTCTGCCAGTTGCTGTCAGTGCACTTGGGCAGCAGAACTAGATAATCTGACGGCTGTCCCAGAGCCGACATCTGACCTTTGCCAAGATGAGGCCGGTGGCGCCGAAAGCCCGAAGGTGGACAGCACCTGGCAGCAGCAGGGGGAAGGGCAGAGGAATGCCGAGGTGGGAGAAATGAGGACTCCAAACGCATCTCTAATTACAATGGGGTCAGCTACTTACTCTGAGAAGCTAAGGCCAATTTTAAGACCATTTTATGAAAAGGATTAATTTAAAGAGAAGCATGTTTAATTTTAGTAGCTAATTGGTTTCCAGGAAAAAAAAAAGATCACCTGTCAAGAGACAAAAAAGATTTTACAAATAAAAGAGGGATGAATAAGATAAGCATCTTCTCTCGCCTGGGAAGCTGAATAGCTCAGCACTTACATAGCACTTTCCACCTTCAGGGGCTCACACAAACACTCAAAGGTGGGCACCTCAACACTCTCTCCTCTACGGAGGCTCGCACTCAAACCATCTTCTCAGAGAAATCAAGGACAGTGTGCCCACACTATGTGAATAGCGCTTTGCCTTTTCCTTGCTTTATGGCTGATTAAGGAGAGATTATTGCATATAACTGAACATGAATGCAGGCAAAGAGATAGGAAAAATATTTACTCAGCTGCAGGAGCCCAAAGCAGAAGGTGGAGGGTGTGGGGTGGTTTTATGCCGGGTCTCTGTTATGGAGGCAAAGGAGGGTTCAAACGGCAGAGCCCTGCTGAGGGACAGTGTCTGGTGTCTCCAGGTGCCTGTGAGGGCCAGCAGTGGTGAAGCCCTTCTAGCCACTGTCCTGCCAACAGAGGGCGCACAGAGGCCAGTCCCTGCCAGCTGACCCCCGGCCTGGGCCCCTGCAGCTGCCGCTGCAACCCTGAGTGTGGGAAGCACAGGGAGCGTAAACAGGGGACCGAGCCCTGTGGCTGCCCTGGGCCCGGGAGGCCCCTCTAATCTGAAGCGGCTAGTGCTTGGGGAGTGGCATCTTTCTTGTGCTGGGCAGAAGAGAACTGGGCTGGAGGTGGGAGGGGAGGGAAGGGGAGGCATTGGCCAACAATGGTACCTCCTCAATCACGTGGCCATGGATCTAGCTGGGGCAAGCTTTGTCAATCACATCAGGGCAAGCTTTGTCAAGCTGCCTCCTGGAAAGGAAAGGCAATGGTGGTGCCCAAGCTCCCCTAGGGGAGGCTCCCATCAGACTTGCTGGAGATTATATTCCCAGAACCTAACATGATGTCTAGCCCACAGCCCACTTAATTCACATCTTTTAAGTCAATCCTTGTAGAAGCCTGCAAAGTAGGTGCTGGTGTTATTTCTCTATCACAGCTGAGGAGATGAAGGCACAGGACAGAGCAGGGCAATGGCAAGCTGTGGTGCCCAGCGTGGTGCTCCAGAGCTGCTTACCAGTTCTCCACGGATGTGGGTACCTGCCGGGTGAAGGGTTCTGCCCCAAGCTTAAAGAGGAGCTGGGAAGCACCCTGAAGATGGGAAAAGGAGGAATTCTGGTTTTATCCTCCTTGTGACTTCCGCTAAAAACAGGGGCCTGAGACTGGAGTAGCCCCAGCCAAGCCTCCCTGCAGCTCCGATAGTGCCAGAGGTTGTTATGGGCCATTCAGTTCTCAAGATTCCTGGGCTGTGGGTATCTGTATATGCAGAGGCCTGGTTATCTGCCTGGCTGCACAATCCTCACATATTAACCATCCACCCAGACCACCTCCTCCAGTGGAAATGCTACATTTAGAGAAAACATACTTGCAAGAGGAGGAACCTTCTGCTTCTTATGTTTAAATAAATGTTCCATACCACTCTTGCTTTCACCTGGCAAGGAAGGCTTTTTTTTTGAGACGGAGTCTTGCTCTGTCGCCCAGGCTGGAGTGCAGTGGCATGATCTCGACTCGCTGCAAGCTCCGCCTCATGCCATTCTCCTGCCTCAGCCTCCCAAGTAGCTGGGACTACAGGCGCCCGCCACCATGCCCGACTAATATTTTTGTATTTTTAGTAGAGACAGCGTTTCACCATGTTAGCCAGGATGGTCTCGATCTCCTGATCTTGTGATCCACCCACCTCAGTCTCCCAAAGTGCTGGGATTACAGGCGTGAGCCACTGCACCTGGCCGAATCTTTATTGTTAAAAACTGGTTTGACCAATTTTCTGTACATTTGATCTTCATTATGGGGATGACGATCTTACGGTATGAATAGTCCTCCCTTCCTTCCTTCCCTGGACCCTCCCCTGACCAATCTTGCTGAAACTGAATTTGAATTGATTAGCTTCAATTCAATAACAGAGACTAAAGAGAGACATGGAATTTCAAATACTGAGCTTTGTTTGGCCTCCTAGAGAGGAAATAAAGTTTCCTATGTCACAATATTATTCTCCCCTATAACCACTGGGAGAAACAGCAGGCCACCCCTAAGCATACAGGGGAAACTCACTCCTCCCAAATCTCTGCATCCCAGAAGTTAAGGTGCACTGCTTCTTTCCAAGGGAAGAGTGGTCTCTGACTATGCTGCTCTCTTAAATTTGATCTCTGTACATTGCATCCATCACTGCTCGGTAGCTGGAAGGAAGCGGTGGCAGCCATGGCTGTGTGGGCCTGGTTTTTAGAGCCATGCTGGTTACGTGGTCACAGCAGTAATTGCTTTAAGATGATGAGGTGCTCGGACCCTTGCTGAGCAATGCAGCCTACCTCATTGTGCCATCAGGCCCCCAGGGTCAAGAAGCAGCTGGATGCTGCTTCCATCAAATATGGCTCGCTATTAGTAGTTTTTTTTTCTGGTGACAAAGGGCATTGCACCAGAAAGGTAGTGAAATCGCATGTCCTGAGACTGCTTTCTTAGTCTCCAGAAAAGTTTGAAAATTTAAAAATAAACCTGAGGTCTGACTCACAGATAAGCAGTTCCATATACACCTGGAGTCAACAATAACTGATGCCAGGCCTAGAAAGAAGTGGTAAATTTTGTTTTTCAAAATATCAGGCCAGGCGTGGTGGCTCACGCCTGTAATCCCAGCACTTTGGGAGGCTGAGGCAGGCGGATCACCTGAGGTCAGGAGTTCGAGACCAGCCTGGCCAACATGGTGAAACCTCGTTGCTACTAAAAAAAATACAAAAAATTAGCCAGGCGTGGTGGTGGGCATCTGTAATCCCAGCTACTCGGGAGGCTGAGGCAGGAGAATCGCTTGAACCCAGGAGGTGGAGGTTGCAGTGAGCCAAGGTTGTGCCATCGCATTCCAGCCTGGGCAAGAAGAGCGAAACTCCATCTCAAAAAAAAAAAAAAAATTAAAATTCTGTGGCATATTAGGGACAAGTCCCCCAAATCAAGGAAAAAGAAGCAAAACCAAGAAATGGGCGAGTGAGCATTTAGTGTTCCTCTGGAGGCTGACTCAGGCACGGATCACAGCTCGGCGCTCGGACTGCTCATGGCCCCTTTTGTGGACACAAGGCAACTGAAAGCCTATGTGACCTGCTCATGGCTCCTGTCTCCAGGAGGAGGAGAGGAACGTGGGGCAGACATCACAAGAAAAGGTGAGCATGAGGGGGTGGCCTGGAGAGCAGCACCCAGGGCACGATCTGCTGGCTTAAGGTTATGGGAGGAGGCAAGTCTCCGTGGTGACCATGGCTAGAGGTCAGGTTAAAACTTCGGATCTCTGCTTTGAGAGGAAATTCAAAGCCAGTATCATTTTAATTACACATACCACACACACATGCACACTCAGAGTATTTTAGAGAGAAAATGTCTTCAAATGCCTGGAACTGTAACAGCAGAAAGAGCTGTGGTTTGGGGTTCAAGTTCAGGTCTGTGGGTGGAGGAGGGATGGATTTCTCGATACCTTTCTCTGGCTCTAAGCCAGATCCTTTGTTCACTATTTTCTAGACACCCAAGGAGGGAAAAAAAAGACTGAGAGTCCCAGTGCAGAATGTTTCATCCTAGGAGGGGCCCTGGCAACCTGGGCCTGACCTCGAGGGCGCAGAGTGACACTTCCTCCATGTTGATAATGGAGTCTGGCTTCGGTTCTCCCTCCCAGACATTTTTCAGTTTCTCCTCTTTCCGCTTTCATCCACTTGACATAACTGGGTCTCTCCTCATCACTCCCCTGGACAGTGGGCCTCTTGGCACAACAGAGTTTCTGAGATTGATGATCTCCTTCTGCTTCTCGTGCCCTTTACCTACTCTCTGCTCCTGATGGTCTCCCGTGAAAACCTGCTTTAATCATACAATGGGCTGGCTTCCCAGTCAGCACCAATGAGGAAAAGAAACCCCGGTTCCATCCTCTCTCAAAAGTCAGTTTCCACACCTGAAGCAGAGGCTGGTGAACAACACGTGGTACTTCCCACCCCTGTAATGGCTTCGTATGTGCTGCCTTCAGGACACCAGGTGGAACGGGACCCTGAAATCCATCCCAGGAATCACTAACTTCCATAGTCTCAAATCATGTGTTTAAGCTACTCCACTAATGAGAAGTGATGTACCTGCCCTACTTCATCCACAGAGGGGCGTGGCTTGCCATCTAGCAGCTCCATGGCTGTTTCCTTAACTCGCCCCCGTGAGGCTACCTATTGTTAAGCAGTACAAGACAGGTCTCTTAAATATGTTTTGATTAAACATGTACGATGTATGTGTCTGTCTTTAAACACTTGAAACTGCAACAGAAATTCCAGGTCCTTTTTTTATTTTTAAACCTTTGTACATTTTCTTTCAGAGTTGTTAGAATCAGATGTCACCTGACTTGCCTATTCAGTGCCTAATCATTTGGGCCAGCTTTTGGGGAGGTGGGGTGGGGTAGGGAGGAAAAAAACAGGAATTTAGGGCATTTCAGTAATTATTGCACAGTTTTCACGTTTGAAAGTGAACCTCAAACCATTCGATCTTTATTGATATTTTTCTAGTAAAGTCTTTCAGTTTTAGAATATTTTTAGCCCTAATAAATAAAAATTACTAAAGGCCTGTACTTCAACTAAGCAATGCTGGAAAGGAATTCCACTTAAGTGACTCTTTTTAAGGCAAAAACCAGGAAGCTGGTGTGTGGACAAGAGCTTGGGTCAGAGGCACCACCTTAGGGAGGTACACGGTCAACCAGTGGCTCACAGTGAAAAGCGCTTCCACAGCAAAACTCCATGACCTTTCTCTAGTCCCCAAAGGTTACCACGAAAGGACAATAGACAGCAGATTCCCTTCTTAATTAACATTTTTATTAAATAACCCATTTCAAATAATGGTTAAATTCTCTAAATTTATATCATTCTATTAACCATAATCTAATCTCATTAACCTTGAAATCCCAGTCTTAACTACCCAATTCTATACACCATGGTACTATCTACTAAACTAATTAAGTGACCTTCAAACTATTTCTCCTCCATACAAAAATCATTTTTTATTTTTTGCTCATAGTTTTTTGTTGGATCTCTCTTGATATCATTTCCTGTGAACTTGGTTGCTGAAGGCCCCAATCTGGGAAGAACTTTCTTATCAAAATCAAATCATATATAATAATCTCACTTTACTCACTCAAACTGGTTTATTTTGCAGTGCTCCCCTGCCTGTCCCCAACCCCACCCTCTAGCTGCCTAGTAGCTTGCTGCCTCTTTTGTGGCCTAAAGATCCCGTGAAGGGCACTGTCTACGGTGGTTACACAGCCAGGAGCATGGAGTTCTATCCTTTAATCTCCACCTGATGGGAGTTGGGGGAGGGCTGGGGGTTGGGAAGAAAATGACAGGAGATCCCTCTCTACCTCCAGGCTTCTCTGAAGCAGTGTCCTTGACTTTAAATGCCACGGCTCTAAATACTGATTCTAGATTACTCTAGTTCTCCTTTTTCACATCGCTAAGGCTGGTGGAAGATACAAGAGGCTTACTGTTAATTCTCGCTTTGCTTTTTCTTCAACACTCTGGTCAAGCAAAAGAAAGATTCCAGAGCTGTACTTGCACTTTCTTACGAATATGCACACAAACTATATTGCTTTTCTTCAGCCCCACCTTCATAATAGCCCCCAACCTCAAGATGCTCTCAGCTTTCTCTCTCTTTTTTTCTTTTTCTGAGACAGAGTCTCACTCTTTCACCCAGGCTGGAGTGCAGTAGTGCAATCTCAGCTCATTGCAAGCTCCGCCTCCTGGGTTCAGGCCATTCTCCTGCCTCAGCCTCCCGTGTAGCTGGGACTACAGGTGCCCGCCACCACACCCGGCTAATTTTTTTGTATTTTTAGTAGAGACGGGGCTTCACTGTGTTAGCCAGGATGGTCTCGATCTCCTGACCTCGTGATCTGCCTGCCTCGGCCTCCCAAAGTGCTGGGATTACAGGTGTGAGCCACCACAGCCGGCTACTCTCAGCTTTCTAAATTTGTCATCTAAACCTTTTAGACAGGCTCATGCTGAAGTGGTTTTCAGAAACACAAGAAAATTACTATCTTTTCTTGGGTCTCATCTTCATCAAAATAACCTTAGGCCTTATGACTGCCATCCTATGTGCAATCGGAGTAAAATATGTTAGACAAATTTTGATTGTTTATTTTTATTTATTTATTTATTTTGAGAGAGAGTCTTGCTCTGTCGCCCAGGCTGGAGTGCAGTGATGCGATCTTGGCTCACTGGAACCTTCGCCTCCCAGCTTCAAGCAATTCTGCTGCCTCAGCCTCCCAAGTAGCTGGGATTACAGGTGTGCACCACCATGTCCGGCTGATTTTTTTTGTATTTTTAGTAGAGACGGGGGTTTCACCATGTTGGCCAGGCTGGTCTCGAACCCCTGACCTCAGGTGATCCACCCGCCTCGGCCTCCCAAAGTGCTGGGATTACAGGCATGAGCCACTGCACCTGGCCTTGATGTTTTAAAAAGCAGCCAGGGCCGGGCAGGGTGGCTCATGCCTGTAATCCCAGCACTTTGGGAGGCTGACGCAGGCAGATCACTTGGGGTCAGGAGTTCAAGACCAGCCTGGTCAACATGGCGAAATCCCGTTTCTACTAAAAATACAAAAAATTAGCTGGGTGTGGTGGTGAATGCCTGTAATCCCAGCTACTTGCAAGGCTGAGGCAGGAGAATCACTTGAACCTGGAAGGCGGAGGTTGCAGTGAGCCGAGATTGTGCCACTGCACTCCAGCCTGGGCAATGAGAATGAAACTCCGTCTCAAAAAAAAAAAAAAAAAAAATTAGGGGGAGCCTGCTTTTCCGGTACACAGTTCCTCAGTACAAAGCATGGGGCTTTCTGTCAGCAGAAGCCTCCCAGTGGGAAACCAACCTGAAGTAGCAGGAAACAGACACCAACCCTAGGGGTAGGGAAGATAACCAACAGAAGAAACAAAAACACTTCTAGGATGACTAGTACGTGTATGGTTATTGGTGGCTATCACCTTGGAAGTACAGGCATTTTAGCATCCGTAATATTAGACACAACACAAAACCCCAATCCAATCAATCATCAAAGAATCCTAGAGTTAGAGACAATCCTCAGTCTTCTGTTCTCACATCCCTCCCAAAGGGGAAGCTTGCTGCACATGTGGGGTGGCTTACCTGGGGCACTGTTGGGGCACCTCATGATATCTGATTGGTTGCTAAGCAGAAAAGAACCAAATTCCTCCATGCCCTTCATATCTTGGAATGGCTCATCTGCCCATCAAGATCAGCCCAACCAATGAGACAGACCACCTCGGTTAGCTGTCATGTTGCCAGGTGGCCAAGCCTTCCTGTAATCTCACCTGAACGCCCTCTCCTGTGAGAGCTGAGCAAGACTGGATCTGCCAGACTCGGTCGCGGATGGTATGCAGGTTCAGTCCTTCTGCAATTTCAGAGGCAGGGGCTGCTGTGAGCAAATCCTGCTTATTAGCAAAGATGAGCACTGGCACACAACTTAGTTTTTCTTCCTCCAGTAATTCCGCTAGTTCCTGGATTTTGAGAAGGGAGAGGGAGGGAAGGTTAAAATCTATACATCTATGATATTTAACCATACACTACTTTTTTTTTTTTTTTTTTGAGACAGAGTCTCACTCTGTCACCCAGGCTGGAGTGCAATGGCGTGATCTCGGCTCACTGCAACCTTCGCTTCCCAGGTTCAAGTGATTCTCCTGCCTCAACCTCCTGAGTAGCTGGGACTACAGGCATGCACCACCACACTCAGCTAATTTTTGTATTTTTAGTAGAGACAGGGTTTTGCCACGTTGGGCAGGCTGGTCTAGAACTGCACACCTCAGGTGATCCACCCACCTCGGCCTCCCAAAGTGCTGGGATTACAGGCGTGAGCTACCATGCCCGGACAACCATGCAGTTCTAATCAGAAAAAAAAATAACAGTTAAGCTGATCAACTAGCAACTTTCAAGAGTAGTGATTCTCAAACTTTTTTTTTTCTTTCTTTTTTTTTTTTTTTGAGACAGGGTCTCGCTCTGTCGCCCAGGCTGGAGTGCAGTGGCGCAATCCCGGCTCACTGCAACCTTTCACCTCCCAGGTTCAAGCAATTCTCACCCCTCAGCCTCCTGAGTAGCTGGGACTGCAGGTGCACACTACCATGCCCAGCTAATTTCTGTATTTTTAGTAGAGATGGGTTTTCACCATGTTGGTCAGGCTGGTCTTGAACTCCTGGCCTCAAGTGATCTGCCCGCCTTGGCCTCCCAAAGTGCTGGGATTACGGTGTGAGCCGCCGTGCTCAGTCTGATTATCAAACTTGAACCTGTATAAGATTCCCCTGGCAGATTCCTGGGCCCAACCCAGAGATGCTGACTTTGGAAAGTCTGAGCTAGGGCTCAGGAATTTACTTTTTTTTTTTTTTTTTTTTTTTTTTTTGAGACGAGTCTTGCTCTGTTGCCCAGGCTGGAGTGCAGTGGCGCGATCTCGGCTCACTGCAACCTCCGCCTCCCGGGTTCAAGCAATTCTCTGCCTCAGCCTCCCAAGTGGCTGGGATTACAGGCGCCCACCACCATGCCTCGCTAATTTTTTTTGTATTTTTAGTAGAGACGGGGTTTCACCATCTTGGCCAGGCTAGTCTTGAACTCCTGACCTTGTGATCCACCCCCCACCTTGGCCTCCCAAAGTGCTGGGATTACAGGCGTGAGCCACCGCGCCCGGCATAGGAATCCACATTTTTAGCAAACTCCTGAAGTGATTCCGCTACAGATGATTCACAGATCACTTTTTTTTTTTGAGACAATATCTCACTCTGTCATCCAGGCTGGAGTGCAGTGGTGCGATCACAGCTTACTGCAGGCTCAACCTCCTGGGCTCAAGCAATGCTTAACTTAGCCTCCTGATCAGCTAGCTGGGACCTCAGGTGATTGCCACCATGCCCAGCTAATTAAAAAAAAATTTTTTTTGGCCAGGCGCGGTGGCTCACCCATGTAATCCCAGCATTTTGGGAGGCTGAGGTGGGCGGAGTTCGAGACCAGTCTGACCAATATGGTGAAACCCTGTCTCTATTAAAAATACAAAAATTAGCTGTGCATGGTGGTGGGCACATGTAGTCCCAACTACTTGGGAGGCTGAGACAGGAGAATTGCTTGAACCCAGGAGGCAAAGGTTGCAGTGAGCTAAGATCATGCCACTGCACTCCAGCCAGGGTGACAGAGTGAGATTCTGCCTGGAAAAAAAAAATTTTTTTTTGTAGAGACAGGGTTTTGATATATTGCCCACGCTGGTCTTGAACTCCTGGGCTCAAGGGATCCTCCTGCCTCAGCCTAACAAAGTGCTAGAATTATAGCGATGAGCCATCACACCTGGCCCATAGAACACTTTTGAGAAAATCATTCAAGGGAGAAGACAAGAAGTGGTTTGAGATTCAAAACTTACCCAAGGTTATTACCTGCAAATAACTTTCAATGCGTGTGTGTGTGTGTATGTGTGTGTGTGTATGAAATTTAAACTGAAAATGACAATTACTTTAGAGATAATTCTGTTTCATCAATCTCTATCTCTAAAACATGCATGCACATGCTTCACATTTCATCAAACCTACATCCTAAAATAACTTTATTGGTCCATCTGGCAAGGTCCCTGATATTTAGGTTATAGGTTGGGGTCTAAACTATATGTGATTTTGTTTACAAAAACTATAGGAAAGGGTGTATATGTACTTAAATGATAGGCCCCACCTTTTCCTCATTAAATCCACATTTTAGCTACTTAAAACACATGGGCTTTCAAAGAGAACTGTATGGATCAAGAGGCAGATGACTACATAGGACCCCCTCCACCTCCAAGCTCATTTCACATGAGTGATAATCCAGAAATCATCAGGGTATGGAAGGGTGGTGGGTTGTTTCCAGAAGTCTGGAGAGTTCTCAACTCAATTTCAAAAAAAGGGACATAAACATGAGAACTGCTACCTTTGGAAGGCCACCTGTGGTCATTTAGGACACAGGCCAAGGACTCTGCAATGATAACTTTTTAAAAAACTTTTTTTTTTTTTTTTTTTTGAGAGGGAGTCTCACTCTGTCACCCAGGCTGGAGTGCAGTGACACAATCTCGGCTCAGTGCAACCTCTGCAGTGGGTTCAAGTGATTCTCCTGCCTCAGCCTCCAGAGTAGCTGGGACTGTACAGGCACGTGCCACCACACCTGGCTAATTTTTTGTGTTTTTAGTAGAGACAGGGTTTCACTGTGTTAGCCAGGATGGTCTTGATCTCCTGACTGCAAGTGATCTGCCCACCTCAGCCTCCCAAAGGGCTGGGATTACAGGCGCGAGCCACCGCACCCAGCCCTTGGCATGTGCATTTTTTCCTGTCCTTTCAGATTTGTCAAAGTTACCCCTGAATCAATTAAGTAGGTATTGAAAAATGTAAATAAAAATGAGAAGTGACTTGTTCCTCTGGGTTCGTTTTCACATGGCCTGGGAAAAAACCTGAAGAGCCTTTGGGCATGGTGCTAAGTTCCACTTGTCTGTATCTCATATATTCAATTTGATTAAAGCTAAAAAGCTTTAATTAGAAAACTGTTTAGGCTGGGCATGGAGGCTCACGCCTGTAATCCCAGCACTTTGGGAGGCTGAGGTGGGTGGATCATCTGAGGTCAAGAGTTCAAGACCAGCCTGGTCAACATGGTGAAACCCTGTCTCTACTAAAAATACAAAAAAATTAGCCGGGCGTGGTGGCGCACGCCTGTAATCCCAGCTACTTGGGAGGCTGAGGCAGGAGAATCACTTGAACCTGGGAGGTTGAAGTTGCAGTGAGCTGAAATTGTGCCATTGCACTCCAGCCTGGGTGACAAGAGTGAAACTCCGTTTTGGAGGGGGGAAAAAAAAACTGTTTAAAGAACTCTCAACTAATTTCAGACAACTGGTATTTTTGCCTGCTTGCTAGAATAACTGTCTTGTTTGAACTGTAAAGGTTAACAAACAAAACAAAACAAAAACCTCCCTCACTCTCACACATTTACAAGGTTGATTAATGAATACCCAGTTATTTGGGAACTATCTCAACAGAAGAATTAGTATTTAAAAAATATACTAGGCTGGGCGTGGTGGCTCACGCCTGTAATCCCAGCACCTTGTGAGGCTGAGGCGGGAAGATCACCTGAGGTCGGGAGTTCAAGACCAGCCTGACCAATGTGGTGAAACCCTCTCTCTACTAAAAATACAAAATTAGCCAGGCGTGGTGGTGCATGCTAATTCCAGCTACTCGGGAGGCTGAGGCAGGAGAATTGCTTGAACCTGGGAGGCGGAGGTTGGGGTGAGCCGAGATCATGCCATTGCACTCTAGCCTGGGCAACAAGAGCAAAAACTCCGTCTCAAAAAAAAAAAAGTACATACATATATATATATAAGAACTTTGATATAAAAAAGAATTATTTACCTGACCCGTCTCTTCAAATCTTTTTCTGTCTGCACTGTCGATTACATATATCTATAAAGGAAAAGAAGAAGGTTATTTCAGTGAGCAGAGATGGAAAAGACAGGGCAATTTCTGCAAAAGGAGCAGGTGATCCCCAATCAGCATATTCCAATTAGCACAACATACAGAAATTGACTGGTGAGTCTCATCTCATTTATGAAGGCCAAACAAACAAATACACAAATTAATTAAATAGGGATGCCCAGAAAATACCTTCAGCAATGCTCCAAAGTCTAGGATTTAGGAAAACCAAGTGGGATAAAATAGCTACATTTAATGGGCACTTGATGTTGTCACTAAACATTACTAGGTCTACTCTATTAACCCTCATTACAACTCTACAATATAGATTTCACTATTTTCCTTTTTTTTTTTTTTTTTTTGAGACAGAGTCTTGCTCTGCTCTGTCACCCAGGCTGGAGTGCAGTGGCATGATTTCGGCTCTGGGTTCACCCCATTCTCCTGCCTCAGCCTCCCCAGCAGCTGGGACTACAGGCACACGCCACCATGCCCAGCTAATTTTTTTGTAGTTTTAGTAGAGACGGCGTTTCACCATGTCGGCCAGGCTGGTCTCGAACTCCTGACCTCAAGTGATCCACCTGCCTCAGCCTCCTAAAGTGCTGGGATTACAAGCATGAGCTACTGTGGCTGGCCTACTTTGTTTAAATTATGTTAAGTTTAAACACAAAGCTGATATTAATAATAATACAGTAAATGATTAGTAGTAACATGAATATATCTTGAAAAGACATTTATATCTGTCAAAAGGCTGTTATTATTTCTCGGCCTAAAGAGAAATGGAAGATACCCTATCCCCTCCCTTCCATCACACTTCAAGTTTTATTTCTTAGACAAACCCTCAAATTAATAAAGCTCATGTCAGATGTTCTCAATGTCGTCTTCCCTAAGAATAACTCTGGTACTTCTAGGAGTTACTCTTAGTCTTTCAAACCTCTTTTTTTTTTTTTTTTTTGAGATGGGGTCTTGCTATGTTACCCAGGCTGGTCTCAGACTCCTGGGCTCAAGGGATCCTCCCACCTCAGCCTCCTGAGTAGTTGAGATTACAGGCATGCACCACCAGACACAGTTTAGAGAACCATTTAATTTAATACTCCAAAGCAAGGGTAGGCAAACTTTTTCTGTAAGAGGTCAGCAGTCAATATTTTAGCCTCTGTGGCCCATACAATCTCTCTTTTTCTTTTTATTATACTTTAAGTTTTAGGGTACATGTGCACACTGTGCAGGTTAGTTACATGTGTATACATGTGCCATGCTGGTGCGCTGCACCCACTAACTCGTCATCTAGCATTAGGTATATCTCCCAATGCTATCCCTCCCCCCTCCCCCCACCCCACCACAGTCCCCAGAGTGTGATATTCCCCTTCCTGTGTCCATGTGATCTCATTGTTCAATTCCCACCTATGAGTGAGAATATGCGGTGTTTGGTTTTTTGTTCTTGCGACAGTTTACTGAGAATGATGATTTCCATACAATCTCTTTCACAACTCTTGAACGCTCCTGTTATTGTTAGAAGGCAACCACAGAAAATCTGTAAACAAATGTATGTGGCTATGTTCCAAGTAACTTCATGGACACTGAAATGTGAATTTCATATAATTTTCACATGTTGTGAAACATTATTCTTTTGGCGTTTTTCTCCCCAACCACTTAGAAATGTAAAAACCACTCCTAGCTTGAAGGCTGTACAAAAACTGGAGGCAGCCTGGATCAATTTGTCGACCTGCTCTATAAAGCAAGATTTGATTACGGTACTCTAGAGATAATGGGAAAGAATGAACCAGGCAACTCTTGTGTCAAGCCTCAAGCCTGCTCTTCTAGGCAGTGTGGAGTCTAGCGTAATAAGTCTTTTTCAACCAACAATGGAAGACTATTAAACATAGACAAATATAACCCATCCACCACCTTCACTCTAAGCTGCTACAAAACTGGCAGACAGGGCTGTGAGTCACAAGGCCTTAGAATCTAATCCCAGGGACTCAGTTCCTCCCTCATACTTGTTTAATCTCAAACAGCACTGGAAAATAATGAAAGGTTGACTCTCAATCCAAACTATTATCTTGTACTAGTGTCGAGTACAAGGATGCAGCTGGAGGAAGCTTCTCTAGTGTTGCTGTGAACCGATTTTTGCTGGATTGTACGTTAATTCCCAGGTACTCTCAGATCATGTGAATGTGGAATCCAGGGTTACATTATATTACAACCAACTTGCAGTCTGCCCTCAAGCTGTTAGAGCTTATGATTTAAAATTACCCTTACCTGGAGACCAGAAAGTTTCTGAGACCTCCTTATGGAGACTTACAATCATTAATGTCTTTATATACTTCTCTTCCTTGGGTATTTCTTTCAAGATACCTTAATCCAGCAGATGAACAGATAGGAATGTAATTTCTCTCAGCCACCTGCTTTTTCCTAACTCATGATTGAAAGAGGAAAAAGGAGTCTATAGCTTTTGAAACATGTATACACTTTTGTTTTTTTGTTGAGACGGAGTCTCGCTCTGTCACCCAGGCTGGAGTGCAGTAGTGTGATCTCGGCTCACTGCAACCTCTGCCTCCTGGGTTCAAGCGATACTCCTGCCTCAGCTTCTCGAGGAGCTGGGATTACAGGCATGTGCCACCACACCTGGCTAATTTTTATATTTTTAGCAGAGATGGGGTTTCGCCATGCTGGCCAGGCTGGCCTCGAACTCCTGACCTCAGGTGATCCACCCACCTCAGCCTCCCAAAGTGCTGGGATTACAGGTGTGAGCCCTCCGTGTCTTTTTTCTTTTTTTTGAGACAGAGTCTCGCTCTGTCACCCAGGCTGGAGTGCAGTGGCGCGATCTTGGCTCACTGCAAGCTCCATCTTCTGGGTTCATGCCATTCTCCTGCCTCAGCCTCCCTAGTAGGCTGGGACTACAGGCGCCCGCCGGCACGCCCAGCTTTTAGTAGAGACAGGGTTTCACCGTGTTAGCCAGGATGGTCTCGATCTCCTGACCTCGTGATCTGCCCGCCTTGGCCTCCCAAACTGCTGGGATTACAGGCATGAGCCACCGCACCCGGCCCCTCTGTGTCTTTTCATGACTTGATAGCTCATGTATTTTTATCATTGAACAATATTCTACTATACGGGTGTACCACAGTTTGTTTATCTATTAACCTATTGAAGGACATCTTGGATGCTTCCAGGTTTTGGCAATTAGGAATAAAGATGCCATAAACATTCCTATGCAGAATTTTGTGTGGAATATCAATTTCCAACTAACTGGGTATATATCTTGGAGTACTGCTGGACTGTATGCTAAGACTATGTTTAGCTTTGTAAGAAACTACCAACTGTCTTCCAAAGTGGGTGTACTATTTTGTATTTCCACCAGCAATGAAGAGGAGTCCCATTGCTCTACATCCGTATCAGCATTTGGTATTGTCAGTTTTTTTTTTATTTTAGCCAGTCTAGTAGGTATTAATATGTAGTACCATATTATTGCTGTTTTAATTTGTAAATCCATAATGACATATAATACTGAACATTTTTTATATGCTTATCTGTTTCTTTGATGAGGTGTCTGTTCAGATCTTTTGCCCATTTGTAAAACCAAGTTGTTTGCTTATTCTTGAGTTTTGAGTTATTTGTATATTTTAGATATAACTACTTTAACATATATGTGTTTTGCAAATATTTTCTCCCAGTCTGTGGTTTGTATTTTTATTCTCTTAGCAGTCTCTTTTGCAGAGCAGAAGTTTTATTTTATTTATTTTTTTGAGATAGAGTCTCACTCTGTCACCCAGACTGGAGTGCAGTAGTGATCACAGCTCACTGCAGACTCAACCTCCTGGGCTCAAGTGATCCTTCCACCTCAGTCTCCCGAGTAGCTGGGACTACAGGTCCACATCACCATGACTGGCTAATTTTTTTTTATTTTTTGTAGAGACAGGGTCACAGTATATTGTGCAAGCTGGTCTTGAACTTCTGGACTCGAAGCATCCTCCCACCTCGGCCTCCCAAAGGGCTGAGATTACAGACATGAGCCACCAAATCCAGCTTCCAGAAGTTTTATTTTTATTTATTTTTTTTGAGATGGATTCTTGCTCTGTCGCCCAGGCTGGAGTGCAGTGGTGTGATCTCGGCTCACTGCAAGCTCTGCCTCCCACGTTCACGCCATTCTCCTGCCTCAGCCTCCTGAGTAGCTGGGACTACAGGCGCCTGCCACCGCGCCCGGCTAATTTTTTTTGTATTTTTTGTAGAGATGGGGTTTCACCGTGTTAGCCAGGATGGTCTCGATCTCCTGACCTCGTGATCCTCCCGCCTTGGCCTCCCAAAGTGCTGGGATTACAGGCATGAGCCACCGCGCCCGGCTGCTTCCAGAAGTTTTAAATTCATTTAAGTCCAATTTATTTCTTTCATGGATTATGCTTTTTGTGTATCTAAAACCTCATCACCAAACTCAAGGTCACCTAGATGTTCTCCTATGTTGTCTTCTAGGAGTTTTATAGTGTTTGGGTTTTACATTTAGGTTTAAGATCCATTTTGTCAAGGGCTCTAGGTCGAAGGAAAAAAGAATCTATTTTAACATTTTAAGTTAAGGGGTAAGGATGGGTCTAGATTCTTTTTTTTTTGCATGTCGATGTCCCATTATTCCAGCGCCACTTGCTGAAAAGATTATCCTTCCTCCCTTGAACTGTCATGTTCTTTTGTCAGAGAGAGTGGGCCATATTCATGTAAGCCTATTTTGGGGCTCTCTATTCTGTTCTGTTGATCAATTTGTCTACTCTTTCTCTAATGTATGCTGTCTTCTTTTTTTTTTGAGACGGAGTTTCACACTTGTTGCCCAGGCTGGAGTGCAATGGTGCAATCTCGGCTCACTGCAACCTCTGCCTCCTGGGTTCAAGCGATTCTCCTGTCTTAGCCTCCCGAGCAGCTGGGATTACAGGTGCCTGCCACTACACCCGGCTAATTTTTGTATTTTTAATACAGATGGGGTTTCACCCCATTGGCCAGGCTGCTCTTGAACTCCTGACCTCAGGTGATCTGCCTGCCTCAGCCTCCCAAAGTGTTGGGAGTGCGGGCGTGAGCCACTGCGCCCGGCCTATGCTGTCTTGTTTACTTGCTTTACAGAGAATCTTGATGTCAGGTAGTGTCAGTCCTCTAACTTGTTCCTTTTCAGTACTATGTTAGCCATCTAAATCTTTTGCTTTTCCATATAAACATTAGAATCAGTTTGTCAATATCCCCAAAGTAACTTGCTGTGATTTTGATTGGGATTCTATTAAATCTATAAATCAAGTTGGGTATAACTGACATCTTAATAATACTGAGTTTTCCTATCCATGAGCACGGACTGTCTCTTTATTTACCTAGATCTTCTTTATGAGTTTTGCAGGTTTCTTCAAGTAGGTCCTGAATGTATTTTGTTAGATTTATGCCTAAGTGTTTCATTTTGGGGGTGCTAAATGGTATTTTGCTATTAATTTCAAATTTCAATTGTTCACTGCTGATATAAAGGAAAGCAACCGACTTGTACATATTAACCTTATATCCTGCAGCCTTGGTATGATCACTTATTAGTTCTAAGTGTTTCCTTGTTGATTTAAAATTTTTTTTTTGTTTTTGAGACTTGTTTTTTGTTTTGAGACTCTTGTTGCCCTGGCTGGAATGCAATGCCATGATCTTGGCTCACCGCAACCTCCACCTTCCGGGTTTAAGCGATTTTCCACCTGAGTAGCTTACGGGCATGTGCCGCCACGCCCAGCTAATTTTGTATTTTTAGTAGAGACGGGGTTTCTCCATGTTGGTCAAGCTGGTCTCGAACTCCTGACCTTAAGTGATCCACTTGCCTCGGCCTCCCAAAGTGCTGGGATTACAGGAATGAGCCATCGCACCAGGCCTGATTTAAAATATTTTTAATTATTTTTATTTTTTTGTTTTTTTCTGAATTAAAAGAATTTTATCTTACCTCACCTTATCTTATCTCATCTTATCTTAGAGAGAGTCTCACTCTTGTTGCCCAGGCTGGAGTGACCACCATGCCCGGCCTTATTTTATTTTTTATTCAGACAGAGTCTCACTCTGTCACCCAGGCTGGAGTGCAGTGGTGCAATCTTGGCTCACTGCAAGCTCCGCCTCCCAGGTTCATGCCATTCTCCTGCCTCAGCCTCCCGAGCAGCTAGGACTACAGGCGCCCGCCACCATGCCCGGCTATTTTTTTGTATTTTTTAGTAGAGACGGGGTTTCACCGTGTTAGCCAGGATGGTCTCGATCTCCTGACCTCGTGATCCACCCACCTCGGCCTCCCAAAGTGCTGGGATTACAAGCGTTAGCCACAGAGCCTGGCCAACATTTTTTTTTTTTTTTTGAGACGGAGTCTTGGTCTGTCGCCAAAGCTGGAGAGCAGTGGCGCAATCTTGGCTCACTGCAACCTGCACCTCCCTGATTCAAGCAATTCTCTGCCTCAGCCTCCCAAATAGCTGGGATTACAGGCGCCCACCACCACGCCTGGCTAATTTTTTGTATTTTTAGTAGAGATGGGGTTTCACCATCTTGGCCAGGCTGGTCTTGAACTCCTGACCTTGTGATCCACCCGCCTCAGCCTCCCAAAGTGCTGGGATTACAGGCGTGAGCCACCGCACCCGGCCAACAGTTTTTTAAAATGCAAAAATTCCTGTCCTCACGGAGCTTACCTTACAGTGCAAGAGAAAGCTAATAAATAAAAATACGTCTGATGGCAATAGGTACAAAGAATCTGCTGATAGATCAGATGAGGGGAGTGAGGAGAGGGAGCCAAGGATGATTGCATTGTTTCCGGAGGAATGGGACTCCCATTTACTGAGAAGACTGTGGGAAGAGTAGGGTTGAGTAGAACAGGATGAAAACAGGAATTTGGTTTTAGACATGTTGAGGCTGAGGGACTTACCAGCCGCTGAAGTGGAGATGTCAAATAGGCAGCTGGCTTATATAGTCATGTGTTGCTTAATGACAGGGGCATGTTCTGAGAAATGCATTATTAGGCAATTCTGACATGGTGCCAACATCATACAGTGTACTTACACACACCTAGATGGTCTACTGCACACCTAGGCTGTATGGCATAGCCTATTGCCCCAGGCTACAAACCTGTACACGAAGTTACTGTATCGAATACTGCAGGCAACTGTAAAACAATGGTAAGTATTTATGGATCTAAACATATAAAAGGTAATGTGTTATGACAGCTATGTCACTAGGTAATATAAATTTTTCAGCTTTATTATAATTTTTTTTTTTTTTTGAGAAAGAGAGTCTCGCTGTGTTGCCCAGGCTGGAGTGCAGTGGCGCAATCTTGGCTCACCGCAATCTCCACCTCCTGGGTTCAAGCAATTCTCTTCCTCAGCCTCCTGAGTAGCTGGGATTACAGGCATCCACCACCATGCCCAGCTAATTTTCATATTTTTAGTAGAGATGCAGTTTCACCATCTTGGCCAGGCTAGTCTTGAATTCCTGACCTCGTGATCCACCTGCCTTGGCCTCCCAAAGTGCTGGGATTACAGGCGTGAGCCGCTGCGCCCGGCAGCTCTATTATAATCTTAAGGGACCACTATCATTTATGAGGTCAGTCACTGACCCAAGTGTCATTATGTGGCACATGACTGTATATGAAACTCAAGTTCAGGGGAGAATTCCAGGCTAGAGATGATAGTTTGAGATTCATAAGCATCTAAGTGGTCATTAAATCCTTCAAATTAGACGAGGTCACCTAAGCAGTGACTCAGAGAAGAAAAACACAAGGACTCCGGGGCTCTCTAACATTTGGAGGTTGGGAGATTAAAAAAAAATAGCAATGGAGATTTAGGAGGAGTAGCCAGTGAGGAGGAAAACCAAGATAGAATGGTGTCTTGGAAGCCAAGAAAAGACAATGTTTCAAAGAGAGCATGACCAATGTTAAATGGCCTGATAGGTCAAGTGAGATGAGTACTGAAAACTGAACCCTACTTTTAGCAATGTGGAATTATCAGTGACCCTGAAAAGAAGGCTCAAGAGTAACTAGGAGGAGATAAAGCAAAGACAGAGAGCATAACAAACTCTTTCAAGGAGTTTTGCTATAAAGGGAGGCTGAGGAATGGGACAGTATTGGAGGGGGATGTATGGTCAGGAGGAGTTTTCTGGGGCTTATTTTTTCTTCATTAAGCAAGAGAAGCTACAGGATATGTTTATGTTGATGGGAATGATCCAGAGGAGAGAGACACTTAGGAAACAACAGCAGAAGGTGAAGCTGTTTGAGATGCAAGATGATTTCTTTTTTTTTTTCTTGTCTTGAGACAGAGTATCACTCTGTCTTCCAGGCTGGAGTGTGGTGGCCTGATCTCAATCTGGGCTCACTGCAACCTCCGCCTCCTGGGCTCAAGCGATCCTCCCACCTCAGCCACCCCAAACTGCTGAGATTACAGGCATGAGCCACCACACCTGGTCTAGATGATTTCTATTCGTAATAAAGACATAGATATGGCTGCTATTATTGCAGTTTATTGCCTTTCATCATAATTGATGTAAACGCAAACTTTTGGTTAGAGGTTAGTAAAAGCGACATGCAATTTTTCTCCCATCTAAGTTCATGAGCCCCCCTAGTTTTAGGGTATGATTATGCAAGTATGTGGCTGAGGTAGAGTAGATGACAAGACCATTGAAGGAGGGCTGGTGAAGGAACTGAGAGGCTGAGGTTTTGTGGAAATCATGTAAGTGGACAGTGAAATCTCCAAGAATTCTGAAACTGTGATGGTCCTAAAGGAAGTGACAGCGAGCTGGGAGCTAAAATCTCGGCCTCCACTTGAATGAACGCTCCCTGAGTCAGGGTATTCCCAATGCACGAGGCAGCTTCTCCTACTACTGGACGATTGTAATTATAGGAAACTTCTTCCTTAATCTGAATTACATTCTACCACCTAACATTCCCCATCTTGCTCTTGGCTCAGCCCTCTAGAACTATTCAATCCCTCTGACTTAAGATAATTCTTGAAGCAGCCTAGACAGTTCCCAGTGTTCTCTTTTCCAGGAATAACATTCTCAGGTCTTTCAACCACTCCTTACACATCATGGTTTCCAGTACTTTCACTATTTTGCTTGCTCTCTTTGCAATACACTTGATTCGTTGTCTTCCTAGGGGTGACAGTCAGTGGCATGATCTTCTGACTTCCCTTCTGCTATTCAAATCACTATGGCAATTAATAACACTTTATTTTGCCAAGATGGGTGTGGGTACAACATTGTTACTGAGCGACAGCAAAACATCTTATACAAGTTATACAAAGATGTTTTTCCTTTATAATCTGTAGCCTTCTGCTATCCCTGCTAAATTCACAGTGATTAATGTTATGGTGGTGGAATTACTGACAAGAAAGAATGTTACAGTGTCCATGTTTCTAACACATGGCAGAAAATACTATGAATTAGTGCGTCAGAAGGAGTACTTACAAGAATATCGGTATTTTCAAAATAATTCTTCCAGTATGGTCTGATTTTCCTCTGTCCACCAATGTCCCATACATTCAGTTTAAAACCTTGTGATTGTACACTTTTGATGTTGAAACCCTGAAACAGGGACAAAAACATCAAGTTTTATTAAACTTTGGGATCATAATTCTGACAAAGTTACATTTAATAGCTATGTTTTTTATTAATTCTAAAGTACTCTGCCATATGTGATACTGGTAATGCTGAAAATGATTTGTTGTGACAGAGAATACAGAAACATATTTATACATGCTTGTTTCATCCAGGTTGTGGAGTCAGTGTTAATAATGTCAGGCTAACACAATGTTTTTCTACAATGAACATATATACATATATAATTACTGAGGATAACTCCAAATGAGAATAGCTCTAATTAACCAACACACATCACATGCCCATGAATCTTCAGGATGGTAAAATTTAACAGGACATTTCATGTAACTAACAACAAAAAAAAAGCTGAATCTGAAGACTCAACAGGAAAGAACACAAGCTAAATTTAAAGAGGCAAAAGCTACAAATCTAGAGGATTAGATTCTTCAAGAGCAGCTCAAAATAAATTTCCTACAGGGATTAATCAGGAAAAAGAGCAGAACTGAGGATGCTATGGGGGAGGCTGGGTTTGTAACTCGAATATATCAGCCCAGTAGGGAGGTGGAGCCCTCAGTTGCAGACACTGATGGAAACAAACAAGTGGTCAGTTAAAATTGTGCTTTCAGGCTGGGTGCGTAGCTCACGCCTGTAATCCCAGCACTCTGGGAGGCCGAGGCGGATGGATCAGGAGGTCAGGAGTTCGAGATCAGCCTGGTCAATATGGTGAAACACCGTCTCTACTAAAAATACAAAAATTAGCCAGGCGTGTTGGCGCATGCCTGGAGTCCCAGCTACTCAGGATGCCGAGGCAAGAGAATCACTTGAACCCTGGAGGCAGAGGTTGCAGTGAGCTGAGATCATGCCACTGCACTCTGGCCTGGGCGACAGAGTGAGATTCCATCTCAAAAAAAAAAAAAGTGCTTTCATAGGGAACTATGATGAACTTGAACTTGAAAAGGAAGTCTTCATTTTTTTTTTGAGACAGAGTCTCGCTCTGTTGCCCAGACTGGAGTGCAGTGGCATGGTCTTGGCTCACTGCAACCTCCGCCTCCCAAGTTCGAGTGATTCTCCTGCCTCAGCCTCCCGAGTAGCTGGAATTACAGGCGCCTGCCACCACACCCGGCTAATTTTTTGTATTTTTAGTAGAGACAGGGTTTCACCATATTGGTCAGGCTGGTCTCAAACTCCTGACCTCATGATCCGCCCACCTTGGCCTTCCAAAGCACTGGGATTACAGGCATGCGCCACTGTGCCCAGCCGGAAGTCTTTTTTTTTTTTTTTTTTTTGCAGAGTTGTGCTCTCGGCTCACCGCAACCTCCACCTCCCGGATTCAAGCGATTATCCTGCCTCAGCCTCCCGAGTAGCTGGGATTACAGGCATGCGCCACCATGCCTGGCTAATTTTGTATTTTTAGTAGAGATGGGGTTTCTCCATGTTGGTCAGGCTGGTCTTGAACTCCCGACCTCAGGTGATCCGCCCGCCTCAGCCTCCCAAAGTGCTGGGATTACAGGTGTGAGCCACTGCACCGGGCTGGAAGTCTTCATTTTTAAGACAGTTACTTGAGGTGAAACTTTGAGGAAGGTGAGCAAATCAGGGACAGGCAGAATTGCCAGGTGGGGGTCAGTGTGGAAAGAAACAAATTAACAAGCCCTTTGGGGTTCCCAGAGAATGTATTGCATGAACAAGAATTTTTTTTAAAGTCTTCTTGCAAAAATTACATAGGGAAACCAGGATTTGAAAAACCCAGTCAACAGCTTGCTACCACAGAAGAGACATTTCATCCAGAATAACTGGAGTTAGATAGCTTTGGGGATGCCTCCACAAACATTTGTTTCATGTGGTAGCCTGTCAACACTGCTGCCTGGCACAGAAGGAGAAGGCACAGTGCAATAGGACAGGAATATTGCCACCCAATTTCCACTGCGGATACACAGTCTCTGGAGGATAACTGGGGATCCTGCTGACTCTCACTTCTCTAACACGCCAATGACTGAATACATTAGAAGTTCGAGAATTCTAAAGGGAAATGGCTTAAGCTTATTGAAAAAAGTTTCATTGTGACTCACTGGCAAAACTACTTTAGTGTATTTAAAAATTCCACACTCAACAATGATATTAAATGTCAAACTCAGTAATACTGAATCCTTTCTGGAATAAAGCAGAAAATAAATAACAGTAAATCTTGGAATACAAGTAACAGTGAATCTTGGAATTTGACCATATGTATCAATGGGCTTAAACAGCTATAAGTCATGAGACCCAACAAATCTAGGAATTTATTCTGAGGAAATAATAATGATGAATGGGCAAAAACATTTAGAGATGTATATTACATAAGTATTTACATATATAATAACATAGAAAGATGTTCATGATCTATTATTAAGTGAACAAGAGGAGACAGGTTCAGTGGCTCACACCCATAATCCCAATTTTGGGAGACTGAGGCGGGAGGACTGCTTGAGCCCAGGAGTTCAAGGCCAGCCTGGGCAATGTAGTGAGACCCCATCTCTACCAAAAAAAAAAAAAAAAAAAAATTAGCTGGGTGTGGTGGCACATGCCTGCAGTCCTAACTACTCAGGAGCCTGAGGTGGGAAGATTGCTTGAACCCAGGAATTTGAGGCTGCAGTGAGCTATGGATGGTGCCACTGTACTCCAGCCTGGCCGACAGAGTGAAACCCCGTCTCTAAAAAAAATCTATATCTAGATATAGATGATACAAGCTAGTATATCCTCTATGAGCCATTTTTATTTTTTATTTTAAATATACCCATCATATATATGCATAGAAAAAAACTTGATACATTCCTAAATGTGAACAGTGGTATGTCTGACTGGGCATTATAGGTGACTTTTAGTTTCTCAATTGTATTTATTTATACTTCCTAAATTTACTACAATGAGCATTTATTACTTTTTCTAATATAAAACAAAAAACATAATAAAAGTTTGTTTTTAAAGAATATGAAACCTTGACACAATATAATATCAGAGTTACCTATAACACATCAAACAAAGCCTGAAGGTTAGAATGAGAACTTTGGGTTCCTAACTTTGAGTTTATTTCTGTGTTTGCAGTGTGGAAGTCTTCACGTTAGTGTTCTTGAGAGACACAGTTTATTGCTAATACTAAAAAAACAAAAACAAAAACAAAAAAACCCCACAAGCGCATGCACACAAAAACTAGTGCTTCTTTTTCTGGCAGAAATCTTGACACACTAATATGTGTTTTCAGCCCTTCTAGGCTAGATTACTGTAATTTGCTTGGGCTATACATTAAATTTGTTCAGAAGCTGTAAAAATTGTTCATTTGGTAGCAGTTGAAATGACTTTTCCATAAAGAGTTGTGAATCAGTAAGACTCATGGGCCGTGAAGTATGCATGCACACCAGCACAGCCATTCAAACCTGACACCAGGGTCTTATCACGGTACAGTGATGGAAAATAACTCTGGTTTTGCTAAAACCTCTAACCTTTAATGCTCAAACACTTTAAAGTGACTAAGACCAACAAGCTCTCCCTGTTGGCTTAGCCAAAGGTCAGGCATTCTTAGGATTTCCTACAGGGAATGAGTTCTAAGAAACCCACTACAGTTTTTCCAATCAGGTCTTGTCTTTTTTTTTTTTTTTTTTTTTTGAGACGGAGTCTCACTCTGTCGCCAGGCTGGAGTGCAATGGCACAATCTCAGCTCACTGTAATCTCCGCCTCCCAAGTTCAAGCCATTCTCCTGCCTCAGTCTCCTGAGTAGCTGGGATAACAGGTGCACACCACCACATCCAGCTAATTTTTGTATTTTTAGTAGAGACAGGATTTCACCATGTTGTCCAGGATGGTCTCCATGTCCTGACCTCATGATCCACCCACCTCGGCCTCC
Organism: Homo sapiens; assembly: GCF_000001405.40. NCBI lineage: Eukaryota > Metazoa > Chordata > Mammalia > Primates > Hominidae > Homo > Homo sapiens. Next base: position 102,703,379 of record NC_000010.11, read on the forward strand.
CAAAGTGCTGGGATTACAGGCATGAGCCATGGTGCCCAGGACTTGTCTTTTTTTTTTTTTTTTTTTTTTTTTTTTTTTTTTTTGTGATGGAGTCTCGCTCTGTCGCCCAGGCTGGAGTGCAGTGGCATGATCTCGGCTCACTGCAAGCTCCACCTCCTGGGTTCACGCCATTCTCCTGCCTCAGCCTCCCAAGTAGCTGGGACTACAGGTGCCCACTGCCACGCCCAGCCAATTTTTTGTATTTTTAGTAGAGACGGGGTTTCACCATGTTAGCCAGGATGGTCTCGATCTCCTGACCTTGTGATCCGCCCACCTCGGCCTCCCAAAGTGCTGGGATTATGGGCATGAGCCACCACGCCCGGCCCAGGACTCATCTTTAAACCTCCACGCTGTGAGCACTATCATTCCCTTATCCTTTATGCTTTGCTTGCTTGCCCTTTTCAGGAAAGAGGAAGGTTGATGAGACTGGATTTAAAAAGGCAGGTAATTGGCCGGGCAAGGTGGTTCACGCCTGTAATCCTAGCACTTTGGGAGGCCGAGGCAGGTGGACTGCCTGAGCTCAGGAGTTCGAGACCAGCCTGGGCAACAACGGTGAAACCCTGTCTCTACTAAAATACAACAAATTAGCCAGGCGTGGTGGCGTGCACCTGTAGTCCCAGCTACTTGGGAGGCTGAGGCAGGAGAATCACTTGAACCCAGGAGGCGCAGGTTGCAGTGAGCTGAGATTGCACTGCTGCATTCCAGCCTGGGAAACAGAACGAGACTCTGTCTCCAAAAAAAAAAAAAAAAAAAAAAAGGCAGGTAATTTTTTTTTCTTTTAAAAATTGATACATATTTGTATTTATTAAGTCTGAAAAGTACACGGTAAAATATTAACCATGGTTTTTCTCAGAGTTTTCTCCTTTATACTTTCTCTGTGTTTTCTACATGCACTACTTTCATAATCAGAGAAGATAAAGCTATTTTTTAAAAAAGAATAGGCTGGGTGTGGTGGCTCACACCTGTAATCCCAGCACTTTGGGAGGCTGGGGTGGGTGGATCATTGAGGTCTGGAGTTTGAGACCAGCCTGGCCAACATGGCAAAACCCTGGCTCTACAAAAAAATACAAAAATTAGCGGGCCATGGCGGTGTGCGCCTGTAATCCCAGCTACTAGGGAGGCTGAGGTCCAAGAATCGCTTGAACCTGGGAGGCGGAGGTTGCAGTGAGCCAAGATTGCACTACCACACTTCAGCCTGTGTGACAAAGCAAGACTGTGTCTCAAAAAATAAATAATTTAAAGAAATAAAATAAAAATAAAAAGAATATAGGTACTCAGATCTGCTGGATTTGTCTATATACACACAAACACACACATGTGTATATATGTATACATATATTTTAAATTGTAACATAACACGTACAATATGCAGCTGCTGAGGACATGTGCGGGTGGGGAAGGTGGGGCAGAGACGGAAGAGGGGTGCATGTGCTGAAAGGTGCTGTGTGGAGGCTGAAGCCCAGTGGGATGCAGATGCTGCAGTGGGGTGGCCTGATGAAGTGGGTACTGTGAAGTGTGTCTGCGTACACATTTTAACGTTATAACATAAAACGTACCATTTCAGCCATTTTAAAGTGTACAGTTCCATGGCATTAAATACATTCACACTGTGGGCCGTTACCCACAGAACTCTTTCCATCTTGCAAAACTGACTCACTGTACCCGTTAAACAATAACTCCCCATTCCCCCTCCCCAGCTCCAGTAACCACCATTCTGCATTCTGTCTCTATGAATCTGACTACTCTAAATACCTCATGAGAATGGAATCTCTTACATATTTTTGAAATCTGGTTATCTTTAGATTGTATAGACTTTTCTCAGAGACAAAACTTGGAAGTGGACAAAACTGTATTTCCCATTTTGTCTTTCACATTGCTATTATCGTCTTCCTGTGTCACACGGCATCTGGAGCCAAGGCAGTGCTCACCTGTGTAGGTGTGATGTGGCTGATGTCTTCAGATGCAAGCTGCTTCAGAAGAGTGGTCTTGCCAGCATTATCCAAGCCCAGGAGAAGTATTCTCACCTCCTGGTCTGGTGCACTTTTCAACTTGCGCAAAATTGAGAGCAAGCCCTTCAACAACCACAAAGGAGACAGATTACTCTGGGGGCACTGACTGTGATATTAACTGGATATGAGAATAACTTCTCCTTGAAAAAAGTTATTGGTTATGGAGAGCTTATGTTATTATTTTTCATTCTAATGCCACTTATTCCATTTGCTTCCTCTTTCCAAGTTTCGGTAGAAGTGCTACAGTAAATTCAGCAACTTAATAAGTAGCAGGGCTTATTTCTGCTCCTCCAATCAATCTAGCTTAGCAGTCACCCCAAATCTCCTGGGAGTGTGAACTCTACCCCATCTGTGTTCCTAAAGCCCTTTACATACACTTAGAGCAGAACATTCATCATATCAAACTAGGTAACTGATGTTTGTATTTTTCTCCTTTACTAAAGTTTCTCGTGGTAAGGGCTATACTTGTCCCATAATGCCTGGCACTTATCAAACAGACACTAGATAACACTTGTGGAATTAAATAGGATGACACACCCAAGTTAACACACGATTTTAAGGTGTTATACAAAAATATATAAAAAGGCTATATAAAATTATAGTTGGGCTTCCTGTTAATGATTTTATCTATTTCATCATTTCACATTGCATGCCTGTATCAAAACATCTCATGTACCCTATAAATATATAACACCATGGACCCACAAAAATTAAAAGGAAAAAATTTTTAAAAAAGATTTTATCGCCGGGCACGGTGGCTCACATCTGTAATCCCAGCACTTTGGGAGGCCAAGGTGGGCGGATCACGAGGTCAGGAGATCGAGACCATCCTGGCTAACACGGTGAAACCCTGTCTCTACAAAAAATATAAAAAATTAGTCGGGCGTGGTGGCAGGCGCTTTGTAGTCCCACCTACTCGAAATGCTGAGGCAGGAGAATCGCTTGAACCTGGGAGGCGGAGGTTGCAGTGAGCCGATATTGCACACTGCACTCCAGCCTGGGTGACAGAGCAAGACTCCGTCTCAAAAAAAAAGATTTTATCTATTTCAGCACATCTTCAAGACTTCTTCATTCAAAATGTTCTACTATCATCTTTCACAAGACCCTACAGGATAGGTGCATGGTATAGATAATCTGTGTTTTTTAGATGAAAAATTTGGTACAACAGAGAAGTTAAGAAATCATAAAAGGCATCCATGAAGCAAAACAAAACAAAACAAAACAAAAACCCACCAAAATTAACCAAGGAATTTTTTACTGTTAATCTAATATTTCCCTCTGTCACCCAGGCTGGAGTGCAGTGGTGCAATCTCGGCTCAACTACAACCTCTGTCTCCTGGGTTCAAGCAATTCTTGTGCCTCAGCCTCCAGAGTAGCTGGTATTACAGGCATGTGCCACCATGCCTAGCTAATTTTTATATTTTTAGTAGAGATGGGGTTTCGCCATGTTAGCCAGGCTGGTCTTGAACTCCTGGCCTCCAGCGATCAGCCCACCTTGGCCTCCCAAAGTGCTGGGATTACAGGCCATGAGCCACCTCTCCTGGCCATTATTTATTATTTTTTATGGATAGAAATATAAAGCATGTTGCTGGGCATGGTGGCTCACGCCTATAATCCCAGCACTTTGGGAGGCCAAGGCAGGAGGGCTGCTTGAGCCCAGGAGTTCAAGACCAGCCCTGGCAACATAGTGAGACCCTGTCCCTACAAAAAATAAAAAACAAATAAGCCAGGCATGGTGGCGCAGGCCTGTGGTCCCAGCTACTCAGGAAGCTGAGGTGAGAGAATTGCTAGAGCCTGGGAGGTCGAGATTGCAGTAAGCTGTATTTGTACCACTGCACTCCAGCCTGGGTGACAGAGTGAGACTCTGTCTCAAAAAGAAAAAAAAAGAAAAAAGAAAAAGAAAACAAAGAAAAAATAAATAAACCATGTTGATTTTTAGTTAAGAACATAAGAACATCTTTATAGGAAAGTTATTTGTTCTGTGCTATAGCTGATAATCTTGTTCTAACGACACATGGCTAGAACAAGAGTCAAAGAATCCCAGAGTTTAAAGGGCATATAATTTAATCTCCCAGCCCAAGAAGAAATTCCTTCAAACTGAGTCTTAGAATTATGCAAAATGGTTGTATTTGTTATTCACATTGTACCAGGCAATAATTCAAACCAGTTTGTTCACTAAGATCAAAGGATACTTCTGAGAAATAATTCTCAACAACTGCATCTTTGGACAATCATACGCAAATATGCATAATTATTAAGAATTCCTTTCTGCCTCAGAGACTCTTTGTTTACCACTTCTAGTACTGTATCTGTACTGACTTGCTAAGGACCACATTAACCTTTCTATGCCTCAATTTTTTCCAGCAGTAAGATGGAAGGTTTAGTCTAAGCTAGACAAATTCTATGCCAAAAGATTTGGGGGACAGAGATTGAATAGATTGGAAACAAACAGAAGTCTGGCTTTTTAAAAGGCCAGACTTTTTTTTCCTTTTTCTTTTTTTTGGGGGGACAGGGTCTTCCTCTGTGGCCTAGGCTGGAATGTAGTGGCGTGAACACGGCTAACTGCAGCTTCGACTCCCTGGGCTCAAGCGATCCTCCCACCTCAGCCTCTCCAGTAGCTGGGACTACCGGCTCACACCACCACGCCCCACTAAGTTTTGTATTTTTTGTAGAGATGGGGTTTTGCCATGTTGCCCAGGCTGGTCTTGAACTCCTAAGCTCAAGCGATCCACCCAAAGGCAAGATTTTTTTTTTTGCTGTTTTTATCTCATCTGGTCTTGAATACTTTGACAGCATTCCTTCTTAAAACTATATTTACAAGAAGTCTCCCTGGTTTCTATTAGCTATATTGCAATCACTCATTTATAATATCACCTTTCAGAAAAGTAAAAATTAAAATTCTGAGATCCTTAGGGGACTGGTGACATAAAAAGGCTAAGAGGAAAACCCATTTTACTACTCATCCTGAGTTCCTGATTGTAAGTGAAAAGAAGAGGTCTCATTACCTCTTAAAATAAATTATAAAACATCTGGAATTTATCAAATTAGTACATTAAATGACACAGGCAAAGTTCTTCTCATGCATTTTCTGCTTAGTGCAGAAATTATGAAGGAAGATCTGTTTCCTATTTTAAAAAAAATTTTTTTTGGCCGGGTGTGGTGGCTCACACCTGTAATTCCAGCACTTTGGGAGGCCGAGGTGGGTGGATCACTTGAGGTCAGGAGTTCGAGACCAGCCTGGCCAACATGGCGAAATCCCGTATCTACTAAAAATACAAAATTAGCCGGGTATGGTGGCACATGCCTGTAATCCCAGCTACTTGGGAAGCTGAGGCAGGAGAATTGCTTAAACCCAGGAGGTAGAGGTTGCAGTGAGCCAAGATCATGCCTCTGCACTCCAGCCTGGACAACAAAAGTGAAACTCCATCTCAAAACAAAAACAAAAAATAAAACCATATATTATATATATATATATATATATATTTTTTTTTTTTTTGAGACAAGGTCTCACTCCTAATGCCAGGCTGGAGTACAGTGGTGAAATCATGGTTCACTACAGCTTCAGCCTCCCAGGCTCAGGTGATCCTTCCACCTCAGCCTCCGGAGTAGCTGGGACTATAGATGTGTACAACCGCACCCAGCTAATTTTGTGTATTTTTAGTAGAGACAGGGTTTCACTATGTTGCCCAAGCTAGTCTCAAACTCCTGGCCTTAGGCAATCTGCCCGTGACGGCCTCCCAAAGTGCTGGGATTACAAGAGTGAGCCACTGCACCCGGCCTATAAAATATTTTCAAAGTTTAAAATTAATGTTTTGGGTTTTTCCTCATGTGTCTCTTTTAAAGAAGTTACTAAAAATACTGTTTTTTTTTTCAGGCAGAGACTTGCTCCACACTCATTACATTTGATATTAAAGAATTAAGAGAAAAACAAGGCCAGGCACAGTGGTTCACACCTGTAATACCAGTGCTTTGGGAGGCTGAGGCAGGAGGATAGCTCAAGGCCAGGAATTCAAGATCAGCCTGGGCAACAAACACGAGACACATATCCCTACCAAAAAAAAAAAAAAAAAATTATCCAGGTGTGGTGGTGTGCACCTGCGGTTCCAGCTACTCAGGAGGCTGAGACAGAAGGATGGCTTGAGCCCAAGAGTTTGAGGCTGCAGTGAACTATGGTCGGGCCACTGCATTATGGGCTAGGTGACAGAGCAAGACTCTGTCTCAAAAAAAAAAAAAAAAAAAAAGAGACAAACATAATGTTTATTCACCTTAAAAGGAGAGGAGCAAAGCACAGATAAGAAAGAAAAAGAAATCATTCTAACTATAAGGCTGAGTGCAGTGGCTCATGCCTGTAATCCCAGCACTTCGGGAGGCTGAGGCTGGCGGATCATTTGAGGCCAGGAGTTTGAGACCAACCTGGCCAACATGGTGAAACCCTGCCTCTACTAAAAATACAAAAAATTGGCCAGGCATGGTGGTGGGCACCTATATTCCCAGCTACTTGGGAGGCTGAGGCAGGAGAATCGCTTGAACCTGCGAGGTGGAGGTTGCAGTGAGCCGAGATCACACCAGTGTACTCCAGCCTGGGCCACAGAGCTAGACTGTTTCAAAAAAAAAAAAAATTCTAACTATAGATAAACTTTATTAACCTAATGGTGTAGAATACAGTGCTTCTACATTTCTAATGAGTAATTTTCCTTATTAGGAAATAATAACTTCAGATACTTCACCTTTGAGTGAAATTACAGAGAAATGCAAAGTTCAGCTAATGTTTTCTTCCAGCAAAATGATAAATGGCATTTCAAGCATGGTCTAGGGAAGACAAGTGCAAATATAATACAGCATCATATTAATCCAACTACTGAGGATGGGATCACAGGATTATCAGGGTTTGCTAAATAGGGAAGAGGATATTTATAGAGATCAGGGTTCTGCCTGAAAGGTACAAAGTAAGCTGATTTAAGAGGCTGGATGAAAGAGACCAGAATAAGTCTATTCTGTGCATCTATACATATATGCCCATATTTTATTTTAACTGTCAAATGAAGGGAGACAGCGATTAGAAGTTAAATTTATCATAGGGCTGAGTTTTGCAGTATAAATACAATGACATTAATTTTTAAAGTGCATTTTTTGGCCAAAATATCCATTCACGCAATTATCATTAAACACCCTTAATGTGCCCCAAGTACAACAGTGAGCAAAACGGGCATGATCTCTATGTAGGATTTATATTCCTGTGACATTAAATAAAACAATTTAAGAAACATGAACTTCAGTTAAAAGTATATTGTGTGTTACCAGCATGTGTGTATACAAGTTATCTACACCCTGGTGGGCAGAAGTGGTCTGACTCAACCACAAAACATTTAAACAAACTTTTCTACAGTCAAATCATGAATAGATGTGCTATGGACTACAGACGTTTTATCTGCCTCGAAATCAGCTTAAACTACTGGCAGAGGCATGGTGCCCTGACCTAAAACAATACAAACTAGGTCATTCAAAGAAACCAGAGTGGTGGAGGGAGAAGGAATGCGTTGGTATATGGAAAATATATGTGGTTGTGAGGACCAGCTAAAATTTGAATTCTGAAATTACGAAGCCAACAGTCAAGTACATACGGTCCCCATAACTAGCTTAAATATAACTGACTTCCATTTGTTTTTACGTCTTTCAACTGAACTCCTATCAGCTTAAAGCTCAAAATTGAGAACTTAATCCAAACTGTGTCTTCTTTCTCATCACCCTCTCCTAAATAAATACAAACAATGTTTCCTAAGGAACAAAGTCTGAGCATCTCCTCAGGAAGAGTGGGTTCCCACTTCACCAGAGTCCTAATGAAATGAATGTTATGGGCTTTAGAATTTCACAGACTTGTATTCAGCTTCTGTGTGTGTGTGTGTGTGTGTGTATATATATATATATATGTATGTATATGTATCTGTATATATATATGTATATATATGTATGTGTGTGTGTGTTTTTATATATATATATGTATATACATAACACTGCACACAGTTTCAGCTAGAAAATAGGAACAGGCCGGGCGCGGTGGCTCACGCCTGTAATCCCGGCACTTTGGGAGGCCGAGGCGGGCGGATCACGAGGTCAGGAGATACAGACCATCCTGGCTAACATGGTGAAACCCCGTCTCTACTAAAAACACACACACACAAAATTAGCCGGGCGTGGTGGCGGGCGCCCATAGTCCCATCTGCTGCGGAGGCTAAGGCAGGAGAATGGCGTGAACCCGGGAGGCGGAGCTTGCAGTGAACGGAGATCGCGCCACTGCACTCCAGTCTGGGTGACAGAGCAAGACTCCGTCTCAAAAAAAGAAAAAAAAAAGAAGAAAACAGGAACAATACTTACATCTCAAGAGATGATGCTATGAGGATGAAATGAGGTCATGTATGTAAAGCATGACACATAACAGCCACTGAAAAGACTACCCTCGTGTTTTGTTTATTTTTTTAAAATAATTTTTCACGGGCCATTTTCTAACCAGAAAACATAAGTAACTGTTGGGAACAATCTTCAAATGTTGAACATGCTTGAGAACGACCACAAGCTCCATATATGTAGAAAGTGCTCCATAAATAATTACTGAATGAAGGAATCATATGTTAAATATAAGTGGTTAGTTACGTGCTAAAATTACTGTCATTTTAGTATTTTAGTAATTCATCAAGAACCTGGCACTGTAAAGCAGGGGTAAAATAGCTGACTCTAAATGTTCAGAGAAACCCATATTTGGGTTTTTGCCACAGTTACCCAAATTTGAAAAAAAATATGTATTTGTCACAGCTGAAGTTTAAAACAAAAACCAAAAAAACCTTGGGGTTCACGCTTCAGTTGTACAGTTAACCATGGGGGCTCATGGGATACCAGATGGGATACACTTAAGTCACACGACTGACTAAATTCAGTGTTTCACTTCAAGTTTTAAGAACAGCTCACGCTTGTGGAGATAGAAAAAAAATGTTTTTGGGAAACCAGATAAAGAATCCGGAATAATTTGTCTTAATTTCTTATTGTTCATCTTAGGAAAAAGGAAAAAAGAAAAACAAAATCTGTTTTCATCATTGAACACAACAGTTGTATACAACAGTGTTGTATATACACTGTAAATTTGTTGTATACTGTGCCAATTTGCACCTGGAAACATGGGCAGTGGTTAATTTACTGTGGCCTGTAATTATAAATTAAACAATCATGGATTACACAGTACACTTAATTGATCAACAAACTGGGAAAAGTTAGCCAACTCTCATGCACTTCTCATCCATAATGATGAATCTCAATCTCTGTTGGTTCGGCATGCCCTTTTCATTCCAATTCTAGCTATTTTCTGGGTAAATATTTATGTTTGTACTCATTTGTTGAGAAAAACTTTAACTTTAAAAGGACAGCTCACGTATAAATGATTAAGAAAAAGAAACAGTTGTAAAAATCTGTTTAGCCTGAGGTTAAAAAAAAACTGCAAGTGTAGCAAGTGTGAAATGTGATTGGCAACTTCAGATCAAATAACCCTACTTCTTTAACAATCTGACAATGTAAAATCAATTGAGTTTTTTTTTTCCTTTCTAAATCTACTCACTGGATAATCTGACCAAACATACATCTATTTTTTTTTTTCCTGGGCATCTAGTTTTTTTGTTTTTTTTTTTACTTCTTAAATCAACAGAAATGGCTCAACATTTCTAAAAGTCAAGAAAGGAACTAGGAAGAGAGTTGGAGCAGTGACTATAAGTTTGATGACAGGCTCTTTGCAGCCAACTAACCTGCTTTAAGTGTTCAAAATCAATTTTTCTTTGATAGCTCTAAAATTACTCAATTCCATTTTAACTCCCTCCAACTAACTGTACAGACATTAACAAGAAACAGAGTGTCAACGGTCAGATCTGTCACAACCATAATTTAGAATTTGGGAAAGCTTTAATTGGGACTGACAGAGAAAAGCCTTGCCCCGGATTGAAGTTCGATCTCCATTTTTAACTTCTCGTTCTTTTCAGTTTGGAGAACTCAAGCTAGGATTAAGATCTTTTGGTCCTGGTATGGTCACACGCAAGAGGAGACTGCAAAAGGTTTCGAAGGAAATTCTAGAGACGGAGCAGCTAATATGTCTTCATCAACATGGATTATGTATTGAATGAAAAATCGGTCATCACCAACAATCAGATCCTGCAAAACTCTCAGCAAATAACTAAATAATTCGGGACTGAGGAAGCGCACCCGCCACGCAGACACCAAGACGGCGTAAAATCCACCAGGCATCCCTTCCAAGCGGCACCCCTTTGTGTCGTGGGACTTACTTCCCTACCCCCCAGGGGCCCGCACAGCGCGAGAAGGAGGAGAGCTAGGCTACCATCTCCCCTGCTACCGCCAGGGCGACCTCAGAGCCAATGGGGCCGGCCTTCTCTCCGCTTCTGGCCGGGCTCCAGACGAACCCCACTTTACTGCAAAGCCGCGAGACCGATTGCCCGGGAAGTCTAAGCCTGCTAGCGAAAGCTGCTCTCCGCAGTTCCTGGGATCCGCCCTCACCCCTGTCCCCAGAGTAATGATGGAGCCCGGGCTCCGCACCCGGCCAGCCGCGCACTCTGCCAGCCCCTTCCCCAAGCCTCGGACCCGCTGCAAGCCCCGCCTTCCTCTCCAGGCCCAGGCCTCCCTCCAGGGCCCACCCTCGGGTCTCCCCGCCGACCCCCGAAATCAGTCCACAACCCAGATAGCAGGCTGAGCGACGTCCCATTCCCTCCTTGGCTTTAAGCGCAGTGCTCCGCCCTGGGCCTGGGGACGGGAGGGGGATAACCGGCCGGCTCCAAGGGGGCCCAGGCCCCCACACTCACCATCCTCCCGCCGAGTCCCTCCTCCTCCTCCTCCTCCTGCTGCCTCCCCCGTTACCAGGGGCAACTGCTGCGGCGCCGCCCCCGACGTCCCTCGCACGCACAGCTGAGGAGCTGAGCAGCAATACGGGGCGGGGTGCAGCTCCGCTTTCCCCAGAGTGCGCAAGTGCGCTAAGGCGCCCGCCCACGCAGTGGGCGGGCTACGGGAGCTGCAGAGGCCGCCGCCGGCTCGCCTGGACCAGGGAGTGGAGAAAGCCTGCCCACGTGGCTGGCGGGAGCCTCCCGGCCTGGGATTGGTCGAAAAGGAGGGGCGTGGGGCGGGCGTGGGGGCAGTTCCCCAGCCCAGGTCCTCCTCTCACCCGGGCCAGTTTTCAAGGCGGGCTGTAACTGGTGGCATTTGTCCCGGGACCAGGTAAGGGGCCTTGGGACAATGGCGCTCGCCCTGTCTACCTCCAATCCCCACATCTCGGGTGGGTGCTGAGATTGCTGTCCTGACTGCCCAGGCGGGGCTGCAGCGCGGGCTGGACTTCCACCTGCAGAAGCCACGTGGCGCGAAGTGCGCCCTGGGGCTGCAGATGGGCCCCTCTGCTCTGACCCCCATTGCCTAGGAGTGCCAGGCCGAGCGGCTGGGGCGTTACGAGCTGTCCGGGATGGGGGAGTACCGATGGGGGGAGGCCGTCTGTCGGAGGGCAAGAAGCAGCCTGGGGGCTGGCCCTGAGCCCTGAGGTGAGCTGAAAGCACAGGTGAAAGGCGTTTTGGGGATCGGCCCGGTTTTTGTTTTGACACAGGGTGTCGCTCTGTCGCCCGGGCCGGAGTGCGGTGGCGCGATCTCGGCTCACTGCAGCCTTTGCCTCACAGGCTTAAGCGATTCTCCCGCCTCAGACTCTCGAGTAGCTGGGATTGCAGGCGGGCGCCACCACGCCTGGATAATTTTTTGTATTTTGTTTTTGTAGAGACGGAGTTTCGCCATGTTGCCCAGGCTGGGCTCGAACTCCTGGGGTCAAGCCATCCGCCCGCCTAGGCCTCCCAAAGTGCTGAGACTACAGGTGTTCCAAAGTGGTGAGCCACTGTGCCCAGCCTCTGGCCGGTTTTGCTAAGCTGCTTTGGACAGGACCGCGTACCATCTGTAGTCCTGGAGGAGGCAAAAATGAGCCTGCATTTTTAGCCAAGGAAGAGCAAGTGGGACACTGGGGTGGGTTGGGAAGTGCTACCTCCCATCCCTTTCCCGATGCAGAGGACTATAAGAAGAGTTTACACAAACGTGCTAGGCCCTGTTCTAGACGCTGGAGACACAGCAGTGGACAAAATCAGCCCGTATGGAAATTACATCCTTCCTAATGAAATACATTTCATACCAAATTTCATTTTCACAACCCCTAGAAATTGGTAATTGCGGCCAGGCGCAGTGGCTCATGCCTATAATCCCAGCACTTTGAGAGGTGGAAGGGGAGGAAGGCTTGAGCCCAGGAGTTGGAGACCAGCCCGGGCAACACAGTAGGACCCTGCCTCTACAAAAAAAAATTTTTTTTAATTAGCCAGGTTCCGTGGCGCACTTGTAGTCCTAGCTACTCGGGAGGTTGAGGCTGGAGGATTGCTTGAGCCCAGGAGCTATTATCACATCACTGTACTCCAGCCTGGGTGAAAGAGCAAGACCCTGCCTCAAAAAAAAAAAAAAAAATGAAAACAAAAATCAACATCTGCTGCTTGCATACCTGCTTCAGATCCTTGGAGAGAAAAAGCAGTTCAGAGCCTTGACTAAGGAGGTGATGAATGGAGGTGATACAGGAGCACAAACCCCTATAATCTACTCATCTCCAGACTGTTGGCCCTTTTGTGAAAAAGGCAAGGGAGGTTGCTCTTTCTAAGTTGTCTGGTGCCTAACAGCCCACTTGCCTTGGAGTCAGACGAGTACCCATAAGCCTATACCTGGGCCTGCTCTTGTAATTATTACCCTCATTTTCCAGCTTGCTCTAGGCAGCCTTGACCTTAATCCTTGCCTGTCTCAGTGGTCTTTGTGTCTGACCTTCTGGGGTCTTTGGCTACCTTGATCTTCCTCTGATGTGAGTACCAGCGATGATGTTTCGTTTTTCTCCCTACCTGGGGCTACAAACAGTAATCTTGTGCACTTCTGCTTGTAAGAGGATACCTCAGAAGGAATTTGGAAGCTTGTTTTCTGATCTCTGATACCATTTGCCAGAGAAAATCTGCTCTTTCTGGGAAGGATGAGCATTACGTCAGAGGTGGCAGTAGTCTATTACTTTTTTTTTCTCTTTGTTTCCCTCTCTTTCTTTCCTTTTTTTTTTTTTTTTTTTTTTTGAGATGGAGTTTCACTCTTATTGCCCAGGCTGGAGTGCAACGGTGCGATCTCGGCTCATCACAACCTCCACCTCTCGGGTTCAAACGATTCTCCTGCCTTAGCCTCCCAAGTAGCTGGGATTACAGGTATGCACCACCACGCCTGGCTAATTTTTTATTTTTAGTAGAGACGGGGGTTTCTCCATGTTGGTCAGGCTGGTCTTGAACTCTCAACCTCAGGTGATCTCTCTGCTTTGGGCTCTCAAAGTGTTGGGATTACAGGTGTGAGCCACCGTGCCAGGCCTCGGAGTTGGCAAGTAGGCTATAGTGGATAGAGGACCTTGGGGAAGTAAGGCCTTAGCTGTTGTCCAATCTTTGAGGACTGGATCTGTTGATTGTTCGTGTTTATATCTGCTGCAAGCGCTTAGTGCAGGGCCAAGTGTATCAAAAATGCCCACTGTGGTGGCCCAATCCATGTGCACCTTTCTAGGCTTCAGTTTCCTCTTCTGTAAACTGAGATCTTAGATCACATGTCTTCAGGCTATGACATTCTCTCTCTCTTTTTTTTTTTTTTTTTTTTTTGTGGAGACGGAGTCTCGCTCTGTCACCCAGACTGGAGTGCAGTGGTGCGATCTTGGCTCACTACAACCTCCGCCTCCCGGGTTCAAGCGATCCTCCTTCCTCAGCTTCCTGAGTAGCTAGGATTACAGGTGCGTGCCACCACGCCTGGCTAATTTTTTGTATTTTTAGTAGAGACAGAGTTTCACAGGGTTAGCCAGGATGGTCTCGATCTGACCTCGTGATCCGTCCGCCTCGGCCTCCTAAATTGCTGGGATTACAGGCGTGAGCCACTGCGCCCGGCCTCAAGCTGTGACATTCTCTAATCCTAGGAGGGAGATATCATTAAATCACTGGTCTGATTTTTACTCCTACTTTGTTCCTAGTAGTGGGACCATACAGAAGTGGGGCTACCCTGGACATGATGATGACCTTTTTAGGGAAGACTAGATGTGGCTTGTGTGGGAGGAGGGACAGTAACTGTAGAAGAAAATTTAGAGACCAGTATGACTTAGTACAGGCAAGGTAGACAGTTTTGCAACTTCATGAAAGAAAGCGTGCTCTTAATTCTGTAACCTAGGCAGGTTCTAAGTTTGACTTAAAAGAGGTGACATCCTTGATGCCAAGAGACCCAAGAAGAAGTTGGAATGCATTTCAGGTAAGCAGTAAATATTCTTCGAGGGCATGTGAAACATGTAGCAGTAAACATCACAGACATGATCCCGATGCTTGTGAGCCTTACAGTCTGTCAGGGGAGGCAGACTTTACACAAATCACAGTCAATGACAAGAAGGTGACAATCACAAACGCCCAGCATGCTGCAAAGGACAGGATGCTGTAGGAGTATATATCACAGAAGGATTTGAGTTTGTCCTGAAGGAGTCGGGGAAGAGTGCCCATTGGGGGACAGTGGGTGTGTGGGGGGAAATGTTCCAGACAGATCGTTTAGTGTTTTTTTTGTTTTGTTTTTGTTTTGGCTTTATGTTTTATTTAAGACAGGGACTCTGCAGTTTCTATCCTGACTTCAATTAAGAAGGCAAAGGCTCTTGCATAATTAGCAAATGTTTAGATTACCCCTTGATGATAGTCCCTCCATTCTGAGAAGCAGAGGACTTTGCAATGTTGTGTTAAGGTGAACAGAGATGTCAGAGAAGGTCTGGCTCTGTGTGTATGTGTGTGCTGAGGGGGAGGCATAGCATTTTGCTCAGTCAGGCTGTCTCCAGCATGTATGAGCCTGGGGCTCTGTAAGCCAAGGCAGCGTGTGTTCAGCCAGCCAAGCTGACTCCTTTTAGGTTCATGTAGAGCATGGGAAAGTGAACTCTTTCCCCTCCTCCCACTCTTGCTTCAGCTGGGACTGAGATAAATGCCTTTGGTCTTTGAAGCAGCCTGCAGGAGGCCAGGTGGCAGGGAGAGGGGAAGTCTGTTTTGGCAGTGGACTCTTTCTGTCTGCCTTCTGACTTCTCTGGAGATTGCCGCTTCAGAGAAGCATCGGGGCCAGGCCAGGGCGCTGTGGATACTCCATATTGAGCCTCTCCTCTTGTTCCTGGTCTTTCCTCTTAGGAAATGGCGTACCTCCAGCATATCAGCTTCCTGATGTCTCTTCCGCCTTAACGAAAAATCTAAAAATTGACCACTGCTCTTCCTTCCCCAACACTGTCCCTTCTGCCTCCTTTCTTGAACTTGAACTCCTGGCCTCCCAAAGTGCTGGGATTACAGGCCTGTGCCTGTCT